>NC_000010.11:89688549-89991580 GCF_000001405.40 Homo sapiens
GAAGCTGAGAGGCCAAAGATGCTGACAAATCCAGTTTCTTCTTAGAAAGAAACAGTTAATAAAACATCCAGTTTCTTAGAAACATTAAATGAACAGAAGCCATGTCTGTGTCTCAGATGGGCACAAGACGAGACGGTAGGTCCCCACGCCATTACCCCCAAGACCCAGGTCTTATACACCATAAAGGAGGAGTAGTTCAGAAAGGATGTGTAGGGTAATTGAAGTATGATAACATCAAGGTTGTTTAGCCTAAGGTCAGGATTTAAGGTAAGTGCCTGCTCTTACACAAAAAGCAACAGATAAACTAGAAATCTTGGTGGCCTTCCCAGAACAGGGGTTAATCAGAAGCCAACATGGCAGAGCATCACCCAAGATGGAGCTGCTTTAGCCACCACAGAATTCTACTCTAAGGAAGAGCTGTCTCTTCTCCCCTACTTCTTTATTTAATCAATTACTTCAATATATGGTCACAGGAATATTTATTTTACCACGTGGGTTATAATCCACTATGGTTAATATGGTTATTATTTAGCTTGTTGTTCAAATTGTTCCAGCTTTGGTCTTTTGGAGATTCTTTAGGTTGATGCCTATGTACCTTTGACACATCTTACTTTATTTTAAAGCATTTCCTTACTTTCTGGCACCATGAGATAGTACACGCTCATTTTGTAATTTCCCTGACCTGCCTAGGACCAACAAGTTCTTGAAGGAACCCTGGTTCCTTTTATTTAAGAATGGTATTTAAAAATCAAATCTGGGTACTAGGCATGCTCATTATTACTGGAGTATCATTGCTTTTAGGCCCTATCACTGGGCATATTTGCATGTATACTAACCCGTTAGTATACACTGACCTGTGTACATACCCTTGTGTGTATACACTTCTATATTTCTGTATCTAACCATGTATATGTACTAAAAATGATGAGTTGCCAGGTACAGTGGCTCATGCCGGTAATCCGAGAATTTTGGGAGGCTGAAGTGGGAGGATCTCTCAAGGCCAAGAGTTTGAGAACAGCCTGGGTACATAGTGAGACCCTGTCTCTATAAAAAAATACAAAAAATTCACCTGGCATGGTGGCACACACCTGTAGTCCCAGCTATTTGGGAGGCTGAGGTGGTAGGCTCACTTTAGCCCAGTAATTTGAGGCTGCAGTGAGCTATCATCATGCCACTTGCACTCCAGCCTGGGTGACACAGTGAGACTCTGTCCCTAAAATAATAAAAATTATGAGTTCATACTAATACATTAGATTCCAATTCAATATCAGAGGGTTCATTTGAAAGACTTTTAAAGACAGGAGTGTCCAAAGTTAAATGTCTGGTTTATGTGAAAGTACTCTTTCCATCACTATAGCCTTTTAATTGTGACCAACATACACACAAATGGCTTGTGTGTATGTCAAGGAAAAGGGGTCCCTGTCCATGGCTAGAGCAATATAATGCAGAATAAGAATATGAGATTGTGAGATGACTTATAAATTACACTAGCTGAGCAAAGCAAAAGGTCTGAACCAAATGTAAATAGGAAAATTTAAGGTCCCCATAAGTGACAGATGGCATATGCTATGACATTTCTACTTTCTGTACCAATGGCAGAGATCAACACATGACCACTACACACTGACTAAGCAAAAACATGGCTTCAAATTTTCAGACATGCATTTCAGGCAGCCACTACTAAGCAACGGGAATTCACACTGTAGATGACTCCTATCCCTAGGTTAAACAAATGAACAGCTAATGTAAACCATATTAGTTGGGAGAGGAGGGAGAACATTATCCATTGTTAGATTTTGCACAAGTTACAGAAAAAGCCTGACATAACATGGTCAATGATGTTCAAAAATTCAACGACATGAGGCCAGTTCCTAGATTTTGGCTCATGATATAAGGTTTCGTATCATCTGGTGGCCGGTTCTTCATTTTAGTTTAGGTATCGGTAGGACAGACTGTTAATCATTTGTGTAGCTGAGATTTCCAGGTCAGCATAGTGATTCCAGGCATCTTCCAATTGAATGGGACTTGTTTCTATGACTGATCCTAAGATAATGGAATGGATAATATTGTGGATGCAGGACCTACCCTCCACATTCCTACTTAACAAGATGAAGTTGCTGTTCCATCCTGTCTGGGATTCTCTCTACCTTCCATGTCAAGCCTCTCCTGTGCAAATTTAGCTCACCCCAATTGAAGAAATATGTTGAGTAGAGAATGGGAGCCAATCACCAGTCAGGTTGTATATGAGTTTACATGATGGTGAAGGTTTCTTATACCTGGTAAGAGTAGCTAGCAGAAAGCTGCAGCATGAGCTAATGGGAAATAAGAGGGGCAACTATGATGGAAAAATGGTGAGAACAATAAAGAAGGTAGGTACTCTGGCAGAGGGACTGCAGAATAATGCTTACCCTTGGGCCTGTGAGTAGAAAGTCCCAGAAGAAAAGAGGATAAGCTGAATGCAGTGTAGAAAATCTGGCTTTGTCAAATCAAATAGAATTCATACGGAAAAATTCTCACAATATAGTGTTCACTAAAAGTAATGTGGCCAAAAATCCTGTGAATATAGTTTGGTCCCTAAGTGTGTGAGTGTGTGTTTCCTTTAAATGTGTTATATGCCTACTATGGTAAGATAGCAAGGACAGGGTGGAGAACAGGAATGAATGGACATGGTTTCTGCCCCCGTAAGGCTTAAACTTTAATGCAATAGATAGCTTTGAAAGTAAATGTTAAGAGTGATTGTATCACTGGTTGTCACATTAGAGATGAGTTTATTTTCTTCTTTATAAATTGTATTTTCCATGTTTTCTACAAGAACGATGTATGCCTTTTATAATGAGAGAAAAGCAACACATCTTATATTTTAAATGAACAAACATTACAAAAAAACAAAACAAAGAAGACAAGGCCACAGGAATCAATTCACATTCATCAGGCTAATAACAGCTTTCTTTACAAAACAGAATACCAATTTTATGTATTCAGCTATGTTCAAGGTCTTATAATAGTAGCTGAAATTATATGAAGAGGGTTAAAAATCAATCTTTGCTCACAAGGGAGATTAAATTATTGTTTGTGTGGTGCTTATGGCACACGGAGCTGAGGGGATAGTTAGCAGCAGATAAAAATATTATATTTCTTTGATTAATAAGGGCTAACTAGATGTGTTCATATTTTATGAACATGCAATTTAATTTGATGTAGCATAACATTTTCTATCCTCTGATTTGCAAAATGTTTCCATTCTTGGATGAAGATTTAGGAGATACTCTAATACACTTTATCAGCAGCACATTGCCAAAGCATCTCCTAGAGTAATAAAACTTGAAGAATGCATATCATTACCTATGCTATTGCTAACTTCAATGTCAGAAAAAGCTTGTCTTACATTTTTAAAGTAGAGTAACGCAATATTAATAATAGCAACTACACTTAATGGGCATTTACTTTGTGTGAGACATTTTACATTGATCATTTCACTGGATCATTCACAACAAAAAAGAATCACAGGTCTATAATCTCTTAAAAACTCTGGGGACCAAATGTGTTTTGGAAATGAGAATTTTTTGGAATTCAGGATGAAATTGGAATCCTTTGGAATATACTACATAAATTGCATACATTTTGTAACATTCCAAATGGGTACAGGACAGTACTATGTAATGAAACACATTAATCTTACTATTTCTGCGAATAAATGTGTGAAAATTCACACTAAGTGAAACAAAACCATAAATAATATTACAATTTATTTACAAAAATATATTAGTAAATTCATTGGTAAATAACATTTTTAAATAAATACGTTTATTGGTAAATGAAATATGAAGATAAATATAGACCACACATACCATAAGCTTTTAATGTGTTTTGTCACTTGTGAAAAAGCTTCTTATTTCTAAGGAAATTTTAAGTAAAATTTAAAACTTATACTGATGAAAACTAACCCATAACACATATACATGCAATGAACGTTTGTTACCTTTGATTGCCTGAGAATCTTGGAGAAGAGGTTGTTCCAGTATTACCACTGCCTATGAAACCAGGTTGGAGCTGGACATCTGATGAGCCAGAAACAGGATTGTCAAGAGATGAAGCGGCATTACCACAGAGAGCTTTATTAAAGACTTTTCCCAGTTTCACCTGCTTCCTTAACACAGGTTTCTGTCTAAGCAGTTTCTCTTTAATTGAGTAAATTGTCATCAGCTCTTGCTCACTGATAAATGTACATCGTTCAAGGCCAGCAATTAATCGGTCACACATTTTCACCATATGATCTATGGAGATTTTTTTCACCCAAATTCATAATGTCATCATCATTACTACTACCATCTTCATATTGATCTGCATTTAACACCATCTCAGCAATTTCCCCATCACTCTTAGGATGCACAATGGGTTCATCATTATCAATGTTAACCCTTTCTTCAATGTTAGCTTCTTCTAACTTATTTACACTTTTGGCTGATAAACTTTTGGCATAGGTAATGAATTATGCTACCATTGTTTTCTCATTAGAGTCATGAACTCTTTCAAAATCTTCATCAGCTAGGTCACTTTCAAACATAATTGTAGCCCAAAGTCTATGCCAAGCATTTGTTAATGTTGACTTATCAACGTCGTTCCAAGCATTAGCAACTGTGAAGATGGCATCCTTAAGATTAAATTCTTTAAGGATGTCCTGGATTTTCAGGCCTCTGTTAACTGAAGCAAGGATGCTTTTCAAAAAACTGTTTATACTTGCTCTTCACGGCGTGTAGAATTCCTTGGTCACAAGGTTGTATTACAGACGTCACACTGGGGGGAAAGTCAATGCCAAAAGCATTGCTCTTCGCAAGATGTTCAGGAGGGGGTTGTGCAGAACAGTTATCTAGAAACAACAAAATTTTGCAGTTGTCTTCCAGTCCAGTTTGCAATGAGCTCATGCTGCTGGCACAAAGTGCCTATCAAACCAGTTGGAAAAGATTTCCCGTTACTGATGCTTTCTTGTGTGCATAACAATGTACAGGTAAATTATGCACACCTTTTAAACACCTTGGATATAGGCTATTTCCAATCACTGCCAATTTTATCTTGTGTGTGCCTGCAGCATTAGCACACTCAAGAACAGTTAACTTTTGCTTAGTATCTTTGACATCTGTTGTTGCTCTTTTGTTAGCCATTGTTAAAGTTTTTCTAGGAACATAGCACCAGTACAAAGCTGTTTCATCAGCACTGTAAATTTGTTCAGGGCTAAGATTTTCATCAGATATTACCTTAGCAAATTCATCAATGTAATTTTCAGTAGCTTCATCATCAGGAGAAGCCTTTTCACCACAGATTTGAAGATACTTGATTCCAAGACACTTTTTAAATTTCTGCAGCCAGCCTCCTGAATATTCACACTCTCCTTCAAAGTTCAGTTCTTCATGGTATATTCTAGCTTGTTTCACGACCAACAAACCAGTCAGTGGTGTATCTTTACTTCTTTGTTGTCGAACCCATTCAATCAACACAGGGTCAAGGTCTTCATTTTTGGCTCTATGCAATGTTTTTCTATTTTTCATTCGTTCCTGGTTATTGCTGTCACTATAAAATTTCAACAACTTGTCTGTTTCTTTAAGTCATATATCGTGGTGGTTCCCATACCATATTCTTCAGTAAGACACCTCACAGACATACCACCATCAAGTTTCTGCAATAACTCCACTTTCTGAGATATTGATAAAGACAGATGCTTCCTTTTCTTCTTCTCACTGTTACCCATAGGTATATCTTTAGCCCTTTTCGACATTTTCCATGGAATTAATCCCCAAGTCAGAAAATATCAGCAAATAGCAGAGGCATGTGTGACTTACGGATACAAGTGCTGAGACAATAGAGGCTTCATATTTGTTCACAGTAGGTTTTCTTTGGCATATAATCCTGGTGCCAAACTTACAAAAACACTTTGGGTTTCACAGTGTTTTGTTTTTTGTCCTGTTTTGGAATTGCAGAGTAAAGACTATAGACCTGCATTAAAAATATCATTTTAATGAAGAAAAGGCTGAGGCTCAGTCAGTATCTTGCTCAAGGTTATGCAGCTATTACTTGTCTTTTCTGCTTATATTTAGTCTCCTAACATTTGGTCACTTTAATAGACAGAAAAATGTTTGTTTTTTCTGGTATTGTCTGCCAAGATGATTTGAGCTGGAATATTTTTAGCACAGGAACCTGATACTCTTATTTGATTGACACAGTCGGTAGTTGAGCTCCAATGCTGAATAACATGGAGATGCTGTGGCAAGAGGTTAGAGTTCCTAAATTTATAGTTATTGAATACAGATTTTTCTTTTTGTACCAAATGATCTGTTTGGTACTTACTGCCTGTTACTTACTGCTTCACAATGAGCAATCAGGAAAAATGAAAGAGCTCACTGCAAATGTCCCAAACACTCCCACAAGTTTTCCCTAAATATCCACTCATTTAAAAGGCTTTTTTGTTTGCTTGTTTCTAAACTGTTCTGAAAATTGTACATCCCAACTGTGACTCAGAATTGTTAATCAAGTTCAGAATTAAAACACATTTTAGACATTCTAATAAAATGTTTCTTTTAATTTAGAATTTAGAAAGAATTCATTAGCATTTTTCATGACTTTTAAGCTTCTGTGGTTTGAGCCTTATTTCATGTACTCTTTTATAAGTTCCTATTGGAAGGCCAGCTTTTCTTCCTCATTCTCATCTTCCCCAGATTTGTTTAGATCTTCCTCAAATGTCTAATATGAACTGCTACAAATGCCTGAAGTTTACTGATTCACTCCTAAGTCTTTCTTTCTTTTTCTATTGGCTTTAAGAGCAGACTTTTGGCTGGACTGTTATAAAAATGAGTAAAGCACAGTTCTGTAAGACAAAATTCTAACCCCCCCAACTGACTGAATGGACCCCTCTCTTGGCCAAGGGCATTCCAAAGTAAACCTGAAAAACTAGTTCGGGCCATGATGGGAAGGGCGGTGGTTGGGCATATCTCATTGTACCCTCCTCCCTTTGGAATTCAGGCACAAGTGATCAGCGTTAACAATAAAACAGAGATCTTAAGACTGGCAAAACAGACACTTCATAGCAATAAGATACCAAACTCTAACCTGACTCCTGCACAGCATCACATGACAGCAGGCCCTGAAAGAAACTGAAGTATTTTACCCCAAAATATATTTCTTTGACATATTTTGAAATGGCTCTGCAAAGCTGTCTCCTGTGGGGAAAAGGATTCTATAGATAATCCTTTTCCTTTTCCAGATCTTTTCCTGATCCAGGAGAGACTAACTAAAGGTCTTACATAATACCTTTCCAGGTCTGATAAGAGACATTTGCCATCTATTCTCTCTGAAGCCTGCTACTTGGAGGCTTCATCTGCATAATAAGAACCTTGGTCTCCACAACCCCTTATTTTAACACAGACATTCCTTTCCATTGATTCCAGGTCTTTAGATAATAACTTATCTCTTTCAACCTATTGCCAATTAGAAACCCTTTGAATCCACCTATGACCTGGAAGTCTCCCTGCACTGCCCACCCCCAATTCGAGTTGTTCTGCCTTTTCAGACTGAACTAATGGACACCTTACATGTATTGATGTCTGCCTGTAACTTCTGCCCCTCAAAAATGTGTAAAATCAAGTTGTAACCCAACCACCTTGTGCACATGTTCTCAGGACCTCTTGAGACTGTGCCTCAGGCCTTGTTCACTCATATTTAGCTCATAATAAATCCCCTCAAATATTTTCCAGAATTTGACTCTTTTTCATTAACAGCTAGTATAATTCAGAAGTGTTTCAATTCTAGTAAATAATTGGGTATTACGTGGAATACCTGGGTGACAAAATTATCTGTACAACACCTGTGACACGCAATTTACTCATGTAAGAAATCTGCACATTTACCCCTTGAGCCTAAAATACAAGTTGGAAAGAAAAAAAATTCTAGTAAATATGAGAAATGTATAATATTGAGAATACATTATATATTATCATATTATATATTTTATATATAATAATATATATAATTTTACTCTATAAACTTTTATATTTCTTTTACTTTTAACTTTTTGACTCTGTAATAACACTTAGTTTAAAATACAAACACACTGTACAGCTGGGTAAAATATTTTCCTCCCTTATATCCTTATTCTATGAACTTTTTTTTATTTAAAAAAATTTTTTTTTTTTTTTAAACTTTTTTGTTAAAAACTAAGATGTACACACATTGGCCTAGGCCTACACAGGGTTAGGATCATCAATATCACCATCTTCCACATTCACATTTTGTTCTACTGGAATGTTTTCAGGGGTAATAACACACTTGAAACTATCTTCTTCTATGATAACAATGCCTTCTTCTGGAATAACTCCTAAAGGACCTGTTTAAGGCTGTTTTACAGCTAACCTTTTTTTTTTTTTTCCAACTGCCTTTTTCCTGAGGCTAAAGCTAGTCAAGTTGACTCTGAAGAAAAATCACCACGACAGCTTACATTTGGAAAAACTTTGTACATGCAAACTACAAACAAGAAAAATATGTCAGATTCCTTCACTAAGGAGGTAATGGGATCTCATAGCCTAATACACAGTAAATGATTAACAAAGAAATGCTTTTTTTTCTGACACATTAAATTTTCTTGTTTTTTGTTTTTTTTTTGAGACAGGCTCTGGCTATGTTGCCCAGGGTGGAGTGCAATGGCATGATCTTGGCTCACTGCAACCTTCGCCTCCCAGGCTCAAACCATCCTCCCACCTCACCCTCCCAAGGAGCTGGGACTACAGGTGCACACCACTACACCTGGCTAACTTTTGTATTTTTGGTAGAGACGTGGCTTCACCATGTTTTCCAGGCTGGTCTTGAACTCCTGGGCTCAAGCAATCGTACCACCTCAGCCTCCCAAAACACCGGGATTACAGGCATGAGCCACCAAGCCCAGCTAGGACACATTAAATTTTAAAAAATGTTTATTACAAATTCAAAAAGATCTTATAATAAAAAAACTCACCCTTTCACATCTCCAGGCCTGCTTTCCAGGGGCAACTATTCTTATAATTTGTTTTTAGTATTTTTGGCAATTACTATACCAAATACTATAAATACTATATCTTTAAATGATATGCTCCTCCTAATATTATTTCTTCATGTATCAATTATAGATATCTATTTACTTCCTACAAAGACAGACAATCACTTAGCTCTAGTTACATATATTTTTTCCTGTACTGGTTACCTTTGCACACTGAAATAATATGCTTAAACTTCTACATCCTGTTGTCTCATTTCTTGATTTGCACTTTGTTAAGATTTTGGTATTATAGACATAAGACTCAATCCTTTTCTTTCTTCTCTTCCTACACTCTTCCTTCCATACCTCTGCTGAGCAAAACCTAGGCCTTACAGAATATAATTCTAGCTCTTCTTTAGCATGTCATATAGGGCCCTTTATGATCTAGCCTCTGCCTACTTTTCTTATCTCCTGCCATTATCCACTTCAGCTAATGTTCACAGTCATGCTGAAGTAGGTATTTAGTTTTTGGAATCTTTTGTGAACTCTTGTTCTTTTTATCATTGTCTCACAGCCTTCCATGGCCTGGAATAGCCTCCTCCTGTAATTCACTGGCAAATCCCAATCATTTTCTTCAGCCTACATGCTACATTACGAAATCTTCCCTAGTAGACATCCCTTATTACATCAAAAAGTATTTATTGAGTACTTGTTTTTGTGCAAGGTACGGTTTTAGATGTTGGGGCTATAGAGGACCAAGATAGTAACGAGTTTGCATTCTAATGACTTAACAAACAGATTTAATAAATATTCCTACCACTATGAAACCTACTATGTACCAGGATTATACTAAATAACTTACATATGCTATTTTAATCCTTACAACAATTTTATGAGCCCTATAAGTGGCTGGGCTTATACTCAATCTCAAGTCTGACTTCACAGCCATTACTTTTAAGCTATGCTCACTCTGCTCCCATTATTCCTTGTTCATTTCTATTACAACATTTGTCATGTTTTGAAATACTTTGCATATGGATTTCCCCATATGAACCACAGGAGATAAAAAAATTATTTTCAGGACGGTGTAGAACCAGTGCCATTCTAGATGTATATGAAAGAAGTTAATACATTATATACAATGGGTGCCTAAAGGCATTAGGGATTAATTGTCTCTTGAAATCCCAGGTTGAGAAGGGCTACTTTAGATGAAGGCCTCTTAAGAGCCTCTCAAGGGTAGAGACATCTGTCACTTAGTGGGTGGCTGATAAATTTTTGTTGAACTTGTTATTTAAACCTTTGCAATTAATACATACTCAAAAGTATTATTTTGGGGTTGAAAAGTCAGCTGCTTCAGTCTTGCTTCTAGAGATGGCTTTGCAGGTGGAGTTAAGCACTTAGTATTTTCTTAAGAGAATTCCAGGGGTGTTGGATCCAAACTTTGAGAGGCCAAAGAATGCACAGACTCTGAAGCCGGATCACCCAGATTCAAATTCCAGTCTCTCTGTTTGTTATATAAATTGAAGCAAGTTATTATTTAACATATGCCAGATACTTTTATAAATACTTTACACTACTACCTGATTTAATCTTCAACACTTCTATTTAGTAGATACCTTTACTATTTCCTTACTAGCTCCATGCCTCAGTTTCCTCTTCTATTAATTGGCTGTAACAACAACAAATTGCCTTACAGAGTTACTGTTAGGATTAAATGAGTATAAAGTGCTAAGAATACTACCTGGCATAAAGAAAGTTAGCTATTACTAACAGTAGAGACTGTGGCCAGGGCAGAAAAATCAGCTTGATGTAACTTACCAAATTTTTCATTTTATGTTAATATTCATTTCAAGGGCACAGATGGAATTCTTTGGAATGGGTACTAAATCTTAAGCACTTCCCAATCAAGCTGGCTCTGCATCTCCCTAAGGGAAAAACCCAGCAGCTGGTGCTGAAATGAAAAACGTCGGAAAAAGTACCTTTAAAATCTGGATACTTTTCTGCAACTCCTCTGCCATCTTCCAAGTCCACATTATCATTATCTTTTCCTGGGATCTCTTGCAACAGCCTCCTAACTGGTTCAACAGCATCCTCCCTGGCTGCCTCTAGTTTCTCCAGGAGATTAACCTTTTCAAAAGATAGATGCACATTGGATTGCACCATGCCCATGCTTAAAACTGGTTATCCAGTAAGCATTTCGTAATACTCAAGTCAGTAACTTGGCTAAGGCTTACAGGGTCTGGCCTTGGCCCATGCCTACAGATTCACTCCCCTGACTCCTCCCCATGGTCTCTACCCAGCCACATCAGCTTTCATTCATTGTTCAACAAATATTGATTTGCTTGTCTTGTGTTAGAGAGTCATTGAGGATACATTAGCGACCAAACAAAACACAGTTATTCTACTCACAGAACTTAGATTTTACAGGGTGGGGGAACAACAACAATTGCTAGTTGTAAAAAGTATAAAAATGAAATTGAACCTGCAAATAAAAAAAGAGTGCTCACTTGAGATACAGTAGCCAGGAAAGTCTTCTTTAAGAAGGTACTATTTTAGACGTAACCTAAATGATGAAGGGAAGTGCCACGTGTTGAATGGAGAAGAGAGAATTTAGGTACAGGGAACAACCCATGCAAAGGTTCATACATGCTGGAAAGAAGTTGGTGTTTGAGGTATCCAGAGCAGATCAACTTACTGTACAGTTAGTGGGGAGTGAGGTCGGCTGACACTTGATTGTGCAGGACCTGGGAGGCCATGGTAAAGATCAGAATTCTATTCCTTTTCCCCCCTCCTCTTTTTATTTTATAAAATCTGTTATTTTAGAAAGTTGCAAGACTGGTACGATGTACACCATTATACCCTTCAACTAGATTCACCAATTACTAATATTTTGCCACATTTGCTTTCTCTATTTTTTTGCCATATCTTTTGAAGGTAAGCCGCAAACACTGTGACACTTTGCTGCTAATTACTTTAGCAAGCGCCTTCCAAAAACAAAGGCATTCTTCCACTTAATCACAAATTAATTCTCACATGCAATCAATTTAAAACTGATTCAATATCATCTAATATGTAGTTCATATTTAAATTTCCCCAGTTGTCCACAAATGTCTTTCGAAGTTTTTTTTTTTTTTTAAAAACTATGAACCAGCCAAGATTCACAAATTTCATTTGGTTTCTTTTGACTCTCGACTAAAGTAATTTTCCACTTCGTTTTTTTCTTTTTCCTGTCATGACACTGACATTTTTGAAGAGCCTAGGCCTGTTGTCTTGTAGAATATTCTACATTGTTTTTTTCTGATTGTTTCCTCATGATTAATGTCAAACATTTCTAGCACAAATACTATCGGGTGATATTAGCGATGCTAAGTATCTTCACTTGGTTAAGGTATGTCTAATAAATCTCTTCAGTGTAAAATTCTATTTTCCCTTTATAATAAGAAATGATCTGTAGGGTGATTCTTTGAGATACTAACATCCTCTTCCCTACAACCTTTCAGTTAATTGTTTGTTTTAGCATCTTGCATTCATTAGTTTTAGCATTCATAAGCTTACCTATATCAATTTTTAGACTGGCAGTTGCACAATGGGGATGCAGCGAGGGAAGTGACCCTCCGGATCCCGGGATGCCGAGCCTTTTTCTGCCCCGTAGGGACAGGACTGGGAAGTGGCTAGCCCGCCATTCCTCGGCCCGTCCTTAGGGGAGTCGCAGGACTAAGTGCAGTGGCAGTGGCCTCACCTCGGGCCTTCGCCACATCTTTATTGCCTCAAGGACAGAATTGGAGATCGGTGTCCCAGTCAACAGCGTGGTACTTATGACAGCCGCGAGAAAGCGCACTACTAAAGCCCGGCTAGCAGAGCTGGGAGGCAAACCAGACCGTCAGCACCAGGGCGGCCCACGCCTGCTTCCGCCCATTGGCTGCCCGCGTTTCAAGACCCGCCCCCATATTGGAGAGCTTCTTCCGGTAGCCACTGGAAAGCCCGCAGCGCGAGCCGGCTACGCTCCCTGGCGGAGCTCTGGACGCCCCACCTACTCCCAGCGTTCAGTGCGGTGCCCTGGCCGCCATTGTTTGAATTTGAAAACGGTAACATCGCAGTGCTGCTCGCGGGTCTGGCTAGTCAGGCGAAGTTTGCAGGTGAGGAGGTGACCCGCGGGAATGTGTGGGGAAGGAGGTGGGTGACTGCGCATGTATGGGGCCTAAGGTGGGGAAACGGCTTTGGCAATGTGGACATGTTCCGACAGGGCTCATACCCCAGTGGAGGTTACTGTCAGGAACTGGGTTGCGGAGCGATGCGAACACGGGGTACGCAGCGAGGAATGAGTCATACTAATTCGGTTACGGTTTAAATCTCGCCTCCACTGCTAATTAGCTGAGTGACGCAAGACAATTCATTTAATCTCTCTCTGTACCTTAGTTTTCTTATCAGTTAAAAGGCTGCAATGAAGTGTCTATTTCTTTCGGCTTTTGTGAAGATTAAATGGTAATGTGTAAAGTTATTAGTGCTGGCACACAGTAGGTACTAAATGTTTGCAGTTATTAATATTATTATTGTTGTTGCTTCTGTTGTTGTTGAGGAACAGGCCTGTTTTGCCACACCTAGTTTTCTGAAGCTCTGAGGTGAGCAGTTTGCTCGGCTGGTAGGTAACACGGCCTTTTTGCGGGGGGAGCCCTGTGGTAGCCTCTGTGCACTTATTTCCAGACTACTCCTACTGGTCCTTGGGGCTTGCCCTTCTAGGGTTTTGCAGTGCCAGGCTGAAGAGTTTGTGGCACAGTGACTGCTGTCATTCCCCAGTTTAGAAGGCTTTCTCCATCTCGATTCGCTCGCTGGTTCAGTGATGCATGTCTGGCACAGTTCTCTTATATTTCTTGCTAAACTACTAGTTTACAGAAGTTCACGCCTTATGGGTTAGGTAGTGTAACAGTGTATTTATCTTACATGTCCAAGACTCCAGATTTTAAATTGTAAAAATAACATAAAATACTCATCGATTAGTTGTGAAGACTTTTTTTGAGGCTTTGTGTTGTAGACCACATTCAGAAACCTCATTCAGCAACAGATTCTGCTATTTTTCACCAAAGTCTCCAATTGTGGATTCTTATTGGAGAGAGGGTAAATATGCAGTTTTCCAGTCAGAGCAGCCTTTTGAAATGAAAAATGAGGTCTTGGAGCCTGCTGTCACGAAAGATAATATTACAGACTAGGACCGACTTTTTTTTTTTTTTTTGGAATAGTATTTTCTTTATAACCATTATTTTAAGTCATTAGGTAGTCTTTATCCCTGCATAAGTCGCTGAATTTGTTATAGGGGATACAGAGTGGTATAAGGCAAGGTTCTTGCCATCAAGAAGTTTCCAGTTTAGTTGGGAAGGCCACGTATAAGTAGAAGTCATCTAAAATCGCAAGAAGTTACAGTAAGTCTGAACACTTTTAGAAATGCTAGGAAGTAGTTTGTTCATTGAAAAATGAGCATATGAACAAATACTTTATTATAACTGCTTTTAGTACATAGGAATATTCTTTTTAATTCAGCAATTTAAAAGATTTATCAACACTTTTCTTTAAACCAAAAATTATTATTTGAAGCCACAGGTGTTTTTTAGTTTTCTGGGCATTTCCATGAACTCTGTGTTATGAAATGTCAGGCCGGTACTTTAACGTTTTGCAGATGCTCCCCCCTCTGCACCCCCTTACCCATGATCTAGATCAGTGCTTTCCTTAGTCTTTTTGCAATTTAGGGGAAAAAAGTCAACTATGTTCTTGTGATACGTTTAGGAATTTCAGCCTGATCAAGGAAAAAGATTGACAACAAGATGGCAGGAATAAACAAGGATTTTGACAGGATTGTAGGCAAAGGAAATCCGTCTCAGTTTGGGACCTTTTCTAGACCAGGGTGAGGGGCCACCATCTAGAGGGGAAAGAGGGCAAGGGGAATGGGGAGTCGGGGAGGAAAGAATCATAGAGGGGCTTACATGCCTAAATGATGTTGCACAGTGGAGAGTCTCCGGATCATAGAAACTCTCAAGGGCAGCAGTGGCTTGGGGGTCTTGATAATCCCGGGTTTTATGTGTCTGGCAAATGTTGGGTGCAGTTTCATGGGGCATTCAAACCTGGCAGGCTCTAAATGGCTAAAAATATGCTTATTTTGGGCCATTTTGAAAGTAAATGGATGCTTCAGAATTTGACTTTGGCGCCCCAGCAGGCTTTTCCCTTTTTTTTTTTTTTTTTTGACGCAGTCTTGCTCTGTGTTCAGGCTGGAGCGCAGTGGCGCAGTCTCGGCTCACTGCAGCCTCTGCCTCCTGGGTTCAAGCGATTCTCCTACCTCAGCCTCCTTAGTAGCTGGGACTACAGGCGCATGCCACCACACCCGGCTAATTTTTGTATTTTTAGTAGAGTCGGGGTTTCACCATGTTGGCCAGGAGGGTCTCGATCTCCTGACCTCGTGATCCACCCACCTCGGCCTCCCAAAGTGCTGGGATTACAGGTGTGAGCCACTGCGCCCGGCCGTAGGCTTTTTAATTTTTATTTTAAACATTCATGGTCCTTGATCCAGTGGGCTTTTGAGCTAAGATCCCTACCAGCTGTGAAGAAGTTTACACTGTAGAGCTATTATGCAAGGGCCATCTTTGGTTCATTTTATATAATACCTGTGGGTGATGGTCGTTACTACTTTCTTGAGCTAGGAACCTTAGTTTGGGAGTCACTGATCTGTATATTTTTTAATCTTGTCAAAAAACAGCACAGAGTCCTCCTCCTCTCTCTGGTATTGTACATCTAGTAGATTCTCAGTAAATATTAGAATGTTAGTATTTTTTAGTTAAGGTTATCCTTAAGTTTACCTTTTAGTTTAGTGATTTGATGTTTAATTCAATGGTAATAGTTTACTGATGCATTATTCCTATTTAACTTAAAACCTGTGATGTGTCAGGTACTGTTTTGAATGTGTTTACATATATTATTTTACTTTTTACTTGAATTTGAAATTGAAAACAATTTTTCAGATAACTGAGTTTTGTTTTGTTTTTTTTTTTTGACGGAATCTCACTCTGTCACCCAGGCTTGAGTGCAGTGGCGCGATCGCGATTCACTGCAACCTCTGCCTCCCGGGTTCAAGCAATTTTCTGCTTCAGCCTCCCGAGTAGCTGGGATTACAGGTGCCTGGCACCACGCCTGGCTAATTTTTTTTGTATTTTTAGTAGAGACGGGGTTTCACCATCTTGGCCAGGCTGGTCTTGAACTCCTGGCCTCGTGATCGACCCGCCTTGGCCTCCCAAAGTGCTGGGATTACAGGCGTGAGCCACCGCACCAGACCCAGATAACTGAGTTTTAACTTTTAAATGCTAAAACAAAGTCTGTAAGTAACATTCTACAGGAGTCACTAAGTAGATGACACAAGGTTATAATTTACCCTGTGATCTCCTTACTATTTGAGTTTTGAGAGGATTTCACGGAGAGAGTAAATATTTTATACCATCTTTACAGATTACCTGTACTCACGAAACCTCTTTGAATGGATATTATATGAAAATAGTAGGCTGTGTTCAGTATTATTAGAATCAGAGTCTGTAAATATAATTTGATCTTTAGTCTTTCCTGTAGGGCATTGTGTTATAAATGAAGCAATGTAATGCGTTTCTTTTCTAAAATCTAGTTATTTGGAGGGAAGTAGTGGGCTAGACTTTTGAAAGTGTGGGTGGCTTACATGCTGACTTATTAAGGTTGTTAAAGAAGTTGCTGTTATTCTTGCAGAATGGAATCTAATTTTAATCAAGAGGGAGTACCTCGACCATCTTATGTTTTTAGTGCTGACCCAATTGCAAGGCCTTCAGAAATAAATTTCGATGGCATTAAGCTTGATCTGTCTCATGAATTTTCCTTAGTTGCTCCAAATACTGAGGTAAGTACAAGAAAAGTATTGTGTTGATTATCATGCCTCCTTCTAATGCAAGGGTTGGCAAACAATGGCCTGTTTTTGTATTACCTGTTTTTGTACTTAGATACAAGCTAAGAATTGTTTTTATATTTTTAAATAGTGGAAGAAAAATCAAAATAGGAATAATGTCACATAACATAAAAATTATATGAATTTCAAACATCACTGTCCATAAAGTTTTATTGCATCACAATCGTGCTTATTGGTTTATTTATTTACTACATCCGTTGTGGCACTATAATGGCAGAGTTGAGTAGTTGTGAGGAGACTATAGGGTCTCTAGAACCTAAAATATTAGCTGTCTAGCTCTTTACAGAGAAAATTTATTGACTCCTGGATTGGCATGATGTTTTTGAGATTTGTCGTGTGTCATACATCAGTAGTTTTTCCCTTTTTATTGCTAAATAGTTGTCTGTTGTGCAGATATGCCACATTTCCATTTGTCGTTTGATGGACATTTAGGTAGTTTACAGTTTGAGGTCATTATAAATAATGCTGCTTTGAACATTCATGTGCAAGCCTTTTTGTGAACTTGTGTTTTCATTTTTCTTTGGTAAATACCTAGGAATACAAACTGTATAAGTTTAACTTTATAAGTAACTACTAAACTGTTTTTCAAAGTGGCTATCCCAGCAGTGGCAATGTATGTAGGTTCCAGTGCTTCTACCTCTTTGCTAACACTTGATAATGGAACTTTTTATTTCTAGTGGATGTGTAATGGTATCCTGTTGTGGTTTTAGTTTGCCCTTTCTAATGAGCACTCTTTCAAGTATTCTTGGCCATTTTTCTACTTTCTTTGTAAAGTGTCTCTTCAGATCTTTTTCCCATTTAAATTAGGTTGTTTCATTAGTGTTTTGTGAGAAATCTTTATGTATACAAATCCTTTATCAGATTAATAGTGTCTTGATGATCAGACATTTTAAAATTTAAAGACATTCAATTTAACATTTTCTTTTCTTCTTTGGTGAATTTTTTTGTGTGTGTGTTCTCTTTAAGAAACTTTCGCCTTCCCCAAAGTTTTTGTCTTACTTTTTCTAGAAATTTTAGTTTTCATTTGAGTAGTTATATCTGTGGTCCATTTTGAACAGTTTTTGTGTGCAGTTGATATAGGGACCCAGGTTAACTTTTTTCTTTTTCTTTTTAGCTTCCATACATTTTTTTTTTTTTAACTACATAAGTAGTTATTTCAGCATTATCTATTGAAAAGACTTTCCTTTCCCTGTTGTTTTGGTGCTTTACAAACGGCTGTGTATATGTGGATCTATTTCTGGATTTTATTCTCTTCCTTTGACCTATTTGTCCTTATTCCAACACAATACTCTCTATTTCTGTAGCTTTATAATGATTCTTGAAATTAGGTAGTGTGAATTCTCCAGTTTTGCTTTTCTAGGAAAATTTTGGCTTTTCTAGGTCCTTTGCATATTCATAAATTTTAGAATCAGCTTGCCAGTTTCTACAAGACAGCATCTTGGGATTTTGACTGGGATTGCATTAAATCTGTGGATCAGTTTGGAGAGAATTGACATCTTGACAATATTGAGTCTTAATCCATGAACACAGTATTCTTCATTTTATTTAGGTCTTTAATGTCTTAGCAGTATTTTATACTTGTCAATGTAGAGGCCTTTCGTGTCTTTTGTCAAATATATTTATAAACATTTTATGTTATTTGATGCTATTGTAAATATTTTTAGTTGCTTTATTTAGGCATAATGAAACACTGCATATATTTTAGATACGCAGTTTGATAAGTTTTGACATGTGCATACACTTATGTAACTGTCACTACAGTCAAGATAGTGAGTATAACCATTACCCTCAAAAGTTTCCTTGAGGCTCCTTGTAAGTGCTCCCTCCCATCACACCTCCAAGTAACCTCTGATTAGCATTTTGTTAGTATACATTAATTTTTTGTAGATTTGTTGGATTTTGTATGCGTATGTTCATGTTGTTTCTAAATAAAGAAAATTTTATTTCTTCCTTCCCAATTTGGATGACTTTTGTCTTTTCATTTCCTTTTTTTCTTTCCATTTTTTTTTTCCTTTTCTTTCCCCTCCTCTCCCCTCCACTTCTTTCTTTCCCTTCTTCCCTTCCCTTTTACCTTTCTTTTTCCTTTCCTTTTCTCTTCCCTTTTTCTTTCCCTTACCCCTCCTTTTTTCTTCCCCCATCCCCTTTCCCCCTTCACACCCAATTACACCAGCTAGAACCTTTAATACAATGTTACTAGAAGTGGGGAAGCAGAAATCCTCTTCTTATTACTCATTTTGCTGCTCATCTTAGATTGAGTCTTTCCTGTTAAGTTTGTTGTTAGCGATAGATTTTTTGTAAGTGCCCTTTATCAGGATGAGGAAGTTTGCATTCATTACACTTTGCTGAGAATTTTTATTACAGATGGACGTTGGATTTTGTCAAATGCTGTTTTCCCATCTGTAGAGATAAAAGTTTCTCTTCATTTATTCTTTTAATATGGTTAATTGCCTGGATTGATTTTTGAATGCTAAACAGACTTTATATTCCTAGAATAAACCATTCTTGGTCAGATGTATTATCCTGTTTTATATATTGGCTAGTATTTTGTGTGGGAAATTTTGCGTATATCTTAATGTGGTATTTTGTTTTCTAATTTTTTCCTGAGGATATCTTTGTCAATTGTGTTATTCGGCTTATGTCAAACTCAAAATTAGTTAAGGTATTTTCTCTTCCTATATTTTCTTAAAGAGTTTATGTACAATTTGTATTTTTTTTTTTTTTGAGACGGAGTTCTGCTCTTGTTGCCCAGGCTGGAGTGCAATGGCGCCATCTTGGCTCACCGCAATCTCTGCCTCCCAGGTTCAAGCGATTCTCCTGCCTTAGCCTCCCAAGTAGCTGGGATTACAGGCATGCACCACCATGCCTGGCTAATTTTGTATTTTTAGTTGAGATGGGGTTTCTCCATGTTGGTCAGGCTGGTCTCGAACTCCCGACCTCAGGTGATCCACCCGCCTCGGCCTCCCAAAGTGTTGGGATTACAGGCATGAGCCACCGCTCCTGGCCTGATCATTTTCTTAAATGTTTGATAGAATTTACTGTTAAACTACTAGGGCCTGAATTTTTTTTTTTGTGGCATTATTTTGTTTGAAAATGGATTCAGTTTGCTTCATAGAAATTGGGTTATTCAGATTTTCTAGTTATGTCTGTTTTGATTAAGTTGCATTTATCAAGTTGTTTCCTTTTTACTTTTTTAAAAAAACATTAAAACATTTCTTTAAAATTACATTTTCTATGCACATTTCTTCCTCAGAAAAAGTAACAAGGAGAATGGTACATAGTAAAAAAATTCTGAATACCTCATGGAATTGAGCATTTGAATAATAGAATATTCTAGTTACTTTTGATTTATTCTAGAGTTATATTTTCCAATGACTTAGGGCCTCATTAATTATATTAGGCTTTTGTGGAATAAAGCCTTTTTATAAACTTCACGTATAAATACAGGAGATGGAGGAAATTGGATCTTTTTTGGTGTATTT
Source organism: Homo sapiens (assembly GCF_000001405.40). NCBI lineage: Eukaryota > Metazoa > Chordata > Mammalia > Primates > Hominidae > Homo > Homo sapiens. The sequence goes on from NC_000010.11 coordinate 89,708,987, forward strand.
TGTTTTTATTTAAATAGATTTATTGAGTTTTTCTAACATTATTAAAAGCAGGATAGTGACTGCTTAGAAATTCTTTATCATCTCAGATTATTATGTAAAAAGTAGCCATGTTAAGGAAAAATGGTCTCTGAAAAGCCGTATCTTTCAAAAACACAATGTTTTTCTCCTTTATTTTTTAAGGCAAACAGTTTCGAATCTAAAGATTATCTCCAGGTTTGTCTTCGAATAAGACCATTTACACAGTCAGAAAAAGAACTTGAGTCTGAGGTTTGTGTTGAATTTAATAGAATTTTAATATTTTACTTTCATTTAAAATGGCAAAATACTAGTTTTTATTTATTGGGGGTATGTTTTCTAGGGCTGTGTGCATATTCTGGATTCACAGACTGTTGTGCTGAAAGAGCCTCAATGCATCCTTGGTCGGTTAAGTGAAAAAAGCTCAGGGCAGATGGCACAGAAATTCAGTTTTTCCAAGGTAAAACTGAAGTGTTTTTGTTTTTTGTTTTAAAGATAAAGAGACTTGGCTTAGGCTAAATTGCTATATAATTGTATATAATGAACTATACATTTTATGCTTATGCAACTTAGATTTTAAGGATAAGACTCAAATCTCAGGTCTGGAAATATATAATTGGATGTAAAGAGATCACTGTAGTGTTATTAAAGTTATTATTACTATATTTTTATTAAAGTTATTATTAATATATTTTTAAGAAATATTCTTTTCAAAACTTAGGTGAATACTTGATTCCCTGGTACAGATTTCTATCTTGAAAACTTTCTGGTAGTAAAACTATCAAATGTATTTGTGGGAGTGGGGATGTGGCACCTATTTTAAGAATGAATCTTTTAAATTTTTAAACAGTAGTGTTGGGATGGAACACACTATTAATATTAACTTGAATTTTCTAAAAAGAGTTTTTAAAAAATGTTTGCTTAGGTTTTTGGCCCAGCAACTACACAGAAGGAATTCTTTCAGGGTTGCATTATGCAACCAGTAAAAGACCTCTTGAAAGGACAGAGTCGTCTGATTTTTACTTACGGGCTAACCAATTCAGGAAAAACATATACATTTCAAGGTAAATATTGTTTTATTTTGGTTGGAAAGGATAAGGAAGCAATAATAATCACTCAGTGTTTTTATAATACATACATGTAGTTATGTTGCTATTACCTAGTATGCGTTTGCTCTATTTTTAATAGTACTAGCATATTATTACGTATTGCTGTTTTTTTTTTTTTTTGGCGGGGGAGGGACAGAGTCTCACTCTGTTGCCCAGGCTGGAGTGCAGTGGTGTGATCTCAGCTCACTACAACCTCTGCCTCCTGGGTTCAGATGACTCTCCTGCCTGAGCTGCTCAGCTTCCCAAGTAGCTGGGACTACAGGCGTGCGCCACCATGCCAAGCTAGTTTTTATATTTTTGTAGAAATGGGGGTTCACCATTTTGGCCAGGCTAGTCTCGAACTCCTGACCTCAGGTGATATGCCCACCTTGGCCTTCCAAAGTGCTTGGATTACAGGCAAGAGCCACCATGCCTGGCCTTGCTATTGGCTTTTAATTCAAATTTATTTAATTCATTTGTAAAAATACTTTACCCATTGATAGAGATTTAGATGATGATTAAAATCCAGAAAAAGTATTGATGTGATACAGAGAATTAAGCATAAATGACCAGAAGAAATTTTATATTTCATTTTACTTTTATAGTTTGTGATTATGGGTGGTTACAAATCTTAATATGGTTGCATTATCTGAATGTAAAGTTTCATGTTTACATCAGAATAATAGTCAATAAAATGTTGGTAATACTGTGAATAACAAAGTGATGGAAAACTGAGTAATCCTTAGCTATCATTTCCGTTTCAGTTGTTGACTCTTGCCTATTGGTAGTATAAAAGGAGCTTTAATAAACAAGTAAAGTTTCCTCTTTCCTAGTAGACTGAGAGAGTATAACACAAAAATTCCTTTTGCAGGGACAGAAGAAAATATTGGCATTCTGCCTCGAACTTTGAATGTATTATTTGATAGTCTTCAAGAAAGACTGTATACAAAGATGAACCTTAAACCACATAGATCCAGAGAATACTTAAGGTTATCATCAGAACAAGAGAAAGAAGAAATTGCTAGCAAAAGTGCATTGCTTCGGCAAATTAAAGAGGTATGGAAATATTTTAGTATGTAAAATATGTATAATTCCTGACTTCTTATAAACCCTTTAGATTGTTTCACCATATATTGGAATCTGGTTTGTGGTGGTAGTGTTTTTTGTTATTATTTATGTTTTCGAGAAAAATAAAGCTTAAAGTGTGAAGACATCTTTTGTATTTATATTATACCAACAGCAAGAATGTTTAAACAATACAAATGTAAATGGTTCTGAAATCTTTTTTGATTGTTGTAGAGCCAGCATTGTGCTTTTTATGTAATGATTTTTTAAAATTCTGTTTTTTAATTGTGAAAGTAATATGTACCCAAAATTTAAAATAGGGAATGTGAGAAGTAAAAAGTAAAAGTTTCCTTTAATTTCATTCCTAAAGAAAAAATTATTAATAGATTGGGAAGTATTGTTTTTGGACCTTTTCTCTCTCTATATAAAATCCATATACAGAGCTTTCTATCTGTATATACACAAACATGGTCATATATATGATGTGTATATCTTCATACCTTTGTTTTTATATGTATGATATAATTTTTTTTTTTAAACAAAAAAGAGATCTTACTATGCTTACCATTCTATGACTTGGTATTTCATTTAGCGTATCTTAAATCTCTTCCTACCTTAAATCATGTGCGTTTTATCTGTTATGTCTTTAACTTGTTTTTTTAAATTTTAAATCAGCTTTTAAAACTAAGTCTCCATTGATGGACATTTGTATTGTTTCTGTGTTTTACTATTTTGAACAGTGTTTCAGTAAAGAAACATTCCATTGCAAATATATTTGGTGCTAATTTTCCCAAACTCAGGCCAAGATTGGATATTTAATAATGTCTGGTTTGATAGGTGAAAAATGGCTCACTTGAGCCTACTTTATATTTTTTTAATTGTAAATTAGTTGATTAGTACATCTTAGAATTTTTTCCTGTGAATTGTCACATGTTCTTTGTCCATTTATCTAGTATTGTATGACTTTTCTTGTTTACTGATTTATTAAAATGTATTTAAAAAAATGAATACATTATTAATGTATTAGTGTATGGGTTGCAAATTTTCTGGCTTATTGTTTGCTTCTCCCCTGCCCCCATTGTGTTTTTCTTTTTTTTCTTCCTTTTTTTAGTTTTTAGAGACAGGATCTTGCTTTGTCATCCAGGCTGGAGTATAGCGGTATGATCATAGCTCACTGCTGTCTTGAACTCCTGGGCACAAGTGATTCTCCTGCCTCGACCTCCTCTGAATAGCTGGAACTACAGGGGCATGCCACCACTCCTGGCTGTTTTGATTTTTTTTGTAGAAATGGGGTCTTGGTATGTTGCCTAGGCTGGACTTGAACTCTTGGCCTCAAGAGATCCTCTTCCCTTGGCCTTCCAAAGTGTTGAGATTACATGTTTGAGCTGCCAAGCCTGGCCCATTGTGTTTTTCAGTATTCATCTATTCAGCAAATTTTATTAAGTCATCTGTTTTTTTTCCAGGCAATATTTTCAGTTTTGAGGACAAATGGTACTGCCCTCATGGAGACTGACAATAAATAAATATGTAATATACTGTGAGGAGGTATTGTTTTATATAAGGTGGTACCATATAAACTTTTAAAAATGAAGTTATACTTGTCTGTTTATTCCTCTTGTGCCTTCTGGATTTTGTAGTATATTTTCAGACATTATTCTATTCAAGGCTGTTAAAAACTACTAATTGTTTTTGTAAATATTTTTACCCTATTATTATTAATGCAAATTTTTCTTTTTTAAAACATTTAGAAACCAGGGTTTTAAGGCAGTAAAAAGTGTGTTACCAGTGGAGTTCAAAGTTGAGTCTGTGACTATGGTCTCTGAAAGTAGAATAGTGTTTTAACAAAATTTATGGGGATTGGTGGATAACTCCATAGCCAATTCATAGAGGAAATTAAAATCATTAATAATGAAAAAAATTTTTCACTGGGCATGGTGGTTCATGCCTGTAATCTCAGAACTTTGGGAGACTGAAGCAGGCTGATCACTTGAGGCCAGGAGTTGGAGACTAGCCTGGCCAACATGGCGAAACCCCGTCTCTATTAAAAATACAAAAAATTAGCTGGGCATGGTGACTCACACCTGTAGTCCCAGCTGCTTGGGAGGCTGAGGCACAAGAATTGCTTGAACCCGGGAGGTGGAGGTTACAGTGAGCCGAGATTGCGCCACTACATTCCAGCCTGGGTGACAGAGCAAGACTCTCTCAAAAAAAAAAAAAAAAAAATTCTAACAAGTTATCCAGTTAAAACATGATACTGTTTTGCCTATGAAATGATTAAAATGTTAAAAAAAAATGAGATAATGTGCTTTCATATATTGTAAATGGTTCTAGAAAGCAAATTGGCAATAGTGTGTTAAGAGTGAGAACATTAAAATATTTTATATCTTTTCATCCACCAATTCACTTTTAGGTGTATACTCCAAGGAAATGGGTTTATTTCTATTTCTAAGGAAATAATAAGAATGCAGAAGAAAATATGTAAAGATGTTTGGCAAAACTTGGTGAATAAATTAAATGTTTAATAATAAGGGAATAATTAAGTCATTTCACATGTTTTATATAGCCATCAAATGTTGTAAACAATTTTTAATTATGGGGAGAAAAAGCTTACAACATAAGTGTGGGGAAAAGAATAGAAGGGAAATATTTTAAAATATTAATAGTAACCAACCAGAGTGGCAGGATTATACATGATAATATTCTTTTTCATAGTTCTCTGTATTTTTCCATGAAACTATATTATTTAACTAGGAAAAATTAAAGAATTCATTGAATTGAGTAGATGAAAGGTTGTGATTTGGTAGTGACTTATTTGGATAGGTAATTAATATCTTGATTATTTAACCTTAATGAAAATGTTTTTTTAATTTTTTAAAACAATCTTTTTTTTAGGTTACTGTGCATAATGATAGTGATGATACTCTTTATGGTAAGGTTTCGTTGCTCACTTATCTTTGATGTATCGATTATATGAAGTACACTTGAAAAGCTTTTAATTTTTAAATCACTTCTAATGTTTTATTTTTATTATTAAAAAATTTTTAGGCTGGGCGCGGTGGCTCATGCCTGTAATCCCAGCACTTTGGGAGGCTGAGGTGGGTGGATCATGAGGTCAAGAGATTGAGACCATCCTGGCCAACATGATGAAACCCCGTCTCTACTAAAAATAAAAAAATTACCTGGGCGTGGTGGCGCGGGCCTGTAGTCCTAGCTACCTGGGAGGCTGAAGCAGGAGAATCCTTGAACTCAGGAGGTGGAGGTTGCAGTGAGCCGAGATCGCGCCACTGCACTCCAGCCTGACAACAGAGTGAAACTGTCTCAAAAAAAAAAATTTTCACCTTGTATTTATTTATTTTTTTTCTATAGACCTCTTCTTTGGTTACTAAGGATTTAATTTCTATAATGACATAGTCGGTGATACCTGGAAAATGATACATATTTATATGAAATGTCAGTCATTGTGATGTTTCGTTTGTATTAAATATTACAGATATCCCTTTTACTGGTTACAATTTTAATATTGAATTTGAAAGACACTTGTTTTTCTTTGTCCTTTACATTTAATTTCTATTGGTTCATTAACATATTTTCAAAAAGAAAGGAATTATAAGAAGTTGTCTAACTTTGGTTAATCCACATATTATTTACATCTTCCTTTGTTCCAAAAAGTTTTTAACATAGATGGTCAAAAGATTAAGCATACTTGGTTTTTCAAGTGTGAGAATCGATTTGTACTTTTGTCACGTTTTTAGTCAGTTGCTTACTTTCGTGATTGTTTTTTCTTTTTCTTTTTTTTGTAGGAAGTTTAACTAACTCTTTGAATATCTCAGAGTTTGAAGAATCCATAAAAGATTATGAACAAGCCAACTTGAATATGGCTAATAGTATAAAATTTTCTGTGTGGGTTTCTTTCTTTGAAATTTACAATGAATATATTTATGACTTATTTGTTCCTGTATCATCTAAATTCCAAAAGAGAAAGATGCTGCGCCTTTCCCAAGACGTAAAGGGCTATTCTTTTATAAAAGGTATACTAATGAATATTTTTATCTTATTGCTCTGAAGTTCTCTTCCTGGGCTTTGTGATAGCTGTAAGACTAAAACAAATAGAAAATTGAAAATTGTAATGCTAATTATTAACATTAAGAGAAGAAGATAATTTTGTGCTTTGGAAGTATGTTTTGGTATATTTATTAAACTTGAATATAAAAGGGTCTATTTTGGTATTGTATTTGCTTGAGTATCATTAATTGGATTTGTGGTGATGGGAAAAGCTGTGTATGGTTATGTTCACGTTATTCTCCTGCTTTGTAACAGTGTCCAAATTTTGGAGCTATGAAATGTTACTATTCTTCCGGAGTGGTTTTTCTAACCTTTTAAAACAATTATTCACAGTAGGAAACACATATTAATAACATCATGATTCAGTACCTACATGCATGTATATATATTCATATGTAATATTTACAACTCAAAAGTTTCGTTAATTATACTTTTACTACAAGGAATGCACTGTAATATTTTCTATATTCTTTGTCATTTCTACAAAATGCTGGCCAGATGCAGTGGCTCACACCTGTAATCCCAGCACTTTGGGAGGCTGAGGCAGGTGGATCACTTGAGCTCAGGAATTCGAGACGAGCTTGGTCAACATGGCAAAACGCCATCTCTACAAAAAATACAAAAATTAGCCTGGCATGATCGTATGCATCTGTAGTCCCAGCTACTCAGGAGGCTGAGGCAGGAGGATCACTTGAGCCTAGGAGGTCAAGGCTGTAGAGAGCCATGATCACGCCTTTGCACTCCAGGCTGGGCAACAGAGTGAAACCTTGTCTCCAAAATAAATAAATAAATAAATAAATAAATAAAAATTAAAATACTGGTCATGATTCAATAAATCTGATTTTATGATTCACTAATAAATTACAATCTTCAGTGTTTAATAGCTAGGTAATTTTACAGGTTTAATCTGTACTGTACTTTGCCACTCTTTTTTTCCCTGAGTGTCTAATTCTAAGGAATTGTTACTGTATTCAATTTTCCGTTTGGCAGACTCTGTTGACAAACATTTATTTTGTGTGTTTGTGTAATTTACATTCTAGAACATTGTTACAATCTTCTCTGGTGTAACCTGAAATAGCTGAGTTGACTCCAGCTAGGATGTGTTGTTAGAAGAAAGATTTCATTATATGTCACTAGGAAAAGACTTTCAAAGAGATTACATTGTAGAACACATTCTTTGTCTCAATAAATTAATATATATCCTCTTTATTTTTTAAAGATCTACAATGGATTCAAGTATCTGATTCCAAAGAAGCCTATAGACTTTTAAAACTAGGAATAAAGCACCAGAGTGTTGCCTTCACAAAATTGAATAATGCTTCCAGTAGAAGGTAAAGAATAAACTCTGTAAGAGTAAACTCGAATCACCGATAGTATTCTGTGTTAATTTAAACACAGCTAATTTTACATTAAAGTGGGCAGTAGGTTCTCTCGTGTTAAATTCATAAGGCATAAAAAACATTTGGTATACAGAATAACACTAAACACGTTTATCAATACTGTTTCCTGTCCTGACAGTAGATTTATTAATTTATAGGAAATCTCTGAGGTATTTTTACTCTTTCTTTATGTCAGTATCTAAGCTCAGTATTTTTGGAGTTGGTAATAATGGTGGCCTTTTCTCTGGGTCTTTCTCACTTATCCCCTGAATACTATATAAATATACTCAGTGAGGGTATAATCTCAAGGGGTTAAGGAAGGAAGTTTTGATGGGATTGGGGGATGAGAGGCAAAGGAAATAAGTTTAAGCAGTGAGATAATTAAAGCAGGCTTTTTCTTAGAGAAGGAGCCCTGTTCCCGTAGTCAGTTGGGCATGGGACAATACAAGATCCGGATCTATAGGTCAAATGTATGCTTTGCTTTAGGTATGTATTCAGAGTATTGGCTAGCTGTACATAATATCATTTTAACTAATATTATCTTTTCAAACAAAATGTCGCTTTATTATAAATGATACTATTAATAGAAGTTGAACTGTCAGGATATAATTTGAGGGATTTAGAGCTAGGCAAAAGGTGATTTTAGGCATTTGGGTATGTAAGTGACAGTAGAACACTGGCTTGAAATATTTAACAGCTAATTGGAAAATGCAATGGTGGACTGTAGTTATACTAGGGTATAAATAAGATTGATTTGAATACTTGTCTCTCCTATTTAGAATGCAGAAATTAAAAATGATAAGATAACATTTGATCTTTGTATTTCAGTCACAGCATATTCACTGTTAAAATATTACAGATTGAAGATTCTGAAATGTCTCGTGTAATTCGAGTCAGTGAGTAAGTTGAATATTCTTTAAATTTAATTATTTGTAATTGTTTTGAAGAACTTTTAAAGTACTTTTTTTTTCTTAATTCAGATTATCTTTATGTGATCTTGCTGGTTCAGAACGAACTATGAAGACACAGAATGAAGGTGAAAGGTTAAGAGAGACTGGGAATATCAACACTTCTTTATTGACTCTGGGAAAGTGTATTAACGTCTTGAAGAATAGTGAAAAGTCAAAGTAAGTGTTTCTGAAAGTGTTATTAGCATATTAAATATTACAATATTTAAACTTTCAACTTTTTTGTTTTTAGAAAGTTCTTTTTTGATTTTTAAACTGCTTCTTATGTAATGACTGTGTATAGATTGTGATTCAAGTACTTAAGAGATCTTGGATTAAAGACAATGATAGAAATGTCAGTTGATGCCAGTAACTCATCAGGTAAAGTCAGTATTTTCCATGGCAAATCTATACCAATAGACACTGTAAATGAGAAGCTTCTAATGCTGGTTTAGGATCTAAAACCACTTTATTCTTATTAATGCATTGTGTGTGGTTCTAGATGCAATAGATTTTTACATTAATTAGCATTTTAGGCTGAGTAAATATAAATCAGCCTTCACCATTTCTATTTAGGGTGTTTCATGACATCTCTTATATACTTGCTCTATACTAGGGAACATAACCCAGTTAAATGTGGTTTTCTTTATAATTTACATAGTGGGTTATTGTTAGTAAGTAGCAGCAGTTAAAACAAACAGCCAGGCATGGTGGCTTATGCCTGTAATCCCAGCACTTTTGGAGGCCGAGGCAGGAGGATTGCTTGAGCCCAGGAGTTCAAGACCAGCCTCATCTCTACTAAAAATAAAAATAAAAAAATTAACCAGGTGTGGTGGCAGGCACCTGTAATCCCTGCTACCCTGGAGGCAGAGGCGAGAGGATCGCTTGAGCCTAAGATGTTGAGGCTACAGTGAGCTCTGATTGTGCCACTGTACTCCAGTCTGGGCAACCGAGCTAGACCCTGTCTCAAAACAGAAACAAAAACAAAAACAAACAAGAAAAGATAAAAAGAAAACTGAGAAGGACTATTACATCTGAAACTAATCACTACCCTAAAGTTTAATTTCATGATAGGTGGCTTAATTATTTCTTTGTAAAATGTCTCAGCACCCTGATTTCATGAGATGTTTTTTAACTTACAATGTTTTCTGAAAATTTTTTCTGTAGGTTTCAACAGCATGTGCCTTTCCGGGAAAGTAAACTGACTCACTATTTTCAAAGTTTTTTTAATGGTAAAGGGAAAATTTGTATGATTGTCAATATCAGCCAATGTTATTTAGCCTATGATGAAACACTCAATGTATTGAAGTTCTCCGCCATTGCACAAAAAGTAAATATTTATTTTATTAAGCCTCTTATTATTAGAATATTAACAGTTTTTCTTGAAATAAATATTTTTTACTTAATACTGTAAGCCTAGGAAATAATTGAAAATTAAAAAGGTAAATATTTAACCAAGTAGGAAGACATGAGAAAGGATTGAAAGTTGCCCATGCTAGGATTAAAATGACCTTTAGTAATAAGAATTAGTAATAAACATCAGTTATAAATTAATGAGTATTTTTGGAATGAATTGTCTGCTCTGCCATTCATCTTGTTCATTTGGTACTTCTGGGTGATTGGAAAACCCTCTGCTAAGATTAATACTGAACACTTAGCCCAGGAAGATAGATTTTTCCTCTAGTTTACATGTGTAAGTAGCTTTTTTCCTATCAGAATGTTCTTTTAGGGATGGTGATTCCTGTTTGTATGTTTGTTTGAATAGTTTTTCCTTAACACTTGAGTGTTCATTTGACTTAAATTTATAAAATAATCATTTTCTAGTGGACAGTTCTTGTCTTTTCTGTTTTAAAAGTCACATTGAATATTTTAACAGGTTTGTGTCCCAGACACTTTAAATTCCTCTCAAGAGAAATTATTTGGACCTGTCAAATCTTCTCAAGATGTATCACTAGACAGTAATTCAAACAGTAAAATATTAAATGTAAAAAGAGCCACCATTTCATGGGAAAATAGTCTAGAAGATTTGATGGAAGACGAGGATTTGGTTGAGGAGCTAGAAAACGCTGAAGAAACTCAAAATGTGGAAACTAAACTTCTTGATGAAGATCTAGATAAAACATTAGAGGAAAATAAGGCTTTCATTAGCCACGAGGAGAAAAGAGTATGTATTAAGAACTCATACTTCTATGCTTGTCTTCTTATTCTGAAGTTAAGGTTAAATCTTAAGGCTCTCTCTCTTCAGTTTTTTTCAACAGTACACTGAAGTTTTTGTGTTCAACTTTATATTTTGAAAAATTTCAAACCTATAGAAAGACTAGTACAATGAATACTCATTTATCCTTCACCTGGATTCTCCACTTACCATTTTATGAGTATGTGAATACACATCTTTTGGTCTGTACAATTTGAAAATAAGATCCAGACATAATGACACCTTACATCTAAATATTTGAACATATTTTTCTAAGAACATGGGCATTTTCATCATGATCACAAGACCATGAAATTTTCATACCCAAAAAATTTAATATTGATACACTAATATAACCTCGTATACTGTTTGTATTGAGAGTTCCCCAGTGTTCCAAATATGTTCTTTATAGCCACTTTGTTTTTGTCTACAGCCAGAGTTAACACATTGCTTTTGATTATTGTGTTTCTTTAATCATTTCTAATCTAGCACTGACATTTTTGAAAAGTGGGTCCTAGTTTTCTCATAGAATACCTGCAATTTAGATTTGTTTGATTATTTCTTCATGATTTAGGTTTAATACATTAGGGAAGCTTTTTATGTAGGTTAAGTTGTAAATTTTCCATTGCATCACACCAAGAGCCACATGATGTCTGATTTTTCCATTCTTAGAGATGCTAAGTTTTGCTCACTTGGTTAAGATAACAGTATTTCAGATCTGTATTGCAAAACCATATTATCTGTGGGGTGTTACTTATAGACCATGTGAGTATCCTTTCACTAAGTGATTTTATGTATTCCATCAGACCTTTATTTTGCAGTCTCAAGTACAAGTGTTAAAAATATCTACCAAGTACCTATGATCCCATATCTTCAAAAACACTAATTGTTTGTCGTCTTGTTATTATGATAAATAAATAAGATTTAACGGTTGTTTTTTTAGCTTCTGTCCAATTATAGTATTTATTTATTTATTTATTTATTTTTGAGAGAGGGTCTTGCCCTGTTGCCCAGGCTAGAGTGCAATGGCACGATCTCGGCTTACTGCAACCTCTGCCTCCTGGGTTCAAGCGATTCTCCTGCCTCAGCCTCCTGAGTAGCTGGGAGTATAGGCATGCGTAACCATACCCAGTTAAGTTTTTTTTGTATCTTTAGTAGAGATGGGGTTTCACCATGTTGGCCAGGCTGGTCTCGAACTCCTGACCTTGCGATTGCCCGCCTCGGCCTCCCAAAGTGCTGGGATTATAGGCATGAGCCACCTTACCTGGCCACCTATTCCCATCTTTAATTGGCCATAACTCCGTGAGTATAGATGGAGTCCTCTTACCAGTGTCCTACAAACACTAGTAGACCTGTGTTCATGGGTGTGCTTTAATGGTGTTGACACATCACACATCACAGTACTCTTCTGGATTGCAGAAGTATAAGTAGAACGATGATGTATTAGGCTAAATACTCTCATTTTAATAATTTACCTTCATGTCCCTGAAAGCAATTATTGAACATATGTTTGGAAACAAGAATGATAGCTTCAGATGTAGTACAAGTCCCACTTTATCTGGTCACTATGTGATTAGACCGTGTTACTTGGGCTTCTGTAATGTATTAAATAGTACCTCCTCAGTGACGAAAGGAGCCTTTAATAGTCTAGTTTGGCTGGTGCAGTGGCTCACACCTGTAATTCGAGCACTTTGGGAAGCTGAGGTAGGAGGATTGCTTGAGCTCAGGAGTTCAAAACTAGCCTGGGCAACATAGTGAGACCCCATCTCTACAAAAAAGTAAAATTAGTTAGGCATGATGATGCACAGGTGTAGTCCCAGCTACTTGGGAGGCTGCAGTGGGAAGATTGCTTGAGCCCAGGATTTCTAGGCAGCAGTGAGCCATCACTGCACTACTGCACTCTGGCCTGGGTGACAGAGTGAGACCTTGTCTTAAAAACAAAGAAACAAACCAAAAAACCCAGTTTTTTTTTTTCATTTCAAAGTTGAAATTTTTGTATAATGTTGGTTAGTAAAATTTCTGAAATTACTAGAGAAAAATATTTAATGCTATAGTTTATGATGGATTATATAGTATAAATGCTTATCATATAAGATTGACTAAATATTTTAAGGAAATTCATCAAAATGTCTAATATTTGACATTTAAAAATCAATATGATTAGGTGTTGGCATGCTTTATTTTTTTCTTCTAGAGACAAAGTCTTGCTCTGTTACCTAGGCTGGAGTGCAATAGTGTAGTTATGGCTCACTGCAGCTTCGAAATCCTGGGCTCAAGTGATCCTCTTGCCTCAGTCTCCTGAGTAGCTGGGACCACAGATGCATGCCACCACCCCTAACTAATTTTTAAAAATGTTTTGTAGACATGAGGCCTTGCTCTATTGCCCAGGCTGATCTTGAACCCTTGGGCTCAGGCAATCCTCCTGCCTTGCAAAGCGCTGGGATTACAGATGTGAGTCAATGTGCCCAGCCCTTTCTTGACATTTTAATTAAAGGATTGGGACTTTTAAAAACCATTATAAAATACCTTGGTATTAGCATACATATACTTAAATTCGTTTAGCTGTAATAGCCAGCCTAAATTTTTTCAGCAAAAACTTTATCAGATGCTAACAATGATAAAACCTAATTATTGAAAACTATTAAACTTCCCGCCAGGCGCGGTGGCTCATGCCTGTAATCCCAGCACTTTGGGAGGCCAAGGTGGGTGGATCATGAGGTTGAGAGATTAAGACCATCCTGGCTAACACGGTGAAACCCTGTCTCTACTAAAAATACAAAAAATTAGCCAGGCGTGGTTTCTGGCGCCTGTAGTCCCAGCTACTCGGGAGGTTGAGGCAGGAGAATGGCGTGAACCTGGGGGGCGGAGGTTGCAGTGAGCCGAGATCGAGCCACTGCACTCCAGCCTGGGCGACAGAGTGAGACTCCGTCTCAAAAAAAATAAATAAATAAAATAAACAAACTTCCCAAGGTTTTTCCACATTCATTCTGATGTCTCCTTCAATAGTTATTATTTATTGTTTTACTCAGAAAGTATGTAGTTTAAAATTATTAAAATAGTATTATGTATTTATAGTAGAGTGAAAAAGAAAATCTAAATATAAAGATCTCTCAAATCTACCATGAATGTTAATGGATTTTTATTATATATTACTGTTTTGTAACCTGGTATTCTTTATATAAAAATAAATTGTGAAAAGTATGAATTATTAATATAGGTTATCATTGATTACGGTAGTTTATGGTAGTACCATAATTAAACCAATCCTTTAACATTGGTTGAGTTGGGTTCACTTTTTCATTATTTAAACACAACTACCATCACAAAACAACAACACTGTGATCAGCATTCATACAACCAGAACATGGGGTTATATTATAATTATTTTCAGTATAAATTCTTGGAGGCAGAGTTTCAAAGTCTGGATAGCTGTAGAACTATTTTCAAATATAAAGTTGAGACATTGGAAGATCTGTAGCTTAGAGTTTATTGTTTAATTTGTTGTTGAGTAACTTTAAATAGAAACATTAAAAAGAATATGTAGCTGTTTCCTTAATGCTACAATTTATGTTATGAATGTATAATGGTCATGTTAAGTGTTTTATTTATTGCTTTATTTATATATTGCACATTTTTCATGATTATGTATGTGTTTCAAAGGCTATAGAATTGCTGTTGACATCTGGATAGTTATAAAAGCCTAATATAAGTTTATGTAACATCTTTATTTGACAGATTAGTAAGTGGGTGTTCTTAGCAACTTCTCTGGTGTATGCAATCCTTGGGCTTTAGACTTTTACAGGCCACTTTTAAACTCAACCTTTAGCATTTACCAGAGATCTGATCCTTATGCTTCCCACCTGTGAAATATGGATGATACCAAGCTCACAGAAAGTTGTGGATTAAATGAAGCAAATATGGAACTCCCCAGAGTAGTTCTTGATAGATAATAAATGCACTAATTAACTTTACTTATTTTCTTAGTATAGCTAAACAGTGAGACGAGTTACCAAAGGTCTATTTCTAAAATGTGGAAAGGCCAACCTGATTTTTCAGTTAACAAATCTTTGCAAACATATAATTTTCAGTGAGAACATTATCACTATTAAAAAGGACACAGAATTACAATTGACTAAATGTAAAGTTTTATTTTTTGAACAGTTGGACGGTATTTCTCTTGGGATATATTTATTCTTTTATAAGAATTTTATCATTTACATGTAATAGAAACTGTTGGACTTAATAGAAGACTTGAAAAAAAAACTGATAAATGAAAAAAAGGAAAAATTAACCTTGGAATTTAAAATTCGAGAAGAAGTTACACAGGAGTTTACTCAGTATTGGGCTCAACGGGAAGCTGACTTTAAGTAAGTTATTTATTTCATGTCCAGGTAAAAATTGAGAATTTTATTTAGTTTTTTAGTTTTTTTTTTTACTTAGTTTACTTTTTATATTAGGTGGCTTCTGAATTCTGATCTCTTTATACAAGCTTGAAAATAGCTGTTACTGGTCTGGTGCGGTGGCTCACGCCTGTAATCCCAGCATTTTGGGAGGCCTAGGCAGGCGGATCACTGAAGGTCAGGAGGTCGAGATCAGCCTGGCCAACATGGTGAAACCTCGTCTGTACTAAAAATAGAAAAATTAGCTGGGCGTACTGGCATGTTCCTGAAGTCCCAGCTGCTTTCAGGAGGCTGAGGCACGAGAATCTCTTGAACCTGGGAGGTGTAGGTTGCAGTGAGCTGAGATTGTGTCACTGCACTCCAGCCTGGGCGACAGAGTGAGACTCTTGTCTCAGAGAAGAAAAAAAAGAATATAGCTGTAACTAATCCCATGCATGGTTATTTAAATTTTCTCTCTTTTTTAAATTTAAATTTTAATTTTTTGAGATGGAGTCTTGTGCTGTCACCCAGGCTGGTATTGAGTGGTGCGATCTTGGCTCACGGCAACCTGCACCTCCTGGGTTCAAGCAATTCTTCTGCCTTAGCCTCTCCTGCCTTAGCCTCCTGAGTAGCTGGGATTACAGGCACACACCACCACGCCCAGCTAATTTTTGTGTTTTTAGTAGAGACGGTGTTGCTGTGTTGGCCAGGCTGGTTTCAAACTCCTGGCCTGAAGTGATCCACCCGCCTCCGCCTCCCAAATTGCTGGGATTACAGGCGTGAACCACTGTACCTGGACTAAATTTTCTTTTAATCTAGAATATACTTAAACTTAGATGTTTAAAACAAAAACACAAAGTAGTTCGTTTTCTGTTTCTTAATGGGATTAATTTGTATTTTGAAGGGAGACTCTGCTTCAAGAACGAGAGATATTAGAAGAAAATGCTGAACGTCGTTTGGCTATCTTCAAGGATTTGGTTGGTAAATGTGACACTCGAGAAGAAGCAGCGAAAGACATTTGTGCCACAAAAGTTGAAACTGAAGTATGTTAATTGAAGTATTTAAAAATATCCAGTGAGGTTTTGGTACCAGGGTTTAGTGTACCACATCAATGATGAGAAACACCAAGATAGTTTAGAATTAAAACAATGCTTTGTGTGTAGCTTTATTATAATTAGGCATGTTTTTTTAGAAGTGTAAGGCACCAAGAATTTAAATATAATGATTGGTTTTGAAAAATTTATACCTCTGTTATATATATATATATCTTATTTTGGTATTGCTTGAATCATTGTGTTGTAGGCAGATAGATTCTTTTTTGAGATTTGTCTTACTTAACATTTTTAAATAAAAAGAATTTTAAAGGTGTAAGAGACCTAAGACGTCATTTACTTGCTGTTCTGATTAAAACAAAAATGTTTATGTATAAAAAGGGTTGCCCTTGCCGGGCAACTACCGTTTCTTACTCTTTTAAAATTTTATTTGTTTATTTATTTATTATAGTTTTAGAGTTAGGGTCTTGCCGTGTTACCCAGGCTGATCTTGAATTCCTGGCTTCAAGCAGTCCTCCTGCCCAGCCTCCCAGGTGGCTGAGATTACAGGTGCACGCCACTGTGCTCAGCTTATTCTCTACTTGTAATATAAGAAAAATTATCCTTTTCTGCTGCTTCCACTGAAGCTGAAATTGATCAGTTTTTTGGGGGAGTTGGTTTTTTTTTGTTTTTGTTTAGTTTTTTAATCACTCAGTTCAAGTGCCTGTGACAGTGATGTCCAGACGTCTGCTGTCAAGCAAACCTTATGTATCCTTGACGTGGTTTGGGATTGACTGAGTTGTGAAAATGTAGGTTTGTTTCATGCACTATCCCAACAAAACCTTTTAAGTCTCATTATATAATTGAAAGTATACCTGAACTAGGTAATCATAATTGTTCTATAATGACTTGTCACAGTTTGTAACATTGTTTTTATGCGAAAATATGCCTCATGGTCCATACAGCAGAAAATAAATAATGGAACACAGGTTTTTCATAATTGGAGTTGCTTCTATATAATTTATTTTAAAGAATTTCAAGTGATGAATTTTTTGCTTTTTTAAAAACTGTCTAAATTAGATGGTACCACATGTAAAGGGTGAACCCTACTGTTAATATTAGGCATGTGGTTTTTGCTATTTTTAGGAAACACATAATTATGTAGGATTTGAAGATATTATTGATTCTCTTCAAGATAATGTTGCTGATATTAAGAAACAGGCTGAAATTGCTCACTTATATATTGCATCTCTTCCTGACCCCCAGGAAGCTACTGCTTGTTTAGAACTAAAGTTTAATCAAATTAAAGCTGAATTAGCTAAAACCAAAGGAGAATTAATCAAAACCAAAGAAGAGTTAAAAAAGAGAGAAAATGGTAAGTGGATACATTTTACTTTTATTTAGATATTGTAAACACATAAAAAGTACTCTTGGTAAGTATAAGAGATTTATGTAGCTCATTTACCGTAGTGACCAGAAAATTCTTTCATCTAGGTAACATATTTTAATATTTTACCATTTGTATGACTTTGTAGTAATTTACTACTAAAAATATTTTTTGACTTCCATTTATTTTAGACCAATATTATTAGAAAATGAGCTTCTCAACAAAAAAAGTCAAAACAAGTGTTAACTTTATGAGTAAAGCTGTAAATTTTGTTATATATATATATTTTTTATGACAGCGTCTCGCTCTGTCACCAAGGCTGGAGTCAGTAGTGGCATCACAGCTCACTGCAGCCTTCTACTCCTGGGCTCAATTACTCCTCTTGCCTCAGCTTCCTGAATACTTGGGACCACAAGTGTGCACTACCACAGCGGCTGCATTTTTTTTTTTTCTTTTTTGTAGAGATGGGATCTTGCTATGCTGCCCAGATTGGTCTTGAACTCCTAGGCTCAAGTGATACTGCCTGCCTCGGCCTCCCAAAGTGCTGGGATTACAGGCATGAGCCGTGCTGTGCCTGGCCTTGTTCTATATTCTTTATAAATTCTTGCAGTATAGAAGATTCACTGTTGGGATAGAGTGACTACTGTGGAGTGGTTTAAAGTAATTTGTTAGTTTGATGCTTCATTCTAACTAGGAGGGCATTTTCTTTTTCTGTCTTCCCCCCCCCTTTTTTTTTTAAAGACAGGGTCTCACTCTGTCACCCAGGCTGGAGCGCAGAGGCATGATCATGGCTCACTGCAGTTTTCCACCTCCTGGGCTCAAGTGATCCTTCCACCTTAGTCTCCTGAGTAGCTTGGACTACAGACATGTGCCACCATGCTGAGGGCATTTTATATACATAAATAGAATTGTTTGTAATATCTGCATTTTAAGAATTAGTTGCAATAACTGCTCTGCCCTTTTTTGTGTGAAACAAATGGGTAGAAAATAACACGTAAGTGGTGCCTTTGCATTATGAAATGTACTTAAAAAGCACTAGCTCCTTTTCTTCTCTGATGCTATGCCAGTTCTTTACTATTTAGCATATGCCACCTATTTTTATCCTGAGTTTTAGAAGTGGCTTTTTCTGAAACATTACCCTGTTGTGGTTGAATTAGCAGATTTTTTTTTAATGAGTAGGGTGTGCTTCTAGTGCTATCAAAATCCTTTTTATTGAATGTAACAGTAAAGTGTCACTAGAGCAGCATATGTTTCATAGTTATTCAGTGATACATATTTTTAGATGCTTAGATATTTATTTTCAATGTTCTTTATTTTTTCAGAATCAGATTCATTGATTCAAGAGCTTGAGACATCTAATAAGGTAATGCTTTAAGTTTTATTTTGTCTTGATAAGGTATTTAATTAACAAAGGGGTATGAATGATGACTAGATTTGTTTATTTTAAAAAATAATTAAACAGTAATATAGTCTCTTGGTATGCATGGGGGATTGGTTTTATTCTGTTATTTTTTCTGTTCTTCTTTGGCTTGAGTCTTCTTATTTCAACTTGTATTTATCCTTTCAAAAAGCTGAATATTTTAAAATATGATCAGATATAAATAATTCAAGATCTTGGTATCTAATATCCAGTATTTAAAGAACAAAAATGTACTTAGAAGACATTACACCTACTGTTTATACAATTCCTATCTTTTCTTGTATTTTTTCTACTTATGAAAATAGTAGACACTAGTTGTACCAATTACCTTAAGCTATATAAATAGAAAATAAAAAATTTCCCATAATGTTCTTCCTAAATTTAAAACAAAACCAAACCAACTTGTTTGGAAGCTCTTTAGACTGTTACTTTATGTATGTATTTATAGAACACTTACCATTTACCAGATACTCCTTCAAGTGCTTTTTATTAACTCATTTAAATGTTAGAGCAACTTTATGATGTAACTTGCCCAGGGTGACATAGTTTTTTTAGTTTTATTTATTTATTGTTTTTGAAATGGAGTCTCACTCTGTTGCCCAGGCTGGAGTGCAGTGGCATGGCTCACTGCAGCCTACGTTTCCTGGGTTCAAGTGATTCTCCTGCCTCAGCCTCCCAAGTAGTTAGGGTTACAGGTGGCCACCACCCCCGGCTGATTTTTGTATTTTTCAGTGGAGACGGGCTTTCACGATGTTGGCCAGGCTGGTCTCAAACTCCTGACTTCAGGTAATCTCCCCACCAGGTAATTTGGCCTCCCAAAGTGCTGGGATTACAGGCATGAGCCACTGTGCCTGGCCCAGGGTGACATATTAAAAGGGATAGCAGCTAGGATTTGAGCCCAGGCAGTCTGGCTCCAAATTCCTCTTATATGCTATATAGCTTCTTTTTTCTTTGTGTGTGTGTGTGTGTGTGTGTGTGTGTGTGTGTGTGTGTGTATGTAATTTTTTTAAAGGCAAAAATAAGATCATGCTGTGCATAGTGTGTTGCCACTGATTAGCTTTATTTAACTTTAAAATTTGAAGGAATTATAAAACTGTTTGCATTATTAATCATATTTGCATTCTAGTTATCCTAAAGTATATTCATGAAACATTGCTTTTTCTTCTTTCCAAAGAAAATAATTACACAGAATCAAAGAATTAAAGAATTGATAAATATAATTGATCAAAAAGAAGATACTATCAACGAATTTCAGAACCTAAAGTCTCATATGGAAAACACATTTAAATGCAATGTAAGAATTTAACCTTGTGTTATATTAATAAATTAGATAAGCATATGTTTTGGTTGAAAGGAAATAATTTAAAATAGCTTATGCAACTAAGACTAATTTATTGAGAATGTTGAATTGCTTATGCAACATTGAACTCAATTTACTGTTTTCCAAATCTGAATTTTTGAGAACTTAGACGAGGGTGTTTGACTTCTTTGAACATACTTTTCCACAAGATACGCTGGCAGTGCTTTGCATGTAAAAAGGAGGAGAATATGTAGCCTTTGGACGTTTAAGCCTCAGCTAGTTGGAAGGGGAGCTTTGAGGAGAAAGGAATTTAGGTGTACTTAGAAAACCAGATTATAATGTTTCAGGGAACTATAACATGAAATTCAGTAAAATTAGGTTTTTCCTTAGAAGCTTGTTTTTATTATATGTATTGTTGCTATTGTTTATATGCTTAATAGCAAGGATATTTTTTCTAAAAAGTTATACACTGTGACATGTAAAGACTTAAAGGGTTGTCTTTCATACAAATTTAGATAATTTCATATTCAGTTCAGCTTAGAATGATCAGCTTGTCTTTTAATCCATGTCTTTTAAAATGGCTTTTGGTTTTCTTTTTTTGGGGTAAGCTCCTTCAAATTATTCTTTTATTTAGAAATGGTAAAATATATGGTAATAATGTAGTAAGCTGAGTAAACTTAGAGCCAAACATCTTGCTTTGTTGAAAGGTGCTTTTTTATGTCTTTTCTATGACCAAAAGAAGCAGGCGTGGTATCTTATAAAAAGTGACTGTTGAGTTTCCTTTGTATCTTGATAGTCAAACTCTAATACCCACCAACATTCCCTGATTCATCTGAACTTTAGATGGGCATTTGATACCACAGGGGTAAATGAGGAGCATTCTAGAAGAGCACTCTGTCTAATCTCCTATAGTAGGCCTTTCTTTTGGTATTTATTAGATACATGATTCATTCTCTGGTTTTTCTGTACCTGAACTGGGAGAAATATCCTAATATTTAATATGTTAATAATAAACTATTTAGTAATAATTAGTATTTAATAAGGTGGAGGAGCAAGAAACACTTGTGGAGTGTCCAACGTGTGCCAGGTACTATGCTAGATTATTGGAATTATACAGATTAATAAAATCTACTACCCTAACAATCCCCCAATAAGAAAAAAACAACATAAATATAGTTATAATACAATGTGCAGTCGTAGTCAATGTGTGAAGCTGTGAGTGGGTGGGGAGTTAGGAATACTTTGTGGAGATGAAAATGATTAAGTTGAGCCTTAAAGGGTGAGTAAAATTTAGCCTTTTGAAGGTAGAGGAAGGGGACAGTGGTAGTCAGGAGAGACAAGAAGGTACATTGGCCTTCCATGTACCAGAATCAGAGTGCACAAAGTCATGGAAATGAGAAATCTTTCAGTGAGTGCAGGAAAATACAAACAATTTGTTGTTTAGGAAGAAAGTTTGAAGCAAGGAGAGGTGAGAAATGAGGCTAGGAGTAGTAGAATAGGATAAGATGAAAGACCTTGAATACTGCATTAAAGAGTTTGGGGAGTCAGTGGGGGAGTCATTTTCACCAGAGGAATAGCAAAGAGGAGTTTTTCATTTGAGTAGATATTTTTGGAAACTTGGAAGATAGGATTGAGATGGAATTAGACTACAGGCAGAGAGACCAGATAGCTACCTCTTGGAAGAGTTCAGCTAATAGTTGATGAGGACTTCGATTTACGGTAGTAGTAGTAGAGATTAAGGAAGAGGAAATTGATTTGTGAAGTAAGGGGATGTTAAAATTTTGAGACTTGGGGCAGTAAATTAATTGCTGGGCCTCCTGGCTCTCGAAACTTTTATTTGGTTAGTCATCACATGCTTTTTGCTCTCATCTCTTGATCTGGATTTTAAGTCTGTTCTTTGATTTGGTAAATAAAAACAAAAAGGAAAGTCAGAGACAGGTCATTTCTGGTGACTACAACTTCAAAGAAAATAGTTGGAAATTTCACATGGGATTATATTTATTGCTGTAGTGTGTTTGCATACCATAATATATTAGCAATATTTAAGGAAGTGATAGTAAAAAAATCAATATTTGTAAATTAGTTAGTCCTTGCTTGTAAATAAACTTTATAGATTCTAGATCTTGTTTTATCAACTAACTTAATACAGTGTGCTAAATTTAAATTGTTCACTTAAATACATACAAATATACAAAGTAGTTTGGAACTTACCTAATTGTCCTGATTAACAGTTGATCTAGGGTCACTGTTCCACATCTTGTCTTGAGCGCAAACTCTTTCCAATAATGAAAAAATTTAGTTTGAATTCTTTGCTTTTTCTACCCAAGCATACCCTGGGAGCAGAAAACCCTCCTTTCAATAACTATAACTTCTGAAGGATAGATTTTTGGTGAGGA
The DNA here is from genome assembly GCF_000001405.40 of Homo sapiens. Classification (NCBI taxonomy): domain Eukaryota; kingdom Metazoa; phylum Chordata; class Mammalia; order Primates; family Hominidae; genus Homo; species Homo sapiens. The sequence goes on from NC_000010.11 coordinate 89,731,650, forward strand.
TTGTATATTTTGAAGCGGGGAAAAATGACGGGATCATTCTGATAGGTACCAAGGATCGGGGAAGGAACAACTTGGACTTGTTATGGAGCTGTGTCAGAGGTGTGATCTGCCTGTCCCATGATTTTGTCATTTATCAGTGACACTAAGGGACTAATTGTGAGAAAGCGTGGAGATTGTTCTTTATGACATCCTTTGTTTAGAGATACTAGAAAAACTTTGCCTTTTTTCTTAAATAACCCATTACTTTATGACTTTAAAAGGTTATTTTTATCTGTATTTCCTGCTAATACAATGTTTGCTGATTAAGCGGCACTCTATCATACACTTTGTTTTTTCAAATTGATTGCTACAAGTTTCTGCCTTCACCATACATTTGATTACTCTATAGACTTGCGCTTAAATGCTGAGTTTTACCCTTCTTCTAAATCCATATTATACCCTTTTTTTGGAAGTTCCCCCCCTCTCTCAGCTCCCCCACTTTCTTTCTTTTTAGAGGTAGGGTCTCATCACTCTGTTGCCCAGGCTGAAGTGCAGTGATGTGACCATGGCTCACTGCAGCCTTGAACTGCTGGGCTCAAGAGATCCCATTGCCTTAGCCTTCCGAGTAGCTGGGACTGCAGGCATGGACCACAACACCTGGAATTTTAATTTTTTGTAGAGACGGGTTCTCACTGTGTGGCCCAGGCTGGTCTCAAACTCCTGGGCTTGAGTAATCCTCCGGCCTCAGCCTCCCAAAGTGCTGGGATTACAGGCAGGAGCCCCTGTGCTTGGTTGCTACTAGCCTTTTCAAGGGAGGCAGTCTGCCTTAAAAAAAAAAAAAGTCTAAATGACGTATCTAGAAGCTCAGTTTCAAAGCTGTCTGTAGGCTGTATATCTTTGAATATATATCGACTTAAAGCTAAGGGCAAAACTATTTTTCTAGGAGTTGTTAATGTTTAAGACAATACTAATCTTTAAGAGGCTTTGGCTACAAAACAAAATAAATAGTTGAGTTCATATTTTTCTTTTCAAAGCACATTTCTGATGTGACTTCAGAGATTTATCTTCTTAAGATTCTCCAGTTATCCCCAAATGTTACTTATTTGCTAGAGCCATCAGTTATTTTAGGACGAAACTTAAGAAATAACTTAGAAAATGTCTCAACAAATTTGAAAATAAAATTTTTATGGTACACCATTGAAAGTAATTTATGTGATTTGTACATTTTTTGTAGCTTTCTATATGTGAATTATTTTTAACTTATTTTGCTTTAGGACAAGGCTGATACATCTTCTTTAATAATAAACAATAAATTGATTTGTAATGAAACAGTTGAAGTACCTAAGGACAGCAAATCTAAAATCTGTTCAGAAAGAAAAAGAGTAAATGAAAATGAACTTCAGCAAGATGAACCACCAGCAAAGAAAGGTACTACTTCAGCTGCCAGCAGCAGGCGTTTAAGAAAGCTAATTTCTAAACCAGTAAATAGAACAAGGCAAACAGAGGGGCATTCACTTGTCTAAGGAAAAATCTTGAGAAAATCTAAACGTCTTGAATTTTTATTCTGGAAAGTTATACATTTTCTAGGGATGGGCATAGTTAAAGCTTTTATCTTAATAAATATGCTTTTAGAAATTGTGCTTTTATTATTTCTTTCGCAGTCTATGTAATAATTTCTGTGCTTATAATAGTTAAAACTCATTACTTTGATTTTATAAATATAGTATTTTCTGCCTAAATCCCAGCACATTATTTTGTTTTCTTTGTTTGCATTCTTTATTCATTTGGAGAAAAGGATATTTTACAGTAAGACTTTGAGCTAAATATTATTAATAATAAATGTATTCAAGCTGTATTTGTGATACCAGGAGACAGTCTGATGAAAGATAATACATGTTGAAGATTATTTTTTAAAAAATCTTTAATAGTAACTGGGCAAGTTTGTTGTAAATATAAAGAAGGGCAAACCTTTGAATTTTAGAGGAGGTAGACTCTTTAGAATAAACTGAAAATCTTGAGGAAATAAATAGGAAAATGTAAATTGCAAACATAAGAAACGCTTCAAAAAGAAACTCAGCAGCTTTTAAGAAAATACAGCAGGCATAATGCCTTATTTTACCCCTTCCTCTTTGAGGCTGGACAGTGTAAATTATACATAATAAAACCTTGTCCACTGAGCTTTTAAAATTAGTCTGTATTGAAGAAAAGAGATCTTGGAATCCTGTAATGAAATTGCACAATTACAGCTTCCCAAGAACATTTAGACAATTGAGTGAAACAAAAAAGAACATGCATTGCATTTGAGAAATGAAGACTTAACAAATACAGGTTGTTTTTTGTATATACAGTATCGAAGGCAAAACTAGATAAATTCTAGATGGGACAGGGAGGTAAGATTCCCATATTATATAGTGATTCTTGGGTGGGGGCATATTCTCACTGGGGGAAATCAGTATCTTGAGAGAGCTAGGGGATTTTAATTTATCAAAAGGGGTCATAGGCCGGGCGTGGTGGCTCATGCCTGTAATCCTAGCACTTTGGGAGGCCGAGGTGGGTGGATTCCCTGAGGTCAGGAGTTTGAGACCAGCCTGACCAACGTGATGAAACCCCATCTCTACTAAAATTACAAAAAATTAGCCTGGTGTGGTGGTGCATGCCTGTAATCCCAGCTACTTGGGAAGCTGAGGCAGGAGAATTACTTGAATCTGGGAGGCAAAGACTGCAGTGAGCCAAGATTGCGCCATTGCACTCCAGCCAGGGCAACAAGAGTGAAACTGTGTCTAAAAAAATGAAAGTGGTGGTGGGGGGTCATAGTATTAAAAAACCTTGAGAACAAACAATCACATAAGTTTTTTCTTCTCCACATTATGGTAGTACCTGAGGGACCTTTCATAAATGCTTTGGCTTTTCCTTTATTTTGCTCATAACTTCAACTGTGATTAGTATATATGGAAATGAGTATAGAAACTCATTTGTATATGGCATGGCAGATTTCAATTTAATGAGCTTTGTAATGATCTCAAAAGTGCTGCCTTCTTCATCGAACAGATTCATTACATGTGCATCCCATGGGCTATCATCTCACAACTAGGATGCACAAGAGCCTGTGAGAGGCAGGCTAAAACTTAATGGGTTTGAATTTCATAACTACAAGAGGTTTGACGTTTGGCTCTTAAGGAACAATTACATGCAGCAGTGCTGTCAGTTAAGGGCTTTGTAATGTAACAAACTGATATGTTAAGATCCCAAAGGTATTACAGAAGTCACTGTCAACTTCTAGAAATTTTCAAAAATAATACCCCAGAACACTAATTCTCAAAACGTTGCATGTAAAATACATCCCAGACTTACCAAATCACTATCTTTGGTATTTGGTGCCAGGAATCTGCATTTTAATAAGGTCCCTGGATAATTCCTCCCAATAAAACTAGAAAATCACTCTTGTGTAAATAAATGTTTTTCAGTGTTAAAGAGAGAACATTAAAATTTTAAACATAAAGTTACCATAAAGTAACAAAATTAATGTAACTGGAATATGTCAGATTCATGAATTTACATATATCTAGAAGCAGAATAAATTATTATTGCAAAAATCACAAAGATTATTTGTTTTCTATACCATGATATGTCTTAGAGATAGAAAAGAAGAACATATGTGGTATAGTTAAGTTTCAAAAATATTACATTTAGGATTATTATTCTATTTAGGTTTATTGTTCGTGATGAGTGAGATATAGGGAGTCTGCCATCAAGGAGCTTAAAATCTAGTAGATGAGAGAGACAAACATATTTCAATAAAATATAAAGAGCTGAGATGCATAGGATAATATTCGGGACTCATTAAAAAGAAAAATGTACCATATACTTTTTAGAGTCAATTAGATACCAATGGAAAGTAGTAAGTGTCTTTTTTTTTTTTTTTTTTTTTGAGACAGAGTCTTCCTCTGTCACCAGGCTGGAGTGCAGTGGCATGATCTTGGCTCACTGTAACCTCCGTCTCCTGGGTTCAAGCCATTCTCCTGGCTCAGCCTCCCGACTAGCTGGGATTACAGGCGCCCACCACCACACCCATCTAATTTTTTTGTGTTTTTAGTAGAGACAGGGTTTCACCATGTTGGCCAGGATGGTCTCGATCTCCTGACCTCGTGATCCACCCGCCTCTGCCTCCCAAAGTGCTGGGATTACAGGCGTGAGCCACCGTGCCCGGCCAGAAAGTAGTAGGTTTCTTAACTAGAAGGATTTCAAGCCAAACCTACATTATAATTGTCTTCTGCTCTTATAGATTAGTAACCCTTGTACTTCATATTATATCTGGGATCATTAAACAAGAAGAATTTGATTCTTACATAGTGAGGATATCACATAAAAATACAGGTTAATTAAACAGAAATGGTCAGTGAGGGAGTGAATGGCGGTCAGAAGAACATATGGAATTGATTGTATTAGAGCAAAGTCGTGTAGAAAATTCACATAAAAATTGTACCAGAACAATGTTGTAAAGTCTACTTGCAAACATCATATAAACATCAAACCATGAAGTATAACAAAACAGGAAAAAATTTCTAAAAACGAAGAGTCAGATTCTGGCCTGTTTTGAAGTAAGGTTTCGAGGATCTGAGACACTCATCTGACCCTTAATGGAAATTGTATGAAATATAAAAAGATATGTAGATATAAATTTATATATCTAGAAGATTGTTAATTATATTTCAAGATTTAATCATGGAATCTATGAGGAAAGTTTAAAAGAATATAATTTATACTGGGCACTTACGTGGGGTGAGTTTATTTGTCAGAGTGAACTTATGAATTAAATTGTAGCTAATAGTGTATCTGTTCTGGGTATAATTTGATCTGTACTGATTATAATGGCTAAAGTTCTTACATGTATACAACATTTATGTAGTCATTTAACTTACATTACGTATTAACTCATTTTAGTCTCTTAGCATTATTCTGTAGAGTAAGTTGGGCAGGTAAGGGTATCTTTATTCTAGCAATATACATATTAAGCCTGAAAAAGGCAAACTTTTATGCATTTTCAATTAGTTGAATCCTTCTGTACAGATTTTCAGGTTCTATTAATAGTTAAATCTATCCAATGCACAGTGTCGTCAACCCATTTGTCATCTTGATCTTCACAACTTTGAGATAGGTGGTATTATTCCTATATCACATTTGAGGAAACAGTCGTAGTATGAAGCAGTTTATTAATGGTTACAGCTAGTAAGGCTATATTATATGAATTCCCAAAGTTTTAACATGTCCCTTCTAATTTTAGCTATGAAAATTTAAGATACTCCATTTGCCTATTGCTAATATAGTAAAAGCCACAATATAATTGTAGCTTAAAACTGTTCGTTAGGATATGGAATGTCTGCCTAGGGTTTCTCGTCATCTCCTCCTCTCTGTCCCATATTGAAATGACAATAAAGATTTGTGGTACAAAATTTAAATAATACTGAAAGTTAGAAATAGCTGGTAATGCTACTCAGAGGTAGGTAGCTGCCATCATTTTGGTGTACTTCCTTTGCTAACTTTGTATTACCTTGTGAAATAATAATTTTTACATAAATGGGCTCATACCACATGTTTTAAAACCTGTTTTTTCTTTTTTTCTCAACAGCTTATTTCATTTTTTTTTTTTAATTAGAAGTTTACTTTTACATGTTTTGTATGTTTGAATATTGGCTTATATGGTGACTTTTTGGTTTTATTAAGGTTTGCCAGATTAATAACAATTTTCTTATTTTTAAAGGGTCTATCCATGTTAGTTCAGCTATCACTGAAGACCAAAAGAAAAGTGAAGAAGTGCGACCGAACATTGCAGAAATTGAAGACATCAGAGTTTTACAAGAAAATAATGAAGGACTGAGAGCATTTTTACTCACTATTGAGAATGAACTTAAAAATGAAAAGGAAGAAAAAGCAGAATTAAATAAACAGATTGTTCATTTTCAGCAGGAACTTTCTCTTTCTGAAAAAAAGAATTTAACTTTAAGTAAAGAGGTCCAACAAATTCAGTCAAATTATGATATTGCAATTGCTGAATTACATGTGCAGAAAAGTAAAAATCAAGAACAGGAGGAAAAGATCATGAAATTGTCAAATGAGATAGAAACTGCTACAAGAAGCATTACAAATAATGTTTCACAAATAAAATTAATGCACACGAAAATAGACGAACTACGTACTCTTGATTCAGTTTCTCAGATTTCAAACATAGATTTGCTCAATCTCAGGGATCTGTCAAATGGTTCTGAGGAGGATAATTTGCCAAATACACAGTTAGACCTTTTAGGTAATGATTATTTGGTAAGTAAGCAAGTTAAAGAATATCGAATTCAAGAACCCAATAGGGAAAATTCTTTCCACTCTAGTATTGAAGCTATTTGGGAAGAATGTAAAGAGATTGTGAAGGCCTCTTCCAAAAAAAGTCATCAGATTGAGGAACTGGAACAACAAATTGAAAAATTGCAGGCAGAAGTAAAAGGCTATAAGGATGAAAACAATAGACTAAAGGAGAAGGAGCATAAAAACCAAGATGACCTACTAAAAGAAAAAGAAACTCTTATACAGCAGCTGAAAGAAGAATTGCAAGAAAAAAATGTTACTCTTGATGTTCAAATACAGCATGTAGTTGAAGGAAAGAGAGCGCTTTCAGAACTTACACAAGGTGTTACTTGCTATAAGGCAAAAATAAAGGAACTTGAAACAATTTTAGAGACTCAGAAAGTTGAATGTAGTCATTCAGCCAAGTTAGAACAAGACATTTTGGAAAAGGAATCTATCATCTTAAAGCTAGAAAGAAATTTGAAGGAATTTCAAGAACATCTTCAGGATTCTGTCAAAAACACCAAAGATTTAAATGTAAAGGAACTCAAGCTGAAAGAAGAAATCACACAGTTAACAAATAATTTGCAAGATATGAAACATTTACTTCAATTAAAAGAAGAAGAAGAAGAAACCAACAGGCAAGAAACAGAAAAGTAAGCTAAATGTTATTCAAAATATTTTAAAATACACAAAGCATTCATTTTGCTATGCAGCTTTAAAAAAGTTAGATAGTCATACTTAATCTGGTAAAGCGTAGCATGTATGATGAGTGAAGAACTTGAACTTTGTCCATATAAACCTTTGGACCATAGGTTATGTGAAAAGATCAGCTTATAAAAATCATATGAAATATTTTCTGAAGAACTCATTCATAGTTTGGATATTCCAAATTTGTGAAAAGATATAATTTTGTAAAGATTGTTACCATTTCACATGTATGGTCCTAAGCAGTTAATGATGCATTACCATAGAAAAGTGGTTTATGTTTTTTAGATTGAAAGAGGAACTCTCTGCAAGCTCTGCTCGTACCCAGAATCTGAAAGCAGATCTTCAGAGGAAGGAAGAAGATTATGCTGACCTGAAAGAGAAACTGACTGATGCCAAAAAGCAGATTAAGCAAGTACAGAAAGAGGTAGGTTATTTGAAAAGTTATGTGGCCAGTTTATGATAAAGATTGTTTTCCTTATATATCAAACTTAGACATTAATCTTAGGATTGAATAGAACATTTATCCACTTTATAATTTTTCTTAAAATTACAAGAACAGTTACTTCACGAGAGAAAATTTAGCTGATTTAAACAAGCTGAAGAATGTCCAACATTAAGAGAAATATGTACCTTATGAAAGATTAGTCTTTTTCTTCTTTAAGAATTGCTAAATGTAAGTCCTTACAAAAAAGTGGAAAGCAACTTGTTTACAGATAGTACTTAGGAGAATGTGCAGTATGATTTTTTAGTTTTTATTATAACTTAATTTTTAAAAGGGAATGCAATCACATTATTCCAAATTTGAAATATAATAGATGTATACAATGAGAAGGAAATACTTCCCACTCCTTCGAGCTGTCAAGTTTACCTTCACAGCATCAAATGTTACCAATTTCTTTCTTTTTCTGCACTTCTCCCTCCTTCCCATTTTCTTGTATGACCACTTCATTTTCTGTCGTACTTAGACCTTCTCTAAAGATTGGAGCACTTTTTTTTTTTTTTTTAAACTTTGAGGTAGTTACCAAATAATACTTAAATGTGTAAGGTCTGACAAATATTAATACAACAAATGCTGTTTCTACCACTATAAAAGTGACTACTGAATGTTGTGTTTATCTAAACTTTAAAAAATATAATTTAACCATATTTTTTAATCTCTAAACAGTATTTTCTTCTCAAACTTTTATTTTTCACATCATATTTCTGAGATTGATTTTGTACAGTCGTAATTAATCATTTTCACCTCTGTATAGTATTCTGTTGTGTGACTTAGCGCAATTTATTTAGTCTCTTGTTGATGACCATTTAGATTGTTTATTATTTTTTGCCCATAGCCATAATGCAAATATCTTCTATATGCTCTTGGTACACATATGCAAAAGTTTATATACCAAGTGGGGAATTACTGTGTTAGAGGATATGAAGTGTTATCTCATGGTAGTTTTAATTTGCATTCTTTTGATTGCTAATGAAGTACAGCTTCTATTCATATTTTTATTTCTATTTGTCTATCCCAGTTTCTGCTCTGTTGAAGTCATTTGTTCATTTTAATTGTGCTGTCTTTTTTTTTTTTTTTTTAAAGTATGTAGTTTTTATTTTTACTTATTTAAAAAAAATTTACTGGTTTATTATAAAGGATACAACTCAAGAACAGACAAATAGAAGGGATACACAGGACAGATTAAGGGGGACAGAGGGTGGTGCAGAGCTTCTGTGCCCTCTCTGGGTGTACCACCCTCCTAAGACCTCAGTGTGCTCACCAAGTGGGACACTCTCTGAACCTCACTGTACAATAGTTCTCATGACTCAATCTCCAACCCTCCTCTCTTCCACAGAGTTTGGTGGGTGGGACTGAAATTTCCAACTCTAATCATTTTTGGTCTTTTGGTGAGTAGCCCTACCCTTAAGCTATTTCAAAGGAGCCTCCACTCAAAGCTATTTCATTAGCATAAATTCAGGTGTGATTAAAAGGGGGCTCTTTTTTCTAAGTTTATTTATTTTGTTTTGGGACAGGGTCTTACTCTGTCACCCAATCTGGAGTGCAGTGGCGTGATCATAGCTCACTGTAACTTTGAACTCCTGGGCTCAAGTGATCCTCCCATCTCAGCCTCCCTAGTAGCTGAGACTACAGGTGTGCCACCATGCCCTAGCTCCTTTTAAATTTATTGTATTGTTAAAGTCTTTTTTATTGCTACTTATAGAGGTATCTCTTTTCAAGTATAGATAGCAGTCCCCAGCCTTTTTGGTACCAGTGATTGGTTTTGTGGAAGACAATTTTTCCATGGACCAGGGTAGGGGCTGGCTGCTTTAAGGATGATTCAAACACATTACAGTTATTGTGCACTTTATATTATTATTACATTGTAATATATAATGAAGCAATTATACAATTCACCATAATGTAGAATCAGTGGGAGCCCTGAGCTTGTTTTCCTACAACTAGACGGTCCCATCTGGGGGTGATGGGAGACAGTGGCAGATCAGCAGGCATTAGATTCTCATAAGGAATGCACAACCTAGGTTCATTGCATGCAGAGTTCACAATAGGGTTTGCACTCCTATGAGAATCTAATGCCTCTGTTGATCTGACAGTAGGCGGAGCTCAGGCGGTAATGTGAGTGATGGGGAGTGGCTGTAAATACAGATGAAGCTTCACTCCCTTGTCTGCCGCTCACCTCCTGCTGTGTGGCCCAGTTCCTAACAAGCTATGGATCAGTATTTGTCTGTGGCCAGGTGGTTGAGGCTCCCTCCTCATATAGATGACTATTTAACATTACTCTAATGATGGGTATTAAAAGTATTTTCTATTTCTCAAATGTGTAGTTTTAAAGCAAATAATAATAATTATAGCAATTTAATCTAGGCCAGCTGCTATGCTGAGTTGACATATTATCTTAATCCTCACACAATATCGGGTATAGACACTGTTTTTAACTTCCATTTTGTTGATAAGAAAACAGACATTGAGGGATACAGTAGTCTCCCTTTACTGGCAGTTTTGCTTTCTGTGGTTTCAGTTACCTGTGGCCAACCATGAGCTGAAAATACTAAATAGAAATTCCAGGAATAAACAGTTCAATTGCAGGTCATTCTGAGTAGTGGGTCAAAAGCTTGTGCCATCCTGTCCTGCCTGGAGTTAGAATTATCCCTTTGCCTAGCATATCCACATTGTTAGTGCTACCTATTAATCACTTAGTCATCTCAATTATCAGATCACGTGTCATGGTATCAGGGACAGTGTTTGTGTTCAAGTAACTTTTATTTTACTTAATAATGGTCTCAACATGCAAAAGTAGTGATGCTGGCAATTCAGATAAGCCAAAATGTTGTTGTAAAGGGCTTCCTTTAAATGAAAAGGTAAAAGTTCTTAACTTAATAAATAAAGAAAAAAAATTGTAATCTGAGGTTGCTAAGATCTATGGTAAGAACAAATCTTCCATCTGTGAAATTGCGAAGAAGAAAAAAGAAATTTATGTTAGTTTTGCTGGTGCACCTCACTGCAAAAGTTATGGCCACAATTCATGATAATTGCTTAGCTAAGATGGAAAAAGCATTAAATTTGTGGGTGGAGGATGCAAACAGAAGTGTGTTTCGATTGATGGTGTCTGGGTTCAATACTGTCCACTGGGGATCTTGAAATACTATCCAATGTTTCAGGTATCCACTGGCGATCTTGAAACATATCCCCTGTGGATAAGGGGGAACTTGTCCTTGTCTAAGTTCACTTGTCTTAGTCTTAATAAGACTTGTCTAAGTTCACTCAGTAGTAAGTGCTAGAGCCAGAATGGAAACCGAGGCAGTCCTTACATGCATCTTTGTGCAGCACATAGCCTCTATTATTGTTAGTTATATAGTTGATGAAGATGGTGTTTATTACTTGAAGCCTCATTTTTTTAAACAAAATTAGCAAATATTATGAATATGTGATTATCATGTATGTATTATTGGAACATAAAGCTTAAAACAATGTAAGAATCCTCTGAAACCATACCACTCTGAGCTACTATAATAAGGGCATCTTCAAGCCTTTTTTTTTTTTTTTTTTTGGGCGGAGTCTCACTCTGTTGCCCAGGCTGGAGTGCAGTGGCGTGATCTCGGCTCACTGCAACCTCCACCTCCCGGGTTCAAGCAATTCTTCTGCCTCAGTCTCCCGAGTAGCTGGGACTACAGGCACGTGCCACCATGCCCGGCTAATGTTTTTTGTATTTTTAGTAGAGATGGGGTTTCACTGTGTTAGCCAGGATGGTCTCGATCTCCTGACCTCGTGATCCACTTGCCTCCGCCTCCCAGAGTGCTGGTATTACAGGCATGAGCCACCATGCCCGGCCTTCTCTATGCTTTTTATGGGGCATCTTTTCATTTAATTTCCTTCCGTTTTTGAGCTCTCTAGCGAGTGTGAAAATGGAGTTTTGGCAGTAAAGCTCCACAAGGGAATAGAAGAGAAGGCTCTGCTGCCAGTTAGATAACTTCCCTCTGGAAATCCTGGCAAGATGTACTGAAAGGTTTCAGAGGGGGTTGGTATGATGGAAACTAGTATAAGGATGTACCTATATTAGCTTTTTTGGGTGAGAAATTAATATATATATTAGTCCATAGTACCTCGATTTCCCTACGTTTATGGCATTAGATTACCGGCAACAGCAGAAATCAATTGACCTTCACTTGCGTGGGTACCTTTTGATTTTGTGATTGTTCCATTTTCTTCCCTGCATGTCATTATTAGCTTTTAAAGTTTTTCTTGTATTCCTGGATTATATTACTCAATAAACTTTGGAAATTTGAATCAGTATTTTTCTCTCAGAATATCTTTATTGATTTTTCCTTGGTAATTATTTCCCTATTATGTATAGATGTTATGATAATTCTTTTTTGAGAGAACTTAAAAAGTTTGAGATTCTTAAATAATGGAACAAGAAATTGAGTTTTTCATATGCATTCTTCATTAGAGTATTAAAACATTTTCTAATAATTTGAAGCTATAGTGTGTTTGATTTGTAGTATATTAAAATCTGTCATTTTTCTTTTAGGCTGTAAAGGATGTGAATCTTTGAACATAGTTGCCATGAATCTTAAATAACAAAAAGCAGTTAGTATTTTTAAAATATTCCATTTGTTTTATAAACATTATTTTGTAGGTATCTGTAATGCGTGATGAGGATAAATTACTGAGGATTAAAATTAATGAACTGGAGAAAAAGAAAAACCAGTGTTCTCAGGAATTAGATATGAAACAGCGAACCATTCAGCAACTCAAGGTAAACAGTTTTGTTTTTAAAGATGATTTAAATGCATTCTCTTGGTATATTTTAGTGTACAAAAAGGTACAAATTTGTTTTTAATAACATCCTGTTTTGACTTTTTCTAGAATCTAGAAATAAATTATTTAAAATTAAATAGGCAAAAAAGAAAAAAAAAAGATAAAATTAAGTAGGCCAGTAGTGACTCTCTTCTAATGAATAGACTATGGAAAAGAAAAAATAATAACTTCATAGTGAAGAAACCTAGCAGATACCACTTTAACCAAGTGTTTAAGAATAACATTACCATTAGTCATATTGATGCTGTGTGCTTCCTGGTTTGATGTGACCAGAAAGGCACATACCCTCTTTGGTATTCTTTCCCTAAATTTATAACCTCAGACTCTTCACGAAAAAACATTAGACAAACCCAAATGGAGGATGTTATACTTACTGCTTCACCAGTATGAAGTATAAAGTGTCAGGGTCATTAAAGACAAGTAAAGACTGGTGAATGATGGTGAAGTCTGGAGTGTAATTAATAGTAGTATACCAATGTTAATTTCTTGATTTTTGATAAATGTACCATGGTAGTGTAATATGATAACATTAAGGGAAGCTAAATTCTTTGGAACTCTTGCAAAGCTAAAATTATTTTGAAATAAAATGCAAAAAAACAAAAAGAGTTGAGGTCTTACAGCAAATTCCTTTTAAAAATGATATTTAAAAGGCAAAATCCCTTTATTGTATATGGTTATTTTTTGCTTGATATCAACCAAATGGATGAGGCAACAATAAAAAAAATACATTTGTTATATTATTTTCATGTTTGCTTTTAAATGAAGCAAACTAATGAATAGTCAGGTATAAATACATGATTTTAATTCTTAAGGTAATCATAATAAAGCATTCTATAACAATAGGATTCGAGATCTCCATATTCCATAATGATTCACTCTTAAGACTTACAAAGTGATGAGATAGTGGTGACATTAGATGAGATTGGGGGTGAAGTTTGGATTACATGATAAGTTACAATTAGAACTGTAGGATATCTGGTCCCCATAATTTAATCTTGCCTCTTAAGGCTTATTTTTTTCCAATCTTGCAGCTACTTTCTAGGTAAAAGGGGTGGAGAGCTCTTTTTTCCTTCATTTTGAGTTTAAGTTTACCAGTGAGGAAGCTTTTAATGGTTTTTCTTGTTCCTTCTATGTTAAATACACAGTAGAACTTCATTTTCCCTTGTTTCTGCTTTTTGTGGTTTGTAAGAAAACATTTATCTAAAATGTTGAGTAAGTAAAATAACCGGGTCATAACGTAGATTAAAAGTATAGGCTGGGCACAGTCGCTCACGCATGTAATCCCAGCACTTTGGGAAGCCGAGGCAGACGGATCACAAGGTCAGGAGATCGAGACTAGCCTGACCAACACGGTGAAACCCCGTCTCTACTAAAAATACAAAAATTAGCCAGGCGTGGTGGCACACGCCTATAATCCCAGTTACTCAGGAGGCTGAGGCAGGAGAATCGCTTGAACCCAGGAGGTGGAGGTTGCAGTGAGCCAAGATTGCGCCACTGCGCTCCATCCTGGGTGGCAGAGGGAGACTCCATCTCAAAAACAAACAAATAAATAAATAAATAAATAAAGACATATAAAGTGTTTTTTTTTAATTTTTTTAAATTTTAATTTTAATTTTTATTTTTTGAGATGGAGTCTCGCTTTGTCGCCAGGCTGGAGTACAGTGGTGCGATCTTGGCTCACTGCAATCTTGGCTCACTGCAATCTCTACTTCTTCTTTCCCCTGCTCTCACCCTACCCTTTTCTCCAAGATGAAAGACAGTTGGAAGCTTGAGACTGGTACCAGCTGGTATACCAGCTATATAGGAGACTGATTTCAAACTTAATATTGAGCCCTGTTTTCAAGATCCACTGTTAAATATTGTGTTTTTAAGTTAATTTGCAATTAATTTATATTCTTTCAATTTGTAGGAGCAGTTAAATAATCAGAAAGTGGAAGAAGCTATACAACAGTATGAGAGAGCATGCAAAGGTCAGGAACAAGTTTGTACTTCTGGAACCAGAAAAGTTCTCTTATTCCCCTCGCAGGGCATGCGATGGGGGTATGACTTGCTTCATTGGTGCCCTGCAGCTCAAACCCCTAGGGGGAGCATGCAGACGGGCAGGTCTTGAGTGTGGGCTCTGACCCTGTGGCAGCATCTGGGGTTGAGTGTTTACAGCTCCTGAAGGCCCCAGTGGGCGTGTTCTACAGGGTGTTTTTTCAGCCTAGCCGTCCACAGGCGGCTTGTGTTAATCAGCTCAATTAGACCCTCTGCCTTATTGCAAGGACAGAGGGCTTTCTGTATCCCGGGATTCTTGCTCTAGTGTACTGGAAAAATCGGATCACACATGGGCGTGTAGAAGGTTTTATTGAGTGGAGTTAGCTCTCTGCAGATGTATGGGGAGCCAGAAGGGGATGGAGCGGGAAGGTGGTCTTGCCCTGGGCGGCCGGACTCTCCTCTGACTGCCCGCAACCAAATTCCGTGTCATCTCACAGTAGATGGCCTGCCAGCATCTGCTGGTATCTGCTGGTGTGTTCTTCCAGTGTGTTCCTCTAGATGTTCAGCTGCTTGTGTGTGTGCCTGCCAGGGTCTCAGGGTTTTTGTAGGCACAGGATGGGGGCGTGGCAGGCCAGGGTGGTCTTGAAAAATGCAACATTTGGGTGTGAAAACAGGAGTGCCTGTCCTCACTCTGTGGGCACAGGCCCGAGGGTGGAGCCTTCACCAGGGACCCTGCCTTTCTGTACCCAGCACTTCCCTGCCTGCCTCCCATATCACTTCCAGTACTAAAATTACAAAACAGGTAGTTGCAATAACAACTGGTTAACATTTCCTTTGAAAATTCTGAAGGGAAGTGAGGGCAACATAAGATGCAGCTTATCAAAAGTGAAAAGTAGTGATTCTAATGAATAATTTGTTAACTTAAAGCTTATTCTTAGAAAAATAAAATAAGTAGTCAAAGCAACATTGATTTCTTGTAATGGCCAGTATTTTGTGAAAAATAAAGCCAGTCAAACTTTTATGTAGGTCACAATGAATGGCATAGATTTCTGGACGAAATTGTGTAAAGAATAAACTTCAAATAAAATATCTTTAAAATTAAAATGTGTATTCTGAACGGACACTTCTCAAAAGAAGACATTTATGCAGCCAAAAAACACATGAAAAAATGCTCATCATCACTGGCCATCAGAGAAATGCAAAGCAAAACCACAATGAGATATCATCTCACACCAGTTAGAATGGCAATCATTAAAAAGTCAGGAAACAACAGGTGCTGGAGAGGATGTGGAGAAATGGGAACACTTTTACACTGTTGGTGGGACTGTAAACTAGTTCAACCATTGTGGAAGTCAGTGTGGCGATTCCTCAGGGATCTAGAACTAGAAATACCATTTGACCCAGCCATTCCATTACTGGGTGTATACCCAAAGGACTATAAATCATGCTGCTATAAAGACACATGCACATGTATGTTTATAGCAGCACTATTCACAATAGCAAAGACTTGGAACCAATCCAAATGTCCAACAATGATAGACTGGATGAAGAAAATGTGGCACATATACACCATGGAATACTACACAGCCATAAAAAATGATGAGTTCATGTCCTTTGTAGGGACATGGATGAAGTTGGAAATCATCATTCTCAGTAAACTATCGCAAGAACAAAAAACCAAACACCACATGTTCTCACTCGTAGGTGGGAATTGAACAATGAGAGCACATGGACACAGGAAGGGGAACATCACACTGTGGGGACTGTTATGGGGTGGGGGGAGTGGGGAGGGATAGCATTGGGAGATATACCTAATGCTAGATGACGAGTTAGTGGGTGCAGCGCACCAGCATGTCACATGTATACATATGTAACTAACCTGCACATTGTGCACATGTACCCTAAAACTTAAAGTATAATAATAATAATAATAAAATTTTTAAAAAGCTGCTTAATAATTTAGATTCAAATCCTAGGTGCTGAATTATGAATTATGCTTTTCTTACTCAGATTGTATTGATTTGTTGTTTGAAATATTACAAAATTACTTTTTTCTTTTTGAGACGGAGATTCGCTCTTGTCATCCAGGCTGGAGTGCAGTGGCACAATCTCAGCTCACTGCAACCTCCGCCTTCCTGGTTCAAGTGATTCTCCTGCCTCAGCCTCCTGAGTAGCTGGGATTACAAGCACCAGCCACCATGCCTGGCTAATTTTTGTATTTTTAGTAGAGACGGGGTTTTGCCATGTTGGCCAGGCTAGTCTTGAACTCCTGACCTCAGGTGATCCACCCGCCTTGGCCTCCCAAAGTGGTGGGATTACAGGCTTGAGCCACCGTGCCTGGCCACAAAATTTCTTTTATAGATGATACATATTTCTGTTTTTAAAATGATACAGACTCCTCTCCTCCTCATTACCCCTTAACTTCTTTGTTCTGTGAGTGGCAGAACTAGGATTTGAACCCAGGTGTGCTTCACTCTTAAGTCTCAGACTCTCTTTACTAATCCATGTTATTTGTACTTGGCCAACAAAAGAAAGGGTAACACAACCAGATTATTACTTATTTAGCTGACTTATACATTGGTGGGGTTAACTTGGATGGGTAACTTGGATGTGAAAATATATCTCTGCACACAGTACTGTTTTCTTCTGCCTTTCTTAGGCCTTGTCACCCTAACATCTCCTATTTCATAGGAAATAGTTCATAGCTATCTTTTAGGATTCCCCTTTACTTTGGCTCCTTTGTCCCTCTTGGTGAATGTGGACACATCTTAGATACTCTGGAAAAGTCTACCCTTGGACCAGGTTGCCCTATAGTTTTTATCATATTTTAATTTTTGTTTTCTTTGCCAAATATGGAGAAGTATGGCATAGGCCCACCGTGACTATTTTAATCTGACTTCCACCTTTTCTATGCTTCTAAGTCACTTGTAACCTACATATGTTAAAATCTGTCAGCATTTTGCAATCCCTGCTTTTTATTTTTCATTATTTTGGTGTTATTGTACACTCTTCTTTTCCTCAGTTATATTTATAAAGTAGTATTTATTGTATGTGTATTTTTTCTAAATATAAAGGTAATCTATAGCTCCTCCCACCTTTTGAAACTCTCTTGTCTCAGCTTTTATGATCTATTCTGTACTAGTTACCACTTTTCTCTCAGAATGAGTCTCAGCCACTTTGGTAACTTGCCTGATTAAGATGTCGTTATCTTTTTTTAAAATTATTTTTTCCTTTAGAGAGAAAATGCTCTTGTGATTTAAGTTGTGTATGAGACATTTCCCTACAAATAGACAACAAACAAAACTATATCTTTAACTCTTAAGGCTTTCCCTGCCTCCTAAATTTCTATTTATTCACGGAATGCCTTTCACTTACCTATCTTTAATATTGAATTATTAAACAATGGAGATCTAATATATGTAACATAAAATTTACCTTTTAAAAGTGTACAGTTTAGTGGGCTTTAGTACTTTCTATTCACAAAATTGTACAACCATCACCACTATCTAATTACTGTGTGTTTATAGTAACGTAAAGTGACAAGTGAACATTTTTGTCACTTCAAAAAGAAACCCTGTACCCATCAGCAATCATACCCCATTCACCCCATCCCTCCAGCTCCTATCAGCCACTAATCTACTTTCTGTCTGTATGAATTTGCCTATTATGGACAATTCATGTTAAGTCAGTTCATACAATATACGGCCTTTTGTGTTTGACTCTTCTTAGAATAATGTTTCCAAGTTTCATCCATATTGTGTATGTATCCGTACTTTATTCCTTGCTATGGCTGAATAATATTCCGCATTTTATGTATCAGTTGATAGACATTTGGGTTGTTTCCACTTTTGGCTTTTATGAACATTTATATGCAAGTTTTTGGGTAAACTTATAGTTTTAATTTTCTTGGGGATGGTAAGCAAGTGTTGAATATGCAGCACTTGATTGCTTGTTCATTTAATAGTCATTTATTTCACTATGATTGCTCATAACTATCCTTAGATAATATCTTTAGATAGCTATGATGAGATATCTGTCTCAGACTTCTTTACTTTGCTTTATTTTCCATTTTATCATTTTGGTGTGTATTTTGGGGTTCTTTCCTGAAATAAAATGTAAATTACTGGAGTCAATGACTGATTAAATAATTATCTTTTTGCCTTTACTGCTCTAGTTTGCTAGCTTTCAAATAATAGGTGAGTAGCCATTAGTGAGGTTACCATTGGTGTTCTGGAAATTTTTTAATTGATAATTAGATTTGTAAATTCTTTTTCTAGTCCTCAGTTTAGAGTCAGAAATGCAAAGTGTAAGAGGGAGGGAATTCTTTGAATAAAATTATAATTAATTGTGTAATATGAATATATTTGAAAATCATGCTTTTTGAAAGAGATTTATATGATAATATGAAGGTGACTTTAATCCTAGGAGGAATTCTGTTTTACTAGCACACCTGAAAGCCTGCATCAATGGAAAAATACTAAAAACTGCTCATACAGTTTTCTCTTACTGTTTAGTTTGTTTTACCTTTGTTTTATGTGCACTTTGAGGGAGCCATCTTTGGGTATTTGTGTTACTAAAAGCAGCCTGAGATTGAGCTATGCATTTATAGCTTTATCACCTCTGACATCAGTAATAGTTGGTAAGAGTTCTCTGAAATGAGCCCTGCTACTAGGTGCCATCACCAGAGGCAACAAACTGATCTTCCCTCTTTATCCGTTTCCTGCAGACAGGGTTAATATATAGTTGCTTACAAGTAATTGCTGTAGTCATTCTTCAAGGGCCAGAAACAATTTTAGGAAGGCTGTTATTACTAGCTTTTCAAAAGCCATTTCTGAGGAGCTGGTTTTAAATAAAAATTTAAAATAGAAACAAATATTTGACTCTGAATATTTTTCTAGAAAAAGTAACTACTTGATGTTAAAAAAAATAGTTCAAATTGGGATTGAGCTTTTTTAGTTTTAGGAGGTAAAGGTTTTAGTTTGATTGGAGAATATTAACACTGAAAATAAGTATTTTGCCAAATAATGGTTTTTCCCCCTAAATCCTAAGATTTATGTTCATAGTAATAGTTAGTTGTATCGGAATAGTTTAATTGTATTAGAAATTGTTAATTTTACCTGAAAAAACTTTTTTCCATTCATCCACTCTTGCAATCATCCAAGCATCCATCTTTACACCAAATATATATTTAGTATGTCATATATACCAGTACTGTTGTAGACATTGAGGATATTGCGATGAATAAGACAAAGTTTCTGTCTATATGGAACTAATATTCTATTACAGTTAATAAAAATGTATTTTAATTTTAGAAGAACTTAAGAAAAATTGGATATCTAGAGGCTATTAATTTCTAAAATGTTCTCCCCCGATTTTTAGATCTAAATGTTAAAGAGAAAATAATTGAAGACATGCGAATGACACTAGAAGAACAGGAACAAACTCAGGTAGAACAGGATCAAGTGCTTGAGGCTAAATTAGAGGAAGTTGAAAGGCTGGCCACAGGTAAAACAAGATTGCTTACATTTCTCTAAATATACTTTTTCATTTAAAAAAAAATTTCCTAGATTTCTTCCCTTGTTAAAGTAGTACGTATTTTCAGTGATTGATAATGGAAAAGTATTTGGTGTTTTTTGAATGTCCTATTACTTGTCATTTTCCACTGTGATGAAAATTGTTTCACTAAAATTATATGCAGTAAAGGAGTAAGGACACTGCATGATAACTTACGAATTATATATTGCAAGTTATGGATGATAACTTGCAGTGTTCCCTAGATGTTAAGAGTAAGTTTTCAACTGAGTTTCACCTTTGTCAGGCTTTTAGCATTATCTTGTATGTTGATCTCAATAAATACTTTGATTTCATTGCTTTCAGAATACCATCAGAGTTTTTCTAGAGTATATGGAAAAATATAACATTTACTAATAAAAATGTTATGTGTGATTCTTGTAGAAAGGGCAAGAAATTTAGAATTAAGAAATTGTCTAGCCATTTTATATATAACCTTGGCAGGGTACTTGTGCTTACTCAGCCTAATTTTCCTCATTTGTAAAATGTGGCTGATGATGATAATGCCATATGTACTATTGCACATTATTCTTTTTTTAAAATCATCTGACTTGAAGATTCATATTGTACATTATTCTTATCAAGATCAGATGAGATGAAAAAATGTAATAGTACTTTGTAAACCCTAAAACTCTATTATAACTGTATTTTGGTGGATGAAATTGTGATGAGGATGAGGACAGTGAGTCTGTGTGACTTCATACTTTTCTAGCCACTTTCATGGGCATAGAAAACTTTTTTCTTGAGGACTGCATGAAGTTTTCTATATAATAAGGTTGACAATGAATTTATTATACTATACTGTGAATACTATTCATTGGATTCCTGAGAAGTCCCTGTAGTTCCTCTTCACTAAGAATTTAGTAAGAACTCCTAAAAGTTAAACTATAGAATAGCCTCAGTTCCATCTTGGTCTGTGTTCTTTATCTGGGCTCTACTGATTTGTGTCTGTAGCCCATGTCAAGTGTATCTCTACATGGTATAACTTTTGCATATGCTTTAAAACATAATTTTATGTCTTCAAATCAGAATTGGAAAAATGGAAGGAAAAATGCAATGATTTGGAAACCAAAAACAATCAAAGGTCAAATAAAGAACATGAGAACAACACAGATGTGCTTGGAAAGCTCACTAATCTTCAAGATGAGTTACAGGTATGACTTTATGTATGTTTTTATGTATGAATGTATCTGTCTTCATTATATTTCTAATAAGAGGAGAATTCAGTATTTTATATTTAGTAATTCACTTAGATATGGGTGAAATAATACCTGGCAAATGTTAATATGTAAATATAACTTTTCAGTGCACATTGAAATGACATGGGGAAGAAATTCCAAGATATAGCCTATTAAGTGCCAGTGAAATATAGTGATTGGGTCCTTAGTTTTATGTTTCACATATTTAATTCATAAACCACTGCTTCTAATGTCCTTGTGCCCATTTTTCTACTCCTTAAACTTCTTACTCATCAAATACTGCTGTGGAGAAAATGACCATCAGGAGAATTATTTTGATTACTTTAAATCTCTTCAAAGTTTAATTATTGGAATAGAATTGTATATCTGAACACATATAAAACTATACTATATAGAAGGTATTCTATTTTGTGTGTGTGTGTTTTTTTCTTGTTCAGCTTTAACATACAACATATGGGGGAAACTTTTTTTTTCGTAGGATTTACCAAATACTATTTCATTTTGTACATTTTATTAGAAGTGGCATTCATAACAGAAGCTGTAGGATTGAAGGAAACATAATAGTTTTGGGAGATTGTCTGCCTCTAAATTTTTTAAAATTCTGGCTGTGTATTAAACATATGCTGAAAACAAATACAAAAACTACTTTTTTTGTTACATATTATATATTCTAGAATTTACCCTTTTCATTGTGAAATTCCAAAAGCAGTTAGAACAAAATAAATATTATGAAAAAAGTGTATCAACCGTATTGAGAATGTTTGCATTAAAAAGTATTTGTGTATTTTGCATTGTTCTAAGATGATGTAATCACATTAGTGTAGATTATAAACTTTGTAATCCTGGAATGGACTGCCATACTTTGTAATATAGTGATTTTAGAAGTTTTCTTTTCGTTTTTTTGAGACGGAATCTTGCTCTGTTGCCAGGCTGGAGTGCAGTGACGTGATCTCGGCTCACTGCAGCCTCCACCCCCTGGGTTCAAGCGATTCTCCTGCCTCAGCCTCCCGAGTAGCTGGGACTACAGGTACACGCCAGCTCGCCCAGCTAATTTTTTTGTATTAGTAGAGATGGGGTTTCACCATGTTGGCCAGGGTGGTCTTGATCTCCTGACCTCGTGATCCGCCCACCTTGGCCTCCCAAACTGCTGGAATTACGGGCGTGAGCCACCGCACCCAGCCTAGAAGTTTTTTAAGTGGTATTATTATTTTTATTTCAAATGAAGTTCTACTTGGGTTTTTTATATATATTATTAAATGCCTCTGAACCCAAAGAATCTGTGGTACCAGTTTGAAAATTACTGATCAGCAGTATTCTCTGTCCAGCTCTTCTGGATGTTCTTTTAATAAATATCCTGTTGCACAAGTTATTTTTTATTTGGCATCTCGTAGGCCCAGGAATATTTTATTTTTAGAACCATCCAGTTAGAAATGACCACCACAAACAAAGTCTTTTTTATTCTCTTGGCATTTAGGAAGATTTGAGTCAGTTTAACTGTTTCAGAAATTTGAATTATTTATTTTTTCTTAAGGTCACTGATAAAAGTATTTAAATGGACTTCATAGCAAAATTAACTTATAAATGAAATGCGTTTAGGAAAGCAAACCAGTTATTTTATTATTTTTTAAATAATCTGAAGCTTTGATCTTGTCATTGTTTAAAGTGAAACATTAAAGTTTTTATAGAGGTGAAAAGTAATGGATTGTATGAAAATGTTATAGAAACATGTATTGACTACTTTGTAGGCATGCGATAATAACTTATACCATTTATATATACAGGAGTCTGAACAGAAATATAATGCTGATAGAAAGAAATGGTTAGAAGAAAAAATGATGCTTATCACTCAAGCGAAAGAAGCAGAGAATATACGAAATAAAGAGATGAAAAAATATGCTGAGGACAGGGAGCGTTTTTTTAAGCAACAGAATGAAATGGTTAGTAACAATTGTATCTTTGATGTATTTCACCTACTTTCCTTGGTGTGTTAAATGTATTGCTGGAATTAACAGTTTCTACATGGTTTTCTGTTTTTGGTTTTTTAAAGGCAGGTTGTCATCTTTATAAGATAACTTCTGAGCCAATTTATCTTGACATTCACTAATGTTCTTGTTTTAACTTGTTTCAGTTGATTTAGCATGTTGGGAGAATACCTTATTGCTTCTTACTGTCTAGATACTGAAGTAAAAAATCTCTTCCTTTTGACCGTTACAGAGTATTCCCTATTATATTTTAAAACTTTCTGCATTTTGAACTGTAGATTCTAATACTGTGTACATTTTATCACATAAAGTCACCTAAATAGTTTGTAAAAGACTATATATATAGTAGAAATGACCTTCAGTTTTACATTTACTAGCTGTAGGTCTTGTAATGATTGTCTTAGCCTGTTCTTTTTTTCTAATTGGCACTTAGTCTGACATGCCATGTTGGCAATCAGAAAAAAGAAGCTAAACGTTATCGTTAATCCGAGGAAAGCTATTGAGCAACAAATATTTTAAAATGAAAAACCAGTGTCTATAAAAATAGTAACTTCGCAGTATCATATTGTCATCTGTTGGCATTTCCTTTTTTTATGACTGCATTTGACTAAAAACAGTTAAACTTTCCTATAAAAACTGAAAGATTTCCTTCCTTCTTTCCTTCCTTCCTTCCTTGCTCCCTCCCTCCCTCCTTTCCTTCCCTCCCCTCCCCCCTTTCCTTCCCTCCCCCCTTTCCTTCCCTCCCCTCCCCTCCCTCCCCTTTCCTTTTTCCTTTCCTTCTTCCTTTTCTTCATCCTGTCCTCCTTCTTCCTTTCCTTCCTTTCTCCTTTCCCTTCCCCGTGCCCATCCCCTTCCCCTTCCCTTTCCCTTTCCCTTTTCTTTCCTCTTTTAAAGAGACAAGGTCTTGTTCTGTCACCCAGGCTGGAATGCAGTGGTGCAGTCATGGCTCACTGCCGCCTCAGACTTCAGGGCAAAAGCAATCTTTCCAGCTCAGCCTCCCAAGTAACTGGGACTACAGGCACATGCCACCACACCTAGGTAAATCTTTTATTTTTTGTAGGGACAGAGACTTGCTGTGTTGCCCAGGCTGGTCTCAAACTCCTGGTCTCAAGCAGTCCTCCTGCCTCAGCTTCCCCCAAGTGTTGGGATTATGGGTGTGAGCCACTGTGCATTGTACCCGGCCTGAAATGTTAATTTTCAATAAGGTAAGGACAGTTTTTCCACTTTTTTTCTTCCCTAGCTTTAAAGCTGCTTTTAACATTGAATATTGAACAGAGTTGGCCAGTTTTTATTAAAATGAGGCTGTTGTGAGCTAAACTTTCCAGCATGCTTGCTAAACTCCAGACCATACATGTATTCTACTCCAGAAATCAAGCCCTTGGTTGAAGTGTGTGTCCTTTCTGAAGCTAGAGAGTCTACCATTGAATGCTCTGTCCTCATGTCACATGGTGTAAATTTGCTCCCATAAAAAAGTTTACTTTTTCATGAAATCATTTTATTTACAGAATAAATTTTTTGAAATCATTTTATTTACAGAAAAGTTACAGAACTAGCACATAGAATTCCTGTATACCTATCACCCAACCTTCCTGACCCAGTAGTAAGAGGCAATAAGTAAAATCAAAACAGAAGGCTGTCACAGTTGCTCCAATTCCAAACCAGTGGTTTCTCTGGTAGCAATGCCAGCAAGTAATCCCACTTTGAATTTTTAATCCTAGGGAAAGCTAGTTTACTCTTTTCTCTCATATGTTTCTTTATAATCATACTTAGGTTGTGTATGTGTCTGCCATACTTAAGAAACACATTTTTGATGTAATGTTAATTTTTGATGTAAAATTGTAACATATAACATGGAAAGGAAATAGAACATAGTTCAGTGAGTTATTGTGAAGCCAGTACCCACTTAACTAATACCTATTTCAAGAAGAGAACACTGTTCCACCCCAGAAGCTCCTTCTTCTGCCTCTTTTCCAGTGGTAATAACTAATCTGTCCTTCAGTGTTACACTTCAGTTTTGTCTGTTTTTGGGTTTTATGTAAATTGAAATATATGAATACATTTGATTGTACCTGACTTCTTTTCATTCACTATTTTATGTTTGTGAGAATCATCCATGTTTCCATGCATGTATCTGGAGTTAGTCCACTTTCATTTCAGAATATTTAAGTGTATGAATAAACCACTGCTAATTCATTTTAATGTTGAAGATATTTGGATTGTTTTCTGGTTTTGGCTGTTATGAATAAATTTTCCTATAAACATTTTTATACATTTGTTTTGGTGCACATTTGCATATATCTCTGTTGTGTGTGTGTGTGTGTGTATATATATATATATATATATATATATATACACACATGACAATTGCTAGATGATAGGGTATATATATGTGAAATTCTAGTAGAATGCTGCACTGATTTTCGAAGCAGTTGTACCCATTTATACCCCAACTAGTGTTGCAGTAGCTGTATAGTCCCACCAAGGTATGGTATTGTCAGTCAGTTTTTAAAATGGTTTTAATGTGCTTTTCCCTAATTACTGATGAAGTTGAAGATTGTTTCATTTGTTTATTGGCTGTGCCTATACAAGTTCCCTTACCTGTTTCTCTGTTGGATTATCTAGCTTCTTATTTGTAGGAATTCTTTATACTTTTCGGGATAGAAGCCCTTTTTGTAATGTGTTGCAAGTACCTTCTTTCTATCTCTAGTTTGCTTTTTCTTTCTTACTGCCTTTTTATGAGTAGGAGTTCTCATAAATTATTATTGTAGATATGGTAGATATTACAATTATTGTAGATAATTTTATTAGTATTATTGTAGATAATTGTCCCAATATTTTTCTTTATGAAGCCCAAGGACTTGAAGATGGTGTGTTATATTATTTCCTGAAAGCTTTGAAGTTTTTTATCTTTCATATTTAGATACTAGAATTGATTTTTGTGTTGGTGTGAGATAGTGGTCAAAGCTCTTGATGTTTGTTTTAATGTGAATTACCAATTGATGTGGAAATATTTATTGAAAAGACTGTTTCTTTCTCACTGCTGTGCCACTTTTGTCGTAAATCATTTGCCCACGGGTTAATTTTGTATGTGTTGTAAGATTAGGGTTGGGGTTCTTTTTTTTTTTCATTTGGTTATTCTGTTGTTCCAGCCCCATTTATTGGGAAGATTGTCCTTCCTTTTATTTAATTTTTTTGCCACTTTTTTAAGTCAGTTGACCATGCATTTGTAGATCGTCTCTTCTGTCCCATTGATTTCTCTGTCTTTACATGCTGTCTTGATTATTGTGCTAACTTGAAATTATAGATAATTGCTGTCATTTTGTTCTTCATTTTCAAAATAATTTTGAGTATTCTAGATGATTTGCATCTCCATATAATTTTTAGAGTCACCTTTTCCATTTCCACACACATTCACACATACCTGAATTTTGATAAAAACTGCTTTTACTCTCTAGATCTATTTG
The DNA here is from genome assembly GCF_000001405.40 of Homo sapiens. NCBI lineage: Eukaryota > Metazoa > Chordata > Mammalia > Primates > Hominidae > Homo > Homo sapiens. The sequence continues at coordinate 89,758,183 of NC_000010.11, forward strand.
GAGGAGACATCTTAACAATATTGAGTATTTTGATCCTTCAACACAGACCAATCTCTCTATTTATTTAGGTGTTCTTTAATCTCTTTCAGCAGTATTTTATGGTTTTATACATTTTCTTTATCAGTATTTCATGATTTTTGAACCTATTGTAAATGGTCTTGTTTTCTGTTTTCATTTTTCTGTTGTTTGTTGCTATTACTGTAATTTTACCCACTAATTTTCCAAACGTTGGCAGAAATGTTGATACTAGTTTGAAAGCTATAGCTGTAATTGTGTATTGAAAGAAGTTACCAGTAAGCTGATTTTTGGAATGAGATGGGATATGGATAAAAATAACATGGACATTTAATTTATAAAATGATATGTGTTGTTTTATAGTTAAATATTTTATCTAGACTACTTAATTTGTCTTGTAATCTTGTTTGCAGCTATATTTATGGTGTTACATATAATAATTTCTAAACATTCTTAGATTCATAATATATCAAGGTTGATTTTAATATTTTCTTTATTTCCTGATTAGGAAATACTGACAGCCCAGCTGACAGAGAAAGATAGTGACCTTCAAAAGTGGCGAGAAGAACGAGATCAACTGGTTGCAGCTTTAGAAATACAGCTAAAAGCACTGATATCCAGTAATGTACAGAAAGATAATGAAATTGAACAACTAAAAAGGATCATATCAGAGACTTCTAAAATAGTCAGTAGTCTTTTTTGCTATGCCTTTTTAATTGAACATAGTAATTACTTAATTGACTAACTCTTAAAGAATAAAAAAGTGTAAGTCTCAATAGACCAAAAAGGAATCAGAGTATTTAAAATGTGGAAATTTTTCATGATTTAGAGTCTTGAAATTTATCATTAAGATTGATTTGTCAATCAATGACTGAGATGTAGCATTTTCTCCAATATTTTGGTTATATCTCTCAGTAATTAGAAAATATTAGTATTTCTAATTACTTTGGTAGAGTAATTAGAAAATCAACAATTTATGGTTTAGTCCCCAGTCTGCGTTTAAAATATGGAAATGTGATTCAACATGAACTCTTGGTGATTTTGAATACTTGGGCCCATCCTTAACTTTATTTTATAAAGATACAAATTATTTTGAAAGTAAGCCTAATGGTAGAGAGACATTATGAGTCATTCAGCTGTTACTTTTATATTACCTTGAGACTGGAAATCCTGAAAGAGGAGAGAATTGCCTTTTACAGATAGCTGCTTCCCAGTAAATAGAATCTGGGTACATCTGAAGCTAGTCTTTCTGGAATAATCTGTACTTAAAAATCTTCTGCTTTAAAGCCTTCAGACAATAGGAAAAATATGTATGTGTGTGTCACATCAAAAGACTATTATTGTAAGAGAGATTACTTGCTTTAAAAAGAGGTAGTATTGTGTTGTTTAATAATATATCCTAGAAAGTCAGAAAAACTAGGTATCAACTGCTGTCGCTGTGGTTTTGGGACCTTTGAGAAGAATTACTTAACATTTCTGATCTTTATCTAAAACAGGTAATAGTGTTTTCCTAACAGAGTTGTGAAATTAATGAAGATTGTAAAACAAGTAGCACAGTTCTTACTCCAGTGGAAATCAATATATGCTAGTTACTTTCCCTTTTATGAATTCAGTAGAGTCTTTCTTATTTGGCAGTAATGGGGAGGTGACATAAGAGGTTTACTTGACTTTTGATTTTGATGGCTGTGATGAGGAGGTCTGTGTTACAGTTTATTAAGTTTAAAAATGTAATCTATTTCTTTATAAATCGCCTAAGTAGAGTTTAGAAATAGAACTTTATGACTGAGAAAATAGGAGGAAGAATGTGCTGCAAGAAAAGATTTAGTTTTCCTTATGGTCTTTTGTACTGTAATGCTATAGTTGCATTCCTGAGAAGCCTCCAGTTTTTCAAAATTGTGTTATCAAAAGCAACTGTTGGGATACTGAGCAATTCTAACTCAGTACAGACCTTGACCATGCCATTTAACGTGTGTCGTTCTCTATTTCCTCATCTGGAAAGTAGGAATAATGATTTTTGCCAGACCTACCTGCAGAGTTGCGATGAAAGTAAAGCAAGAGAATGTGGGCAGAACACTTGGAAGTTGCAAGCAGTCTTTCAAATTTCTCCTTAGATCAGAGTCAATAAACTGGAAAGTGACCCAGCCTTTCCTGAGTATCTGAGGTTGAAAGAGAAATAGGAGGGCTAGGTGGTAATTAAAGGTGTCTTTACTTAGTAATTTCCATTGTTTAGTTTCATACAAATCTTGATTTTATATTCTTTATGTGAAGTTTTCTTCAATATATTTTCAGGTTACAATGCCCTGTTGCTTTAATATTTCCTTACTTTAGGAAACACAAATCATGGATATCAAGCCCAAACGTATTAGTTCAGCAGATCCTGACAAACTTCAAACTGAACCTCTATCGACAAGTTTTGAAATTTCCAGAAATAAAATAGAGGTGGGTATTTGGCAGCACAGTCCACTTATTTATTCTCTTTATCCACTATTACTAAATAACACGTACAAGTAAGTTGCTGAAGATACCTTACTGCACAATTAGCTGTGTGTGCTCTGGGCTGTGTGAAAGAAACTAGAGGCTTTTGAGGAGAGGTGAAATTCTTTTGGGAGATTATATGCCCAAATGATGTTAATCTCATCTTAAAAGCAGTAGATTTGTTAATAGAAACAAACTTGATGGTCAGAAATAGGAAATCCTACTAATGAGAAAATAGGGATAATTTGCTCTCATAAAAGGTTGCTTTAATAAACATTGTGTTAAATAGTATTTTTTGGAATTGTATCCATTTAGTAGCTTTGTCACCAGTCTTCAATAACAACTCGTGAGTTTCCTTAATTTGTATTGGGCTTAGGGTTCTGTGAATAACTTTGGATAATATAGAGATTCTTAGGTTGGATATGAAATAGATAAAAATTCTATGTTACTTAAAATTTTTGAAGATAAAATTACTTTTTAAATTTCTTTTTAAAACACATTTATTGGGAGCATTCAGAGTTGGGAACCTTTTTAAGCACTGAGGATACGAACATCAATAAGACATGATTGTCATCCTCAAGGAGTGAAGAATCTAGTAAGGTAGATACATAAGTGAATGACTTGTTTGATTTTACTTCATGGGCTAAGTGTTATAGTAGAAATATAAAGTGAGTACTCCAAGGAACACTGAGGAAGATGAAATGAATTTTGCCTGAGTGTTTGTGGAAATGGATTAAAGAAGGTGATACCATATTGTATCTTATGAATGGAAGCTTATTAAGCAGACAATGAGAAGGAAAAGTCTTAAAAAAAAAAAAAAGAAATGGGGTTTCACTATGTTTCTCTGGCAGCTGAACTTGAACTCCCAGGCTCAAGCAGTCCTCCTGCCTCAGCCTCCTGAGTAGCTGGGACTACAGGCATGTGCCACCATGGCCAACTGAGAAGGACATTTTAATCTGGGAAAATAACATGAGCCATTCATTTTCTCTTGGTTTTTCCTTGACAGTTCTTAGTAGTTTCAAATAATTAGCACTAACCTTGGGGACTAATACAAATCATAAATTTCACAGAAAAGTTTGAAGTTTATCCATAAACAAGGCTTAATTCTTGATTGCATGGACAAACACATATAATGGAACATTTCTTTCTCCATAAATTTATGTATGTTGTCCTAAAACCTCCTGGTTCCAATTTTCTAATTCCAGCAGTTATTTTATATTCCACAATTTGGGGAATCATATTGTTAGGCTATTTTGTATGTTCTTGCCTTCATGTAATCGATATACTTAACTGGGCTGAAAGTCCAAAATGATTAATTCAGTTAACTGGTAGTTGATTCTGGGAATTCCACTGGACTTAATTTGTGGTCTCTCCCTGTGGATTGGACCTCTCATGGCATGGTAGCTGGTCTGAGATGGGGCATTTTGAGGGTGAGTGTCCTGAAAGTGTTCTAAGAGGACAGGACAGAAGTTGTAATGCTTCTTATGATTGAGCCTTAGAGGACCATAATGTTATTTCTACCACATCCTATTGGCTATAAGGCCCAAATTCAAATAGAGGGGAATGAGAGACTCCATCTCTCAATGGGAAGAGTAGCAAAGTATTTGCAGCCTACTTCTTTAATATAACCAGGCTGTTTGTCAAAGATCTCAGCCTCCTCCCTTGGAGATTTCTGATTTACTGGGTTTGTGGTAGAGTCCAGGAGTCTTTTAAACAAATTCTGTAAGTAATTCTTATGATCATACAAGTTTGGGAAATAGCGATGTTACCCCTAATTTTAACATACCATGTGTGAGCCTGAAGAAAGTAGATGATTGCTCAATCTTTCTGTTCTTGCTGTGATCTAGCACGCTTTTTGTCTTTCCCAATGCATTGTCTTGGATAGGCATTTGAGAGAATTAATTCTTTGTGGTTTATAAATGTATACTCTACAAATAATATTTTTCCTTTTACATTCTGTTGTAGGATGGATCTGTAGTCCTTGACTCTTGTGAAGTGTCAACAGAAAATGATCAAAGCACTCGATTTCCAAAACCTGAGTTAGAGATTCAATTTACACCTTTACAGCCAAACAAAATGGCAGTGAAACACCCTGGTTGTACCACACCAGTGACAGTTAAGATTCCCAAGGCTCGGAAGAGGAAGAGTAATGAAATGGAGGAGGTAAATACTTAAGTGATGAGTAAATTTAATGAACAAATCTTATTATAAAGCTGTTATAGTATAGAGTTAAACTGCTATATTGCCCTCCTGTTCATAGGCACTGCTGTTAGAGACCAAAATCACAATTTATGCTATATTTTATACCCTTTAAGGATATCACTGTGGGCCAGGCGTGGTGACTCATGCCTGTAATCCCAGCACTTTGGGAGGCTGGGGCTGGCGGATCACTTGAGGTCACGAATTCAAGACCAACCTGGTCAACATGGTAAAACCCGTCTCTACTAAAAATACAAAAATTAGCCAGGAGTGGTGGTGCACACCTCTAATCTCAGCTACTCAGGAGGCTGAGGCAGGAGAACAACTTGAACCCAGGAAGTGGAGGTTGCAATGAGATGAGATGGCACCACTGCACTCCAGCCTGGGTGATAGAGCGAGACTGTCTCAGAAAAATAAAGAATATTACTGTGGTTTAATGGTCTTCAGATAAAAAGCTATGTATATTAAAAGATATAGCGTCCTTGCTTCAGTTAAACTATAATACATCAAATGATGGTGGATTTTACTGGAGAGCCATTTCAGTATACCAGTCCTGTTCATACTTAGTCACTTTCCCTGTATTGGAAGAGAAAAGAGGGTTATGTAGAAATCAGAGAAACTGAAATAGCTAACTTGCTTGTGTATAATCTTTGTCATTTAACTAAAATCTTGTCTGTATGGTCCTAGCAAGTTTTAAAAGAGAAATTCTTTTTTCATCAGCCAGTGTTAAAATTTGGGCCTCTATGTAGTGGTAGGCTAAAAGCTATTAACCTCTTCTTACTGCAGTTTCTTGATTGAAGGGTTGCCAAACCTACCATGTCCTAGATGTGGAGATTTGGCAAGTCAGATGAGGTTTCTGATCCTGTTTTCTCCTTTTTGGAACAATGGATTAATGTGTTGAAAATGCTTCGCTTTTGCTCTGCAAGTGGCAGTTACATTTATTAATATAACTATTATTACTATTTATTAATAGTTACTATTAATATTTATTAATAGTATTATTTATTTATATATTTTTATTTATTTATTTATTTATTATTATACTTTAAGTTTTAGGGTACATGTGCACAATGTGCAGTTTAGTTACATATGTATATATGTGCCATGCTGGTGTGCTGCACCCATCAACTTGTCATTTAGCATTAGGTATATCTCCTAATGCCATCCCTCCCCCCTCCCCCCACCCCACAACAGTCCCCAGAGTGTGATGTTCCCCTTCCTGTGTCCATGTGTTCCCATTGTTCAATTCCCACCTATGAGTGAGAACATGCGGTGTTTGGTTTTTTGTCCTTGTGATAGTTTACTGAGAATGATGATTTCCAATTTCATCCATGTCCCTACAAAGGACATGAACTCATCATTTTTTATGGCTGCATGGTATTCCATGGTGTATATGTGCCACATTTTCTTAATCCAGTCTATCATTGTTGGACATTTGGATTGGTTCCAAGTCTTTGCTATTGTGAATAGTGCCACAATAAACATATGTGTGCATGTGTCTTTATAGCAGCATGATTTACAGTCCTTTGGGTATATACCCAGTAATGGGATAGCTGAGTCAAATGGTATTTCTAGTTCTAGATCCCTGGGAATCGCCACACTGACTTCCACGATGGTTGAACTAGTTTACAGTCCCACCAACAGTGTAAAAGTGTTCCTATTTCTCCACATCCTCTCCAGCACCTGTTGTTCCCTGACTTTTTAATGATGGCCATTCTAACTGGTGTGAGATGGTATCTCACTGTGGTTTTGATTTGCATTTCTCTGATGGCCAGTGATGATGAGCATTTTTTCATGTGTTTTTTGGCTGCATAAATGTCTTCTTTTGAGAAGTGTCTGTTCATGTCCTTCGCCCACTTTTTGATGGGGTTGTTTGTTTTTTTCTTGTAAATTTGTTTGAGTTCATTGTAGATTCTGGATATTAGCCCTTTGTCAGATGAGTAGGTTGCGAAAATTTTCTCCCATTTTGTAGGTCACCTATTCACTCTGATGGTAGTTTCTTTTGCTGTGCAGAAGCTCTTTAGTTTAATTAGATCCCATTTGTCAATTTTGGCTTTTGTTGCCATTGCTTTTGGTGTTTTAGACATGAAGTCCTTGCCCATGCCTATGTCCTGAATGGTAATGCCCAGGTTTTCTTCTAGGGTTTTTATGGTTTTAGGTCTAACGTTTAAGTCTTTAATCCATCTTGAATTGATTTTTGTATAAGGTGTAAGGAAGGGATCCAGTTTCAGCTTTCTACATATGGCTAGCCAGTTTTCCCAGCACCATTTATTAAATAGGGAATCCTTTCCCCATTGCTTTTCTCAGGTTTGTCAAAGATCAGATAGTTGTAGATATGCGGCGTTATTTCACAAGCATTCTTATACACCAATAACAGACAAACAGCCAAATCATGAGTGAACTCCCATTCGCAATTGCTTCAAAGAGAATAAAATACCTAGGAATCCAACTTACAAGGGACTTGAAGGACCTCTTCAAGAAGAACTACAAACCACTGCTCAATGAAATAAAAGTGGATACAAACAAATGGAAGAACATTCCATGCTCATGTGTAGGAAGAATCAATATCGTGAAAATGGCCATACTGCCCAAGCTAATTTATAGATTCAATGCCATCCCCATCAAGCTACCAATGACTTTCTTCACAGAATTGGAAAAAACTACTTTAAAGTTCATATGGAACCAAAAAAGAGCCCGCATCGCCAAGTCAATCCTAAGCCAAAAGAACAAAGCTGGAGGCATCACGCTACCTGACTTAACTATACTACAAGGCTACAGTAACCAAAACAGCATGGTACTGGTACCAAAACAGAGATATAGATCAATGGAACAGAACACAGCCCTCAGAAATAACGTCTGTTAAGTATTTTATTTCTCCTTCACTTATGAAGCTTAGTTTGGCTGGATATGAAATTTTGGGTTGAAAATTCTTTTCTTTAAGAATGTTGAATATTGGCCCCCACTCTCTTCTGGCTTGTAGAGTTTCTGCCGAGAGATCCGCTGTTAGTCTGATGGGCTTCCCTTTGTGGGTAACCCGACCTTTCTCTTTGGCTCCCCTTAACATTTTTTCCTTCATTTTGACTTTGCTGAATCTGACAATTATGTGTCTTGGAGTTGCTCTTCTCGAGGAGTATCTTTGTGGCGTTCTCTGTATTTCCTGAATCTGAATGTTGGCCTGCCTTGCTAGATTGAGGAAGTTCTCCTGGATAATATCCTGCAGAATGTTTTCCAACTTGGTTCCATTCTCCCCGTCACTTTCAGGTACACCAATCAGACATAGATTTGGTCTTTTCACATAGTCCCATATTTCTCAGAGGCTTTGTTTGTTTCTTTTTATTCTTTTTTCTCTAAACTTCCCTTCTCGCTTCATTTCATTCATTTCATCTAAAAAGCAGAGCGCCTCTCCTCCTCCAAAGGAATGCAGTTCCTCACCAGCAATGGAACAAAGCTGGAAGGAGAATGACTTTGACAAATTGAGAGAAGAAGGCTTCAGACGATCAAACTACTCCGAGCTACAGGAGGAAATTCAAACCAAAGGCAAAGAAGTTGAAAACTTTGAAAAAAATTTAGACTAATGTATAACTAGAAAAACCAATACAGAGAAGTGCTTAAAGGATCTGATGGAGCTGAAAGCCAAGGCTCAAGAACTACGTGAAGAATGCAGAAGCCTCAGGAGCCGATGCAGTCAACTGGGAGAAAGGGTATCAGTAATACTTATTTTTAAAGTAACTTGTTTTAAGCTTAAAACTAATTACAAACTCTCTAGCAAAATAATTTTTCTTCAACTTTCTTTTACTTCTTTGAAGAGTAGTATATTTTCAAGCTGATGTAAGAGCAGAAATAGTATTAACTATACTCCTGAGGCTCTCTGTCAGGTAATAATTTTGCTGAGTGAATATTATTCAGCATAGTTTTTCTGCTACACATGTAACACCTTTAGAGATTGTTTTATGGAGTCTTACTAGTTAACTTTTGTTTTATATTTATTTAATTTTTTAAAATAACATTAAAACACTGAGTTTCATCATCTAGTTGGCTTTTTCTTGATCCATTTTTTTTCAACGAAGAAGGAAACACCGAGTGTAGTTCTCAAGAAGGTTAAAATATAAATATTTTATTAATTTTACTATTGGCATATATCCCTCATGTATATTTCAGAAAAGATTTACAGATTGTTGTAGATACATCATGTAGAAACTTTAAATTTTCTAACTGATTTTACTCAATCTTCACTGCTATAATAAACTAAGTACATGGGCCCCCATGAAAATCATTTATGCAATCCTATTTTCTTTTTTTCTTCCACATACTCTTTTTTTTTTTTTTAATTACTAAGTTCTGTGGTATGTGTGCAGAATGTGCAGTTTTGTTACATAGGTATACACATGCTATGGTGGTTTGCTGCACCCATCAGTCTGTCACCTACATTAGGTATTTCTCCTAATGCTATCCCTCCCCTAGCCCCCCACCCCCCGACAGGCTATATTCTAATCCAGTGAAGACTCCAAAGAGCTCCTTACTGACCACTATGTGTGGAGGTAGCCTCATGGTCTCTTTTCACTGGCATCCTATGATTACCATCTGTCTTTTCCCTGTCATGGTGTCTGCTTCTTATGACCCTTATAACTTCTGCTTTGTAATTTGGATTCTGAGGTTCAGTCATGATCTTTTCTCTGCTTCTCTTCTTGCCCCCTTTTTCCTGAACTTTTATCTTTGGTACAACTAGGATTTGCAGCAGTTCAAGTCAGTGAGTATATCTGTAAAGGGCTTTGTCCTATGTGAGGTTATTTGGGGAAAAGAAGAGTAAGATGCCATACCCATGTTGTAGAGAAGAAAGATAATATTTTAAAAGTTTTAACATTTTACCTTTGGTTATTTGAAGTTTCGTTTTTATTTTATTTTTGATATTGTCAAATGTCAATGAGAGAACTTAGACATAGATGCTTGTATTATTTGGGAGTTAGGCAATAGGTAGGTATATTGTATGCTGTATTTTAAAGCTCAGTTTCAAATAAAAGATATTCCTTCCATGTTTTTCATTTAGCTTATGTAATTTCATTACTTGTGATATGTTTGAAAAATTCACACCTTCAGTCAGGGTTTCTCAACTCCAGCACAGTTGACATTGTGGGCTGTATACCTCTTTGTTTTAAGGGCTATCTATCCTGTGCATTGTAGGGATGTTTAACAGCATTCCTGACCTCTACCCACTCGTGGCCAATAATATCCCCTTCTCCCTGGCAAAGACAACCAAAAATATCTTCAAACATTGCCATTGTCCTCTGAGTTCAAAATTGCCCTCGGTTAAGAGTCACTGTTTTAAGTGATAATGTAGCTTTTTACAAATTTTCTTTTTTGAGTCTAGAGAAATAAAATATTGTCAAGAAATTAACTGGTGCTAAAATTCATTATTTTTAGGACTTGGTGAAATGTGAAAATAAGAAGAATGCTACACCCAGAACTAATTTGAAATTTCCTATTTCAGATGATAGAAATTCTTCTGTCAAAAAGGAACAAAAGGTGTGTCTTTTAATTTGTCCAAAATTGTAGCAATTATCCAGAAATCCAGTTGTGTTCAATTATAACTCATTTATCTTCTCTTTCCTATACATCTGATTCAGTTGAAATGTAACCTTTAGCATTTGGCCAGTAGCATCTACTTTATGTGTTTACTTCTGACTTTAACACTCTGCCTGTCAAACTCTTTTTGCCATTGTCTGACCCTTTTATCCCTGTCCTTACATACTTAAAGTTTCCTACCTGAGAATTCATAACCTGTCTCTGGCCTCTTTAATTCAGCTGTGGCCATAACTATTTCCTTCTAACACTTCTCATCAACAATAACAAAAAATGTTTTGTTTATTAGGTTGCCATACGTCCATCATCTAAGAAAACATATTCTTTACGGAGTCAGGCATCCATAATTGGTGTAAACCTGGCCACTAAGAAAAAAGAAGGAACACTACAGAAATTTGGAGACTTCTTACAACATTCTCCCTCAATTCTTCAATCAAAAGGTTTGCAGAAAATTAATTAAATGACCTTTTTTTGTTAGATGTTGGGTATATTTTAATACCTAATTGATATATAAACTCAACAGCTGTTCAGGGAATATTATACTTCAAATAGGCATTGTCCTATACTAGGTACTGTGGGAAGAAACATGTAAAAGGATGATAGATCTAGGTGTTCGCTATGTAGTAGAAGAGAAAGGCTTGTATTTAAGTAACTGATCCAGAGCAGGCTACTTAATATAGTAATAGGGGTATAAGCAAAGGTATGATAGTATTGGAGGGAAAAGAGCTACTCTGATTAGGGGGCTTTGGGAAGGTTTTTATGGGAGAGATGGGATTTATCCTGTGTATTGAAATGTGGGCAGGAGTACACTCTCTAGGGTGTCCAAGGGTGAGAATACAGTCATGGGTTCTTAGTTTCTGTTTTTGGTTGGGGCAGGAAATCCCCTTCCTCATCCCTGTTTTCTGCTTATCACTAGAGACAGAAACTAAAAACCATGGCTTCAGGCCGCTAAAAGCCTAAAACAAAACAAAACAAAACAAAACAGAACAAAAACAACAACAAAATAAGGTGGGTTGGACAAGTTTGCCAGTATTAGTATTATGGTATATATCCTCCTAGTGTTTTTTTTTCTGTGCATATGTAAACATTATCTGTTTATGTACAATATGTCAAAAACACATTATTTTCATAAATACCTATTGAGTTTAGCTGCAGAAACAGTATGCTTAGTGCTTTTTTTCTTGATAATATAATGTGGACATATTGATACCTGTGTATATGTTAAGATATATACACATGTGTGCACATATGCGGAAGGAATGGTTTTAACACAGGTGGAGTATCAGAAAAATGTAGGAAATGTTCATGCAATTACAGGCAGCAATACACATCTGGCATGTAGAATGTGGAAGGACTATCTTAGGGGTGAGATGGAGTAGTGGGTTTTTGTGAGGTTACCTGAATGACAGCAATAGGATGAATTAGAGACCAGAGTGAGGGGTATAGGGAAGGAAAGGAACTAGAAGCAGGGGGCAGTTAAATTGAATCAAATATGTTGTGTGAAAATACTTTTTGTCGAAGGCTTACCACAGACGTTTCCAAACTTTGTTGGTTCACAGTGCCCTTAATGTCTCAGTAATTAATTTCCATTTTGCCTCTGCACCCAAAGAACCACTAGTAGTCTCATGCATTAGAACTTAAGACCAAACAACCACTGAAAATTCAGCTTCTGAAAATCCAGATTGCAAAGATAATGTCATAATGAAAAGAAATGTAATTCAGTATCGTTTTGAAATTGAACTACCTTGGGCTATTGAGCATCACTATTTTCCCTGAAGATTGAAAATATCCTGAGGTGCTTCTGTAAGTTTGCTGCAGCATGCCTTAGTACACAGTTTGGGAACTTCTGACCTATCAGACCCATTTGTATATTTACATACATTTAAAAAAATATGTACATTTAAAAAATGTGTTTGTATAAACAGAAAATATCTGGAGGGACAAACAGCAAACTGTTAAATATCTAAATTTGGAGAGGAGGGACATCTTTCTTTAGAGTCCTTTAGGCTTACTACCACTTTTATATTAAAAAGAAATATATTTTCAAGGAGAGGTAGGTACCTATAATAAGTATGTAATCAGATAAGGGTAATGATTCTCTTACTTCATTGACTTGGTTCCTTAACAGCTTCCCTACCAATGCACTTGACATACATTTTTTTTTTCCTTTTTTCTTTTTGTTTTTACTTATTTCTAGAAATATAAGATATCCCTATTTTGAACTGTAACTGTAATACATATTTGTTGTTTTGGGTCACTTGGAAATATAGAGAGAAAAGAAAAAATGGAGATTAATTTTTAAAATTCTGCTGCTCTGATAACCACTGTTAATCCATCACTTAGTATCACTGGTCTCCCAGCTTGCCCCTCTTGTCATCTCCCATCCATTCATACATGACAGAATGTTCTTTTCAAAGTGCAGATTGAATTATGTTACTCCTCTGATCCTTTAATGATTTCTCATTCTTCTGAATGACCTGATTTCTGACTCTCTCCAATCTATCTCTTATTATTCTACGGTTTGATAACTAGCCAGCTTCAATCCTGCTAACTTCTGACAGTTCCTAGAATTTGCCAGCTTCTTTCTTACCTTCATATCATTGATTTCTTTTGCTTTTTCCTGTGCTTTCTTTTATCTGGAACACACCCTGGCTTTTGTCTTAGCTGGCCCCTTACCCTTGAGCCCTCATAGCTGATGGAACGTTATTAGGGAGACACCTTCCTTCATCACCCTGTCACTACCCCTCATCCCCAGCATCACTTAATCTTTATTATTCAATCCTATTTTTTGTCTTAGCACTTTTTAAACTGTAATTCTTTGCTTTCTTATTATCTTTTACACTAGAATATAATCTGCACGGACAAAATGTCTGTCTAGTTCATACTGTCAGCTCTTAGTATAGTGGCTAGCACATAGTAGTGATGAGTTTGGCTCTAGGCCAACATATGTATGATTTTTAAACATTTCTATTTTTTTTAGGCTGTACCATAGGCAATTACAAAGACTTACCTGACAAGCTTCCCTTCCTACACCAGACTTGATGCATAGCCAATGCATTATAATCTCTTAAGGGAGTTATAGTCAAGGATCCAGCATCCCCCAAGCTAGTCATGCTCTTACTCATATTTGCATATTTAGCCTGAGTGCCTCCATTCAGAGCCTCTTTATTGAGGCCTTTGGTGGAGGCCTTCTTATGGAGGGGAACAGGAGGGGGAACCTTGAAGACGCTTTTCTCCACTGTAACTCGGTACTTTTCCACGTATAGCTCCCTCCAACCTCCAGCCCTGAGGTCTATAAAACTGCGAGAGCCTTTTGTTTGGGGCTGCCTGGGTGGTAAAATGACCACCACTTCTATGCTGATCTGTATTATTCTGTGGTGGACTATAGAAGAGGGTGGGTAGGAGCTGGTGCTTTCTCAGGTTTAGTCTCTCGCATATACTGTTGAAATAAGTGGTTAAAAAGCTGGGTTGTTACTTTCATTTTGGCTTGTTGTCTTAACTGGCTTCTCCGATACCTGGACTCTCAGCTCTCTCAAGCCCAGCTCAGCCCTTAACAAGTAGTCTTCTCAATTTAGTCTAATGCCTTAAATGTTTTTTCTATTTAAAAAAAAATATTTGATATCACATGTGTGTGAATTTCTATCCAGGAATTTTCCCACATGGAAATATGTTTTCTATTAAAAAAAAGTACTATGTACTATGTACATAGTAAGGAATTTAAAAATTCCTATTCTACTTCCCTAAAAGCAATCAGCTGTTAACAGTTTGGTTTCTCTCCATTTGTGTGTGGACTTGAAGTAAAGGGTTTACAAAGTATTTTCATGCAGCATTCATTGTGCATAACTTTATGCATGAGCATTGAACTAGATCATCTACCACCTTATTTTTAATGCTGCATGATCCACTATGTATATATCCTGCTCTTTTGCTTAACATAGCATAAACATTTTCCAAGTCATTAAAGATGCCTGAGGTTTTTTACTACATTGAACATTAATCAAATGATACTTTATTTGCTTTTTTTTTGCTGTCGATCATTATTTCATGTTCTCTTGACATTTACTTTTTTTCTTTGTGATTTGTCTATTCATGCCCTTTCACCATATATATATTGCAGTGTTTTTAGTTTGTGTATGTTCATTCTTTATTAAGGATTTCAAACCATCTTTATTAAGGATTTCAAATCACCTTTGCAATTAGAAAATTATTTCAGGAACTAATTAACAATTTTATTTTATAGCAAAGAAGATAATTGAAACAATGAGCTCTTCAAAGCTCTCAAATGTAGAAGCAAGTAAAGAAAATGTGTCTCAACCAAAACGAGCCAAACGGAAATTATACACAAGTGAAATTTCATCTCCTATTGATATATCAGGCCAAGTGGTAAGCTAGTATTTCTGTTTTCATCAATGTAGAACTGTTCGTGTTCTTTTTAATTTTTTACAGTGGTTTGAATTTCAATTCTTTAGATCTCTGAAAACACATGCTATAAAGGTCATGCTTTTAGTCTCACATGTGTTAAGTTTATACTAATTAAATATAAATACTGTATTAAATGTATATAAGCGTCATGCATTTGCATTTGAAAATGCATCAGAGGAATTTATTTCCAATAATAGAATTGTCACTATTTAGTAACTTATTTGCCTCCACAATCTTTTTTTCTTTTTCTTTCTCTTTTTTAAATCACGGGAGTTGTACAAATCTGGGCCCAAGTGTTCCTGGTAAAAATATAAAACTGACATTCAGCCATTTCCTCCCACCTTTCCCCTAAGCCTTTGAGGATCTATTAGGAAGAGACTGTAGTTATCACCCTGAGTCTATGATTCATTCTCCTGATTCAGAACAGTATGTGCTGTCACAGGGAAAGCTCAAATTTTCTGTCATGCTTGCATTTGCTTAGTGGATGAAAGTGAAGGTAAAAAAATAATTAAAAGAAATTAAAAAAATTAAAAAGAAGTGGCCAAGAAAAATCAGGAGAAACCTTTTTTGCCACAAGAGCTTTCAGATATGAGATTGACACTTGAATGCAAGATGTAAAGAGTTAGGGTAAATTAGGGCATGGTGTTGTAAGTACCATTCTGTCAGTCATTTTTGAGCATCTGTTTGATTAGTACCTGATTTCTTCCCTTGGCTGAAAATTGTTTTCTTAGTTACTATATAATGTGCTTTCTACTTTCTAAGTTATACATTTGTTGCCACGAAAGATCATTTCTTAAAAATTATTTGAGGCACTTGTCTCCAAATATTTTAGTAATTATTTTAAGTTATATCTGCCTTGAATTCAATATGGAGTCTAGGTTATTTTACTTCTAGAATTTGATAGTGTTGAATCTTTTACAAAGTCTGTTTTTTAAATAAATTTTTATAGAAGATGGCATATCTGTAGTCTAAGTAAAAAAAATTCTCCAATGTATCATTTCAGTTACTAAGCACATGAACATGTCTTACTCATTATAAACAAGCTTTTATTTTTATTTTCACTTACAAGCTTTGAAAAACTATGAAATTTTTAATTTCAGATTTTAATGGACCAGAAAATGAAGGAGAGTGATCACCAGATTATCAAACGACGACTTCGAACAAAAACAGCCAAATAAATCACTTATGGAAATGTTTAATATAAATTTTATAGTCATAGTCATTGGAACTTGCATCCTGTATTGTAAATATAAATGTATATATTATGCATTAAATCACTCTGCATATAGATTGCTGTTTTATACATAGTATAATTTTAATTCAATAAATGAGTCAAAATTTGTATATTTTTATAAGGCTTTTTTATAATAGCTTCTTTCAAACTGTATTTCCCTATTATCTCAGACATTGGATCAGTGAAGATCCTAGGAAAGAGGCTGTTATTCTCATTTATTTTGCTATACAGGATGTAATAGGTCAGGTATTTGGTTTACTTATATTTAACAATGTCTTATGAATTTTTTTTACTTTATCTGTTATACAACTGATTTTACATATCTGTTTGGATTATAGCTAGGATTTGGAGAATAAGTGTGTACAGATCACAAAACATGTATATACATTATTTAGAAAAGATCTCAAGTCTTTAATTAGAATGTCTCACTTATTTTGTAAACATTTTGTGGGTACATAGTACATGTATATATTTACGGGGTATGTGAGATGTTTTGACACAGGCATGCAATGTGAAATACGTGTATCATGGAGAATGAGGTATCCATCCCCTCAAGCATTTTTCCTTTGAATTACAGATAATCCAATTACATTCTTTAGATCATTTAAAAATATACAAGTAAGTTATTATTGATTATAGTCACTCTATTGTGCTATCAGATAGTAGATCATTCTTTTTATCTTATTTGTTTTTGTACCCATTAACCATCCCCACCTCCCCCTGCAACCGTCAGTACCCTTACCAGCCACTGGTAACCATTCTTCTACTCTGTATGCCCATGAGGTCAATTGATTTTATTTTTAGATCCCATAAATAAATGAGAACATGCAGTCTTTGTCTTTCTGTGCCTGGCTTATTAACATAGTAATATCCAGTTCCATCCATGTTGTTGCAAATGACAGGATTTCATTCTTTTTTTACAGCTGAATGTTTATGTCCCACATTTTTTTATCTAGTCATCTGTTGATGGACACTTAACTTGCTTCCAAATCTTAGCTATGGTAAACAGTGCTGTAACAAACATAGGTGTGCAGATATCTCTTCTATTTCCTTTCTTTTGGGTACATACCCAGCAGTGGGATTGCTGGACCATATGGTAGTTTTTTGAGGAAGCTCCAAACTGTTTTTCATAGTGTTTGTACTAATTTACATTCCTACCAACAGTGTACAAGTGTTCCCTTTTCTCTATATCCTCATCAGCATTTGTTATTGCCTATCTTTTGGATATAAGCCATTTTAACTGGGGTGAGATGATATCTCATTGTAGTTTTGATTTGTGTTCCTCTGATGATCTGTGATGTTGATCACCTTTTCACATGCCTATTTGCCATTTTTATGTCTTCTTTTGAGAAATGTCTATTTAAATCTTTTGCCCATGTTTTTTTTTTAGTCAGTTTATTAGATGTTTTCCTATAGAGCTGTTTGAACGCTTTACATATTCTGGTTATTAATCCCTTGTTAGAAGGATAGTTTGCAAATGTTTTCTCTCATTCTGTGAGTTGTTTCTTCACTTTGTTGTTTGTGTTCTTTGCTGTGCAAAAGCTTTAAACTTGAGGTGATCCCATTTGTCCATTTTTGCTTTGGTTGCCTGTGCTTGTGGGGTATTGCTCTAGTAGAAGTCTTTGCCTAGGCCAATGTTCTGGAGATTTTCCTCAATGATTTCTTATAGTAGTTTCATAGCCTGAGGTCTTAGATCTACATCTTAATCCATTTTGATTTGTTTTTTTGTATATGTGAAGAGATAGGGGTCTAGTTTCATTCTTTTACGTGGGGATATTCAGTTTTCTCAGCACCATTTATTAAAGAGACTGTCTTTTCCCCATTGTTAGTTTTTGGCACCTTTGTGAAAAATGAGTTCACTGTAGTTGTGTGGATTTGTTTCTGGGTTATTCTGTCCCATTGGTCTATGTGTCTGCTTTTATGTCAGTACCAGGCTGTTTTGGTTACTATAGCTCTATGGTATAATCTGAAGTCAGGTAATGTGATTCCTCCAAGTTTGTCCTTTTAGCTTAGGATAGTTTTGGCTGTTCTGGGTCTTTAGTGGGTCCATATAAATTGTAGGATTATTTTTTCTATTTCTGTGAAGAATGTAATTGGTATTTTGATAGGGATTGCCTTGTAACTGTAGATTGCTTTGGGCAGTATGGACATTTTAACAATACTGATTTGTCCAATCCATGAACATGGAATATTTGTTCATGTTTTGGGGTCCTCTTCAATTTCCTTCATCAGTGTTTTATAGTTTTCATTATAGATATCTTTCACTTCTTTGGTTAATTTCTAGGTATTTAATTTTATGTGTGGCTGTTGTAAATGAGATTACTTTTTAAATTTCTTTTTCAAATTGTTTGCTGTTGGCATATAGAAATGCTACTGATTTTTGTACATTGATTTTGTATCCTGCAACTTTACTAAATTTATCAGTTCTAATAATTTTCTTGTGGTCTCTAGGTTTTTCCGAATATAAGATTATATCATCAGCAAACAAGGATAATTTGACTTCTTCCTTTTCAAGGATGCCCTTTGTATCTTTTTCTTCTTGGATTGTTCTAGCTAGGACTTCCAGTACTATGTTGAATAGCAGTGGTGAAAGTGGGCATCCTTTTGTTCCAAATCTTAGAGGAAAGGCTTTCAGTTTTTCCCCATTCAGTATGATACTAGCTGTTGGTCTGTCATATATGGCTTTTATTATGTTGAAGTATGTTCCATCTATATCTAGCTTTTTGAGGGCTTTTATCATGAAGGGATGTTGAATTTTTTTTGAGGGCTTTTATCATGAAGGGATGTTGAAATGCCCTTTCAACATGAATTGAAATGATCATATGGTTTTTATTCTTCATTCTGTTGATGTGATATAGCATGTTCATTGATTTGTGTATGTTGAACCATCCTTACATCCCAGCAATGAATCCCACTTGGTCATGATGAATGATCTTTCTAATGTATTGTTGAATTCAGTTTGCTAGTACTTTGTTGAGGTCATTTTGCATCAATATTCATCAGAGACATTGGCCTGCAGTTCTCTTTTTGTTGTGTCTTTGTCTATTCTTGGTATCAGGGTAATACTGGCCTTGTAGAATGCATTTGGAAGTATTCCCTCCTCCTCTGTATTTTGGAATAGTTTGAGTAGGATTGGCATTAGTTCTTCTTTAAATGTTTGGTAGAATTCAGCTGTGAATCCATTGGATCCCGGGGTTTTCTTTACTGGGAGGCTTTTTATTACGACTTTGATCTCGTTACTTATTGGTCTGTTCAGATTTTGGATTTCTTCCTGATTCAATCTTGGGTAGGTTTTTTGTATCTAGGAATTTTGTCCATTTCTTCTAGATTTTTCAATTTACTGACATGTAGTTGCTCATAGTAGCCTCTAATTTCTGTGGTATCAGTTGTATTATCTCCTTTTTCATTTCTGATTTTATTTGAATCTTCTCTCTTTTTTTTCTTGGTCTGGCTTAAGGTTTGTCAATTTTGTTTAACTTTTCAAAAACCAACTTTTTGTTTCATTGATCTTTTGTATTTTTAATTTCAATTTTGTTTATTTCTGCTCTGATCTTTATTATTTCTTTTCTACTAATTTTGGGTGTGGTTTGCTCTTGCTTTTCTCGTTCTTTAAGGTGCATTGTTAAATTGTTTATTTGAAGTTTTTCCTGTTTTTTTTGATGTAGGCACTTATAACTATAAATTCCCTGTGAGAACTGCTTTTTCTATATCCCTTAGGTTTTGGTATGTTGTGTTCCTATTATCATTTGTTTCAAGAAATTGTTCAGTTTCTTTCTTAATTTCTTTATTGACCCACTGGTCATTCAGGAGCATATTAATTTCCATGTATTTTTACAGTTTCCAAAATTTGTTATTAATTTCTAGTTTTATTCCATTGTAGTCAGAGAGGATGCTTGATGATGTTTCAATTTTTTTGAATGTGTTAAGGCTTATATTGTGAGCTAAAATGTGGTCTTTGAGAATGCTCCATGTGCCGAAGAAAAAAATATGTATTCTGCAGCTCTTGGATGAAATGTTCTGTAAATATCTGTTTAATATTAGATCCTTGTGGTCTGTAGTACAGATTAAGTCTGATGTTTCTTTTTTGATTTTCTTTGAAGATCTGTCCAATGCTGCAAGTGGGGTGTTGAAGTCTCCAGCTATTATTGTATTGGGGCCTATCTTGCTCTTTACTTCTAATGATACTTGCTTTATATATCTGATGTGCCAGTTTGGATTCATATATATTTACCATTGTTATATCCTCTTGCTTAGTTGATCTCTTTTTCATTATATAATGACTTTGTTCTTTTTTATAGTTATTTTGTTGAAATTGATTTAGTATGATATAACTGTAGTGACTCCTGCTCTTTTGATTTCCATTGGCATGGAATATATTTTTCCCTCTCTTTCTTTCAGTCTGTGTGTGTCTTTGTAGGTGAAGTGTGTTTCTTGTAGGTAACATATCAATGGGTCTTGTTTTTTCATGCAGTCAGTCTGTATTTTAGATTGGAGAGTTTAGTTCATTTACATTTCATGTTGTTAATGATAAGTAAGGGCTCACTACTGTCATTTTGTTGTTTGTTTTCTGGTCTTCTGTCTTTCTGACTTCCTCTAGTGAAGGTGATTTTTCTCTGGTGGTAATATTTAATTTCTTCGTTTTTATTTTTTGTGTATTCATTGTATGTTTTTTTTTGGTTTGAGGTTACCATGAAGCTTGCAAATACTATCTTATAACCCATTATTTCAACCTGATAACAGCATTATTTATTTACATAAACAAGCAAAAATAAAACTAATAAAAACTCTACTTTTTAACTTCATACCCCTGCTTATTAACTTTTTGTTGTTTCTATTCATATCTTATTGTATTGACTATGTCTTGAGTTGCTGTAGTTGTTATTTTTGATTGGTTTGTCATTTAGTCTTTCTACTTAGGATAAGAGTAGTTTACACACCATAGGTACAGAGTTATAATGTTCTATGTTTTTCTGTGTACTTATTATTACCAGTGAGATTTGTTTTTGCAGGGGATTGTTTATTACTCATTAATCTCCTTTTCTTTCTGATTGAAGTACTCCCTTTAGCATTTCTAGTTGGACAGGTCTGGTATTGATGAAATCCCTCAGCTCTTGTTTGTCTGGGAAAGTCTTTATTTCTTCTTCATGTGTGAAGGATATTTTTGCTGGATATACTATCCAGTATAAAAGTTTTTTCTCTTCAGCACTTTAAATATGTCTTGCCACTCTCTCCTGGCTTGTATGATTTCCACTGAAAAGTCTACTGCCAGACATATTGGAGCTCCTTTGTATATTATTTGTTCCTTTTTTCTTGCTGCTTTTAGAATCCTTTCTTTATCCTTTACCTTTGGGAGTTTTAATTATTAAATGCCTTGAGGTAGTCTTCTTTGAGTTAAATCTGCTTGATATTCCATCACCTTTTTGTACTTGGATATTGATATCTTTCTCTAGGTTTAGGAAGTTCTCTGTTATTATCCCTTTGAATTTCTATCCCTCTGCCTCTTCTTTAAGGCCAGTAACTCTTAGATTTGTCTTTTTGAGGCTGTCTTCTAGATCCTGTTGCCATGCTTCATTGTTTTTTATTTTTTCTTTTGTCTCCTCTGACTATATTTTAAATGTTTGTCCTCAAGCTCACTAATTCTTCTGCTTGATGAGTTCTGCTATTAAAGAACTTGGATGCATTCTTCACTATGCCAATTACATTTTTCAGCTTCAGAGGTTCTACTTGATTTTTAAAAGTTATTTTAATCCCTTTGTTAAATTTATCTTACAGAATTTATCTGAATTCCTTCTCTGTGTTACCTGGAATTTCTTTGAGTTTCCTCAACACAGTTATTTTGAATTCTCTGTCTGAAAGGTCACGTATCTCTGTTTCTCCAGGATTGGTCCCAGGTGCCTTATTTAGTTCATTTGTTGACGTCATGCTTTCCTGGATGGTGTTGATGCTAGTAGATATTCTTTGGTGTCTGGGCCTTGAAGAGTTAGGTATTTATTGTATTCACTGTCTGGGCTCATTTGTATCTGTCCTTTGGTAATGCTTTTCAGATATTTGAAAAGGCTTGGATGTTGTGATCTAAGCTGTATCTACTTTAGGGGGCACCCGAAGCCCACTAACACTGTGGTTCTTCCAGGCTTATAGCAGTATAGCCTTGCTGGTCTTAGACAAGCCCTGGGAGAATTCTTTGGATTACTAGGCAGAGATTCTTGTTCCCTTTTCTTATTTTCTCCCAAACATACAGAGTCTGTCTCTATTCTGAACCACTTAGAGCTGGGAGTGGATGACAGAAGCACCCGTGTGGCTACCACCACTATGATTGTGCTGGGTCATACCCGAAGCCAGCACAGCACTGGGTCTTGCCCAAGGCCTGCTGTAACCTCTCCCTGGTTACTGCCTATGTTCGCTCAAGACCCCAGCATTCTACAGTCATCAAGTGGCAAAGCCAGCCAGGCCTGCGTCCTTCCCATGAAGGCGGTGAGGGCTCCTAAACCCTGGATGGGCCCAGAAGTATTGTCTGGGAATCAGGGACTCGAGTCAAAAACCTTAGAAATTTACAAGGTATTCTGTTGTACTGTGGCTGAGCCAGCATTCAAACTACATGATGCAATCTTTCTCACTCTTTTGTCCCCTTTCCAAAGGGAGCGGAGCCTCACCCCGTAGCCTCACCACCCCCTGCCACAAGGAGTACTGCCAGAGTATCACGGATGTTCCTTTAAGGCTTAGGGTAGCTTAAGTCAGCTTGTCTTGAACGCTGCCTGGCCTGGGACCCACCCTTGAAGGCAGTGGGCTCCCCTCTGGCCCAGGGCAGTTCCAGAAATTCCATCCAAATTCTGGAATTGGGGACCCCAAGGGTCCACTTAATGCTGTATCCCACTGTGGCCATGCTGGTACCTAAGGTGCAGGACAAAGTCCCCTTTACTTTCCCCTGTGCTTTCTCAAGCAGAAGTTTTACCCCATACTCACCAAAGCTGGTTATGTGCTGAGTCTCAACTTGAAGCCAGCAAGCCTCAAGAGATTCACCCAGGGTCTTCTTGTGGTATCTGGGTATTGCACTGGTTATTCAGGGCCCAAGGGCTCTTCAGTTAGCAGGTGATGAATGTTGGCTGGGATAGGTCCTTTCTTTGAAGGCATCGGGTTCTCTTCTGTCCCGGGGTGTGTCTAGAAATATCTTCTGGGAGCTAGGGCCTGGAATGGGTGCCTCATGACTCTGACTAGGGCCCTGTCCTGCTGTGGCTGAGCTGCTATCCAAGATTCAAGACAAAGTCCTCCTCACTCTTTTCTCACTTCTACTCAAGTGGCAGAAAAGGGTCTGTTTTGGAGCCATGAGCTGTGTAGCCTGGTGTTAGGGGAGGGGTTATGCTAGCATCCCCTTGGCTGCGCCAGATGTCACGTGCCCCTTCTGTCCAGTGTCTCTGGGCCTAATTTGGCACTAAGACTCTCCCAGGAGTTGCTGTCCTTATGGCCTAGACTTCCTTTCAGGTTTACTTGGAGACACAGAGTCCTGTAGCTGGCATTGGTGAGGTTTGCAGGAACTCAAGTTCTGACTGCTGATGTTGGTGGTTCCCCTCTGGCTAGGGCTGGTTTGATTGCTTTCTCCATGGGTGGGTGTCAGTGGAGTTTGGCTCAGCTTTCCTTTCTGCTCTAACAGGACAGCACTGAGTTCAGTGCCTCATAATTTTCTGTGTTCTCCCTTCCTCAGTGCCCAGAGAAGCTCTCAACACCATGCTGCTGCTGGGGGTGCGGGAAGGGTGGCATAGGTGATTCAGGATTACTTTTTTTTTTTTGTCTCTTCACTGCGTCTTTCAGCTATATGAAGTTAAAACCAGTTATTATGAGTTCTCACCTGATTTTTGGTTCTAATGAAGGTGTTTTTTTCTGAGTAGATAGTTGATAATTGTTAACTTGGTATCCTTATTGGGGGTCGATTGGTGGGGCTTTCTATTTCGCCGTCTTGCTCCACCCCCTCTTGTCTTTTATTTTTTAATAATACAGTTGGCTTTCTGATTTTTTTTTCAGGACACAGAAGATTAGACATAGAAAATTAGGAAGAAGAGAGAGCATCTAGAAGCCAAAACAGTGACAGTTAGAAAAGAAATAGAATTTAGACCTAGGGGGACATTAGAAATACAGTTTCTTCATTTTACAGACGAGAAAACCCAGAGCCGTAAACTTTACTTAATTCTGCAAGGTCATACAAACAAGATGTATTGAGCTGTTGGTTTAAAAAAACACCAATAAGAGACAAAAAACACAAGGTAAATAAAGCAGAAACCTTAAGAATTGTTGCCAACTGGGGCTTTTAAATTTAAGAACATACATTTATACATCTAAAAGGTTTTATTGAATTTTAGCATTGTTGACTTGATTATTAAAATGATGACCCTGAGTCAGTAAGGCAAGTTATCTTCGATTCTTGTTTAGGAGCTCTACACATTATATTTAGGGAAATTTTCCATTAAAGTCATTATATCAACACAGCCTTTTAAAAGCATTAAAATGTTTTCATTATGCTATCTAGAAAAACATAGTTGGTCTTCATTATTCATAGATTCTATATTTGTAAATTTGCTGACCTGCTAAAATCTATTTGTAACCCCTAAATTAATGCAGTGCTTTTGTAGTTGTGGATATGTGCACAGTGGCAAAAATTTGAGGTTCCCAATATGCACATTCCCAGCTGAGATTGAATAAGATAAACACTCTACCTTCTTGTTTCAGCTATTATACTGTAAATAAGTGTCCCTTTCTAGAATATGCGTTAAAATCAAGCCTTGATCCACAAGGGAGTCAGAATTTGCAGAGTGAGTCCTGCCAAATTAAAAGGACTTGTGAAACACCTTGAGCTTTTTACAGATCTACACTAACAAAGCATAAAACTAAGCCTACTTAAGTTGAAAGCAACCAGCTAGTAGTCAAAATGCCTGCTGGAACAAAAACCAGCACTTTTAGAGGAAGATACAAAGCAGATTTTCGACAACATATCTTTTTTTTTTTCTGGAGATGGAGTTTCACTCTTGTCACCCAGGCTAGTGTGCAGTGGCGCAATCTTGGCTCACTGCAACCTCCGCCTCCTGGGTTCAAGTGATTCTCCTGCCCCAGCCTCCCAAGTAGCTGGGAGTACAGATGTGCACCATCATACTCGGCTAATTTTTGTATTTTTAGTAGAGATGGGGTTTTACCATGTTGGCCAGGCTGATCTCGAACCCTTGACCTCAGGCGATCCGCCTGCCACGACCTCCCAAAGTGCTGAGATTACAGATGTGAGCCACAGTGCTCGGCTGACAACTATCTTTTAAAATGTATGGTATATATTCAAAAATTATTAGGTATGGAAAGAAACAGGAAAATCCCACAGTAAAGACAGAAGGCAGTCAAGAAAAAACCTTAACATTGCTTAAATGTTGAATTTTGCAAAATCTTTAAAGGAGCTATTATGCACATGTTCAGGGATATAAAGGAAATGCCATCTTAATGAGTAAAGCAATAAGGAAAGAGAAATGGAAAGTACAAAGATAAAAACAAATGGAATTGTACAATAGAATGGTAAAATAATGAAATGGAAAATCCACTAGATAAAATTAACCACACATTGGGAGGTGTCACAAGAAAGTGTCAGTGACCTTGAAGACAGATCAACTGATACAATCTGAATAAAGGAGATTGAAGGGAAAAAACAAGAGCCTTGGGGTCCTGTGGAACAATATCAAAAGAGCTAACACTTGTAGTTGGAGATTCAGAAGGATAAAATAATGAAAATAAGGCAGGATAAACTATTTGAAGAAATAATGGCCCACAGTTTTTCCAGCTCCTATGAGGATGTATTGACTTAGAAGCCCTGCAAATCCCAAGTAGGATAAATCCAAATAAAACTGCATTTAGGAAGATTATTGTCAAACTGCTAAAAACCCCATAAAGAGAATATCTTTTTTTTTGAATTTTATTATTATTATACTTTAAGTTTTAGGGTACATGTGCACAACGTGCAGGTTTGTTACATATGTATACATGTGCCATGTTGGTGTGCTGCACCATTAACTCGTCATTTAGCATTAGGTATATCTCCAGCAACCTGAAAAAAACACAACACATTGCATACAAGCTGCTGACTGGAAGGAAATATTTTTCGCAATACATTATCAAAAGATTTATGTATAGGAATACATAAGGAACTCCTAAAATTGTAATGAGAACACAGTCCAACGAAAATCTCGTAAAAGACTTGAATAGGTGCTTCACTAAAGAAGATACAGGCAATGGTCAGCATGCATATGAAAAGATACTGGAAGTCATTAGTTATCAGGGAAATGCAAATTAAAGCCATAAGGCGAGGCAAATCTATAGGGAGAAAAGGAAGATTAGGAATTTCCTGGAGGCTGGGGTCAGGATGTGGGATCAAAGGACATGAGAACCTTTAGGGAAATGGATCTATCCTATACTTTGATTGTTGGGTATACAGTTAATAAAAATTAAGCTGTCCTTTCGAATTGAGTGAATTTTATTGTATGACATTTTACCTCAATAGAAAGCCGAAAAAGGTAATATTTTCTCTCTCTCTCACACACACACACTCTCATGATACTATTCCTTGGAGACTAGAAGCTAAAATTAGAAAACTGGCATTACCAAGTAAAACTTTCTGGCTTGTAGCACATATTTTTCCCCTTGCTATAGAGTTAATGTTTATTATAAAAAGAGATCATGTTGTGGGTAAACTTTTAGGCACATCTTTTGACAAAGAATTATAAGATGTGGTGAGTTAGAAATACAATTTATAATTGAAGCATTTTATTAAAGTTCACTTTAGAATACAAGTTTTAATAATTTCAATTGATGAGAAGCAGATTTTGGGACAATTTGAAATTCCATAGTGTTACGGGTGGAGGGTGTCCAGGTTCCTGGCATATCAAACAAAGAATTGGACAAAACAAAAACAAAGTGAGGAAAGAATGAAGCAACAAAAGCAGAGATTTATTGAAAACAAAAGTACACTCCACAGGATGTGAGCAGGCCCAAGCAAGCGGCCCAAGAGACCAGTTACAGAATTTTCTGGAGTTTACTCTCTAGAGGTTTCCCATTGATTACTTGGTGTACACCCTATGTAAATGAAGTAGTGGCCCACAATCAGTCTGATTGATTGAGGGAGGGGACCAATCAGAGGCTGAAGTGACAAAGTTACACCATATGCCATCGTCTGATTGGTTGTGGAGAATGACCAATCAGAGGCTGAAGTGAAGTTACAAAGTTACACTCTATGCAAATGAAGACTTGGCCTGCCACAAGCCTGATTGGTTGCAGAAGGGGACCAATCAGAGGTACTTTCAATTTTTTATCTGCCACACAGAAAAAGTGGCGGGGGTTGCAGAAGGAGTAGCCTCTGATCCCTTTGTTACTTGGGCTTGGAAAGTTGGGGTTTTACTTTTGATTTAGTTCTAGGAAGTCTGAATCGACCTTAGGTTCCCTGCCTCCAGACCCTATTCTACCTCAATAGATGATACTGGAAATGGTGTATAAGTTGAATTAATTCTAAATGCCGTGGGGAAGATCATTAGAGGAATCCTGTTGTGAAGCCTTTTGTAAAGGAAATAAATTTTAATTATTAGTAGAATCACTTTCTAATCTGTTTTACAAGTTTAAAATTTTATTTTTTTCTTACAGAAGGTTATGTCTGTATATGATTACAAGTCACTTAGCAAATGTTTACCAAAAATTGATAAGCACTATCTAAAAACACAAGAGAAGAAAGCCATTTATTTTATATCTAAAAATGGAAATAAGATATGTGCTACTGCATTCTTCTTTCATTATGATTTTTTAGTCTTCAGTAGCATTCAAGAGAGATTAAGAATATTAAAGTCAAGAGAATAACTTCAAAGAAATTCAGGAAAATATGATTTATTGGTGGGCATGTTAAATTATGTTTTATCGCAATGGTTTTTCAGAAAGTTTGTTCATCACTTGGTCCAATTGGTTTTTGTAAAGTCACAGTCCAATATACTGAATATTCTCACTGACCTGAATCTCCTATTATCACAGCCCGAAGGAGAAACAATAAATGAGATGTCCTGGTTACCCTAATCTATTATATGAAATTGCACTTCACCTCCTGACTGCCTGGCCTTCCTAATCTTGATCTTCCCTTCACTACATTGGATCAAGATAGAAGTGCTTTAGATATTACTTCACCTCTGCTTTCAGCCATCACTACAGCTGTAATTGCAGCGATTGCAGTTTAATCAAAATGGGCATTTTCTTTCCTCTCCATATATTTTGTAAAGCAGATAGGCTGCAATATGCTTATGCATGAGCATATAGGTTGCTTTGACCAAATCCCAAAGTGTGACCAGCTGGGACATTCCATGGGAATTTTTCTTACTTGCTGATTTGATTCCTCAAAGTCCTTCGTTTATTATAGGTGACTAACACCTTTGAAAAAATATTTGGCCTCTGTCAGAGTTTTGCATACACATTAAAGTTCCTAGTTTCCCCAAATATTGAATTCACTAAAAAACTGTTTATATGTACAGACCAAGAAGTCATTATCTCAAACTGACATTGAATGACAGTCCAAACTCTTAAACTCTCACTAAGCTTCAAACTAGACTACTTCTTCGCAATATTTATCCCAGTAGCACTATTTGTCATCTGATATATTGTGAAATTATCAATATGATACATAAACTCAGACTGTAACATTAATCAATTTTTCAAATATTTACTTATTTTCCTCATCACAATATTCTGGTTACCGCCAACAACCTCTTTCAATTCTTTATCGGGTGATAGGGTATAGGAATCATGTCTTTTTTACTAATTACCTGATGGTATGGCTGAGCAGATGCTAATACAGCAGCCCTCCAAGCAGTTCTGCACAACCACATCAGAGATATTGGCTTTATTTTAGCGATAGCATGGTTCCTCTTATCCTCCAACACATGAGAGCTTCAACAAGCATTTATTCTAAATCCTACCCCCGACTCCCTTCCATTAATTAGCCTTCTCTTAGCAGAAGGCTAATTGTGAATCGTGCAATTGTGAATCGTGCCGCTATAAACATACGTGTGCAAGTGTCTTTTTCATATAGTGACTTCTTTTCCTCAGGGATACCCAGTAGTGGAGTTGCTGGATCAAATGGTAGATCTACTTTTAGTTCTTTAAGGAATCTCCACACTGTTTTCCATAGTGGCTGTACTAGTTTACATTCCCACCAGCAGAGTAAAAGTGTTCCCTTTCCACCACGTACACACCAACATCTCTTATTTTTTGATTTTTAAATTATGGCCATTCTTGCAGGAGTAAGATAGCATTGCATTGTGGTTTTGATTTGCATTTCCCTGATAATTAGTGATGTTGAGCATTTTTAATATGTTTGTTGCCCATTTGTATATCTTCTTTTGAGAGTTGTCTATTCATGTCCTTAGCCCAGTTTTTTTTGGGGGGGTAGTAGGTAACAAGGCAAATGTTTTCTATTCTTTTTTTTAAACTTTATTTTTCTATAGGTTATTGGGACACAGGTGGTGTTTGGTTATATGAGTAAGTTCTTTTTTTTTTTTTTTTTTTTTTTTTTTTTTTTTTTTTTTTTTTGAGACGGAGTCTCGCTCTGTCGCCCAGGCTGGAGTGCAGTGGCGGGATCTCGGCTCACTGCAAGCTCCGCCTCCCGGGTTCACGCCATTCTCCTGCCTCAGCCTCCCAAGTAGCTGGGACTACAGGCGCCCGCCACTACGCCCGGCTAATTTTTTGTATTTTTAGTAGAGACGGGGTTTCACCGTTTTAGCCGGGATGGTCTCGATCTCCTGACCTCGTGATCCGCCCGCCTCGGCCTCCCAAAGTGCTGGGATTACAGGCGTGAGCCACCGCGCCCGTCCATGAGTAAGTTCTTTAGTGGTGATTTGTAAGCTTTTGGTGCACCCATAACCTAAGCAGTATACACTGCAGCCTATTTGTAGTCTTCTATCCCTCACCCCTCTCCCACCCTTTCCCCCAAGTCCCTAAAGTCCATTGTATCATTCTTATGCCTTTGAGTCCTCATAGCTTAGCTCCTACGTATCAGTGAGAACATAGGATGTTTGATTTTCCATTCCTGCGTTACTTCACTTAGAATAATAGTCTCCGGTCTCATAGAGGTCGCTGCAAATACTGTTAATTCATTCCTTTTTATTGCTGCATAGTATTCCATCATATATATTTTTTATAATATATAATATATTGAACTATATTAATTATTATATTATATATAAAAAGAGAAAAAAGAATATATAGTATATATTATTGTATATAATTATATATTATATTTTATAATTTTATATATAATTATATATTTATATATAATTATATATATTATAATTATATAATTATAATTTAATATATTAATATATTATATATTATTTTATATATTATATAATAATATATAATATATAATAAATATTATATATAATTATATATAATATAGAATATATAATTATATATATTCTATATATTCTATATATTCTATATAATATAGAATATTATATATTCTATATAATATAGAATATTATATATTCTATATAATATAGAATATTATATATTCTATATATATATAATTATATATATAATTATATATATAATATATATTCTTTTTTCTTTGTCTTTTTCAGATTGGGTTAATTTGAAAGCCTTGTTTTCAAGGTCTGAAATTTTTTCTTCTACTTGTGGATTCTGTTGCTGAGACTTTTCAGTGCATTTTGCATTTCTGTGTGTCCTTCATTTCCAGAAGTTGTTATTGTCTTTTATTTATTCTATCTATTTCACAGAAGTTTTTTTCTTTTCCTATCATATATCATTTTTTTTTTATTTCATTAAGTTGGACTTCACCTTTCTCTGGTGCTTCCTTAACTAGTTTAATAGTTGACCTTCTGAATTCTTTTTCTGGCAATTCAGAGATTTCTTCTTGGTTTGGATCCATTGCTGGTGAGCTAGTGCGATGTTTTGTGGGGTGTTAATCTTGTTTTGTCATATTACCAGGATTGTTTTTTTCTGGTTCCTTCTCCTTTGAGTAGACTATGTCAGAGGGAAGATCAGGGGCTCAAGGGCTGCTCTTCAGATCTTTTGTCTCACGGGGATGCTCCCTTAATGTGGTGCTCTCCTCCTTCCCCTTGGGATGTGGTTTCCTGAGAGCCGAACTGCAGTGGTTGTTACTTCTCTTCTGGATCTAACCACCCAGCAGAGCTGCTGGGCTCCAGGCTGCTACTGGAGAGTGTCTGCACAATGTCCTGTGATGTGAACCATCTTTAGGTCTCTCAGGCATGGATACCAGCCACCTACGGTGGAGGTGGCAGGGGAGTGAAGTGAAGTCTGTGAGAGTTCTTGGTTGTGGTTTTGTTTATTGTGCGTTTTATGTTGGTTGGCCTCCAGCCGGGAGGTGGCACTTGCAAGAGAGCATCAGCTCTGGTAGTATAGGAAGGATCAGGCGGTGGGTGGGGCCATAGAGCTCCCAGGATATTATGTCTTTTGTCATCAGCTACCAGGGTAGGTAGAGAAAGACCATCAGGTTGGGGAAAGGTTAGGTCTATCTGAGCCCAGACTTTCCTTGGGTGGGGCTTGCTGTGGCTGCTGTTGGGTATGTGGGTGTGGTTCTCAGGCCAATGGAGTTATGTTTCCAGAGATATTATGGCTGCCTCTGCTGTCATGCAGGTCTCCAGGGAAGTGGGAGAGAACCAGCAGTTTTAGGCCTTACCCAGCTCCCACGCAGCCCAAAAGGCCAGTCTCACTCCTACTGTGCCCTCTCTATAGCACTGAGTTTATTTCCAGTCAGCAAGTGAACAGGGCTGAGAACTTGCCCCAGGCTACCAGCCTCCCAGCTGAGAAAGCAGGCAGGGCTTTCACGTTTTGTGCTTCCCCACCTGCCGCAGCTTCTGTGCTGTGTCTGCACTCCCTATTCACCCTCCTATGCCAAGTTCTGTCCAGGAAACTTTGTGTTTGGTCAAAATGGTTACAGAGTTCAGCGGGAAGTTTCCTTCTCCCTGTGGGCTTTTCCCAGTTCCTCTGGCAGCCCTCCCCAAGGACTCCTGTGAGACCAATCAGAAATGGCTTCCCTGGGGACCAAGCGTGCCCACAGGGCTCTTCCTGCTGCCTCTTCTACACCTGTATTTCACTTGGCTCTCTAAATTTGTCTCAGCTCCAGGTAAGGTCAAATCCTTCTTCTGTGATCTGGACCTTCAGGTTCCCCATTGAGGGTGTGTGTTTGGGGGCAGATGATCCTTCTTTCACACTTTGGGCACTCACAGTGTTTTGGCTGTCTCCAGGCGTCTGCAGCAGCAATCTGCTTCCTTCAAAGGATCCGTGGATCCTCTGGGCTTTCCTGGTATGTTCCTGTGGTAGTTCTTGGAGCAAAAATTCATTATGTGAATCTCCACATGCTGCTCTGTCTGAGTGGGAGCTGCAGGTTAGTCCTGCCTCCTATCCACCATTTCTTTTTCTAGTGTCCTGGCTAGTAACTTCTGAGTGGAGTGAGGCATCATTTACATGTCTCTTCAACCTGAGGAGTAGACTCCTTCTGACCTTGCAGCTTCTTTTCTGAGCTCTTGCACTGAGACGGTGGCACCTGTGTACTGAGGCACTGTAAGGAGAACAGCTGCCTGCTGACTTGCTCAGCCTACAGAGTACTTGGTGCCCATTTTGACTTCCTGAACCTAAGTCTTGAACTAGCATAGTCTTTTCTAATTAATAGTACATACAATAAAAATGATTGCTTTTTGGCTGTAGTTAGCTAAAATTTCATTAGTTAAGTATTTTCGTTCTAATACACATTTTAAATTTTCTCTTATTATACATTCCATGTAGATTAAGGGCATAAATCCAAGTAAAATAACAAGTGGACCCATGGTGTTGATTCAGCATGATTAAGTTCTATATAGAATCTTGAGACAAATTTAGAGGCCCAATTTCAGATACATAATTTCTGTGCAGTTTGTATACCAATTAGCAAGAAGATGATTGATGGTTGCTAGTCCTGTGAAACAGTAGTAGTTAGGTGGTATATGTCCTAGCGGTATATAGTTTAAGAACGAAAATTTTATCCTAAGACTTAGCCCACTTGTATCATCACTCTATACGTCATTTATTTTGGGACTGTTCTTGCCCTAAGATGACAATTTAAAAAATTATTTGTCGTTTCTTTAATTGGTACTTGTATTTATGTCACACAAAGGGCTTGAATTTGTGTGTCCATCAGTGGCATGTTAAGCCCACTTTAGCCCATATGTGATACTCAATGTTGTAAAACGTGCATTTTCTACTAAACAGTATCTATTTTGAGAGTTTGTCAGAGGAACTGATGCAGAACCAAGATGCCAGTTTTGTGTTTTTATTTCCTACATTGCTTCACTTATAACAATAATACATGATCCTCCAAATTTGCCTGATGTTTTTCAAACTGCATTTTCTAAAAGCAGATATCTTCTGCGGGCTTTTTTTTGTTTTTTAAACTATGTATCTGTGAATACTTTTAGCTACATGTTATAAATAACAAAAACAATTAAAAAAAGAATTGTTGCTAGTGACAACTCTAACGTCAAGGAAATTTTGTTTAGATTGGGAAAATAAAACAGGTGTTTCAGTCCTACATCAAGTAATTTTATTACTCTTAGTCTTGACAGACATATTGATTCTTCATGAAAAATATAAATTCTTACCATTACTTTAGAAGACTTTTTCAATATGCTATTAAAATGTTCATAAAAAATTGACTATGAGTATCAGAACACCAAAAAGTCATACTTCAGATGTAATGTGTTTATCGGTTATTAGTCAGCTAAAGTTAAAACTCATTTTTGAAATTTTTAAGGGAAAAGAAAAGTAGATTTTAAATCTCAAGTGTTTCTCAAGTGTTTTGTGGAAATTTTAAGACAAGGTACTTATCTATGACCGATGATCCAGTAGACCAGGGGTCTGTTTATTAGACCACAGCCATGTCCATCCACTTACATGTTACCTATGGTTGCTTTCCTGCTATTCAGTAGTCCTTTCTTACCCTTGGGGGATAAATCCCAAGACCTCTAATGGATGCCTGAAATTGCAGATACCGAACCCTATGTATATTACATTTTTCCTATACAAACATACCAATGATAAAGTTTAATTTATAAATTAGGCACAGTAAGAGATTAACAATAATAATAAAATAGAACAATTATAACAATATGCCAGCATCATTACTGTGGCACTTTGGGACCTTTATTAAGTAAGCACTGTGATAACTGATGGTCAATCTGATAATCCAGAGGGCTACTAAGGAACTAATGGGAAGTGTTCATAGTATGGATGATTCACATCCTGGGTTGGATGGCGTAGGATTTCAACACACTATTCAAATGGGGCACAACTTAAAACTTATACATTGTTTATTTCTAGAACTTTCTATTTAATATTTTCAGACTGTATTAAACCATGGTTTACCACGGGTAACTGAACCTACAGAAAGTGGAACCATGGATAAGCAGAGGAACAACTATATCTTGAAGATTGAGCCATTATCCATCGAAATTGGTTTGACAAACTTTTAAAAAGGACAACGACCTTTTTCCATCTATTTATTTGTGTGTCTTCCAGAATATGTAATAAATAATAAAATGGACCTTTCACGCTACATGTATAACTCCTATAGTTGTATGTTTGCCTTGGATGTATTTTCCCTCAAGATTATCAACTGTGTGTTTGACAAGTGAATATTAAGTAAATCTGTGACCATTTTTTTTTTTTTAAAGTTGAGCTCAGAAAGAAGCAGATCCTGGCAAAGTCAGTTTTAATGAAGAGAAGATGGAGGAAAAAGCAGTGCCTGAGCGGGCACCGAAGGCACTCGAGGGCCCTGTGCTCTTTGGCAAGTATTGGCATTCACGGGAAGAAAGGAGGGTTAGATGAGAATATACATAAGAAAGTTGCCTGTTAACACATAAAGTATCAAAATCAGATGGAAACTGCAGTCATCTCTTGGTTTCCTTGGTGCACTGGTTCCAGGACTCCAGCAAATGCCAAAACCTGTGGATGCTCAAGTCTCATATAAAAGGGTATATAGTATTTAGACATAACCTACACACATCCCGTTATATACTTTAATTCATCTCTAGATTATTTACAATACCAAATACAATATAAATGTGACGTGTAGTTGTTAATGCTGTGTTGTTTTAAAATTTACGTAGTTTATTTAAAAAATATTTTGATCCGTGGTTGGTTGGATGTATGGATGTGGAACCCGAGGACATGAAAGATGGACTGTACTTGACAGTTTGGCCTAGGGACAAGTCTGATTGTGTGTGTATTTGTATGTCTCTGACAGCACTTTCTGCCTCATTATAGGGAGAGTTGCACAGGAAGAAATTTGGATTTAGATTTAGATTTCTTACATTGCTAGCCGCTCATTGGTGATTTCTGCTCTGGAAGATGTAAAAGGGCCTTTGGAAGATTATGTAGTTTACCTATATAGATTGCTCTTTTTACTTTATAGCAGTCTTACACAAGGAATTGTCCAATATTCATCACTAATCTGGAGCTTTTTCTAACTCAGTGGTTCTTAATCTTATTTACACAATAAAGTTGCCTACAAGTCTTAAAAAAAATACTAAGCCTGATTCTATCCTACACCCTCTGACTCAGTTGGTCTGGGGAGGGGGTAGGTATTAGATTATTTACAAGCACCTCTCTGATCCTAATGTGCCTCCAGGCTTCAGAGCGTCCGCTAACTGCTAACATTGTGAGGTTATGATTGTCCACCAGATGGAGACAAAGCACTTCTCAATGAAAAAGACCCTGGACAAAACCCATTCTCTGGCCTTACATATGCAACTCCAATTTATGTAATATACTAAACAGGGCAAAAATGTGGAAAGATAGGTAAAATTGTCTTTGGTACTGTTGCTTGCCAACCAAATAAATTCTTGCCACCACTGGGGAAGATTCCAGGAACTAATTAAAAAATAACACATGGCCAAAAATATATTTTTTCATCCAGTTACCTGAATTAGCATGTACAAATATTTTCAAACCTTTTCCTAGTTTACTTTGATAAAATAGACCATATAAATGAGAAGTGTAATATTGTTCATATATTATAGAGTGGAAAATTTTGAAATAAGATCACTCCAAGAATTATGCAAATGGAAATCAACGTCAGCACAAGTAAATTAGCGTAAGATGTGTTGCTCACAGGATTTTAGGAAATCTGCAGATGCAATAATGTGGTTTTGATTTTTTCTGAAGTCTGAAGTACTTGATTGGCAACTCCCACTTTCATTTCTTTCATCTCATTTGTCTAGCTCTGTCATAGAAGCTGTAAAACTACAAACTCCGTCTCTCTGTTCCCTTGTAGGGAGAGATGGTCAATGAGATGTAAGTGAAATCACTAAGGAGGACTTCCCTTCCTGAATAAAATGACAATACCTCAGTACAAGAAATGTCTTTTTCCCTTGTCCCTCCACTCCCGACCTCTTGCTACTATCTTCCCGGAGACATGAAACTTAGAAGTGGAGCAGCCACCACTGTCCATGGGATGACAAGTGTGAGGACAAAAGCCAGTGTAACAAAGAAGGGCAGAATGGACAGGTGAGAGCAGCCTGGGTCCCTCTTTTATGGCAACTCTGAGCAGTTGCTATGCTGACGGGGGACTGCCTATGTTTGCACTTGCTATGAGGGGAAAAGCAACTGTTGATCAGGCTTCCTATTGTTCTCAGATAAATTTTATTCCTAACTGATCCATCACTGAGAAGTTACTATATTGGCATATAGACCATAAATATATTTATAATGTTGACTTTAGACATTATCCTTTCTAAAGAAGCCCTGTGGGCTTTAGACAAAGCTAAGACTTTAGAAGTTTAAGCTTCTTTGTTGTTATTTCTAAAAAGCATGTATTAAGTGCCTAAATTGTCAATACCAGGCAATCTGCCAAGTGTTCATGCCCTAACAACATTTCCTGAGCCAAAGGCACAGTTTGACATAACACCTGATTATGGGGTGAATATTTTCAACAGAATTGTGCTAGAAAATCCAGGCTGTCTGTTGTTCTACTTGACGCAGGCTGTGATTTCTTCAGGGTAGGCACCAGGTCAGAGCAAATACATCACTAGAAACAATAAATGAAATAGCAACAGACAACAAGGTGTTTGCATTATGACAGGCCAAATTTGATCTAAAGGGTAAACAACAAACAAAGGTATCTAATTGGAAAAAGAACTGAGAAAGGGTAAGAGTTTCACATTTTGAAAAGCAGGTTGGTAATTTGTTATTTGATGGTGAGGATATTCAGGAATGTTGCCATTCTGTGGTTCACAGCAGGAGAATTTCATGGAAGAGGATTTCCATGAGCTCACAGGCTGTTTAAAGAACTGGAGAGAACTGAATTGGCAAATGGGGGAAAATATTAGGTTGGTGCAAAAGTAATTGCAGTTTTTGCCTTTACTTGCAATATGTTATAGGCACGTGATTCTGCCTTGGAAGGTCATAAAGACAAAAGGTTGGCCTTCCCTGGAGCAAAACATAGAAATATGTCCCCTGGGGCCGTGTCATATGCCAGTCCTGTAAGCAGCATGGGGGACAGTGATGGTCTACTTAGGTAAGGCAAAAGTGATTGACTGAGAAGTAGAAGGAAGTAAATCTCATTAAATGTTGAATTTCACTGGGGTCTGTTTCTGACACACTTCTTACTTTTATGCATTTAACTATGTGCTGGATAACTTTCAGATTTTTATTTCTAAACTGTCTTAGTCTGTTTATGTTGCTGTAGAGGAATATCTGAGACTGGGTCATTTATAAAGGAAAGAGCTTTACTTGGCTTATGGTTCTTCAGGCTGTACAAGAAGCATAGTACCTGCATCTACTTCTGGTAAGGGCTTCAGGCTGCTTCCAACCAAGGCAGAAGGTGAAGGGGAGCTTCTGTGTGCAGAGATAACATGGTGAAAAAGGAAGCGAGAGAGAGAGTGGGGAGGTGCCAGACTCTTTTTAACAACCAGCTCTGGCAGGAACTAATAGAGCTAGCACTAGAACTCACTCATTACTGTGAGGACAGGCTGCAAGACATTATTGAGGGATCTGCCCATGACCCAAACACCTCCCATTAATGGCCTCTCCTCCAACATTGGGGATCAAATTTCAACATGAAGTTTGGAGAAGTCAAATATCCAAACCATAGCACAAACCTAATCTTCCAAATTTTCCAGCGTTCTCTCCCTGGATTTTTGCAGTTACTTCTAATTCACCGTATCTGCAAATAAACTCATTAAAGTGTCTTTTCTTCCTGTACATTATGTTTCTCATTCTGTATTTTTGACAACTATTTATTGAGTGCCTACACTGTGCCACTCAGTGTGCTAGGGCTGGGGATACAAGGGTGAGCAAGACCAGACCACACCCTCTTTCCTTTACTCCAACCTCCATCCTTTTCCATACTGCTTCCAGGCAGCTTTATCCAAAACTCATGTCTCAATTTTTTTTTTTTGAAATGGAGTCTCACTCTTCAACTCTTCGTCACCTAGGCTGGAGTGCAGTGGTGCGATCTCGGCTTACTGCAACTTCTGCCTACCGAGTTCAAGCGATCGTCCCACCTCAGCCTCCCCAGTAGCTGGGATTATAAGCGTGTGCCACCATGTCCAGCTAATTTCTGTATTCTTAGTAGAGACAGGGTTGGCCAGGCTGGCCTTGAACTCCTGACCTCAAGTCATCCACCTACCTCGGCCTCCCAAAATGCTGGGATTACAGGCATGAGCCACCGCTTCTGGCCATGTCTCAAATTTTTATATCCAAACTATCTTAGTGCATTTGCATTGCCATAAGGGAATATCTGAGACTGGGTAATTTAATAAAGAAAAGAACCATTTCACTTTCCTGGCTAAAGCTTTTCTAGTGATTTAGTGTTTTATGTTGTAAAGTTACTCTAGATTTTTAGCTTAGTTGTCGTTTTCTTCTTCCTCTTGAACTTTACATTTGAGCAACATCAACCTATTCATAGTTTCTTGAGCACGCTATGGCATTTCATGATTCTGAGCCTTTGATCATTCTGTACGGTCCCTGTAGATCCACTTTCTTCTTTCATCTTTGTTTAACTCCCACTTTACTTCTGTCTCACATGCCTTTTCTGTGCTCATAGTGGTTCTTATTTACCCCATTATAGCACTCAGCACATGTGGAGGAAAAGTTAAATATTAAATTTGAACTCAATTGAACGTGGACACAAACAGTAGTCACCAAGTCCTGGAACAGGTTGTGTGAGCCCCTTGAGGCATTCATTCAGCACTGTTTCAGAGAAATCTCTATTTCAATCTATTCCTATATGTTAGTTATCGAAAAACAACAAACAATCGCAAAAACAAGTTGACCTTTTTGTGCTCCTTGAGCCAAGTCGTGAAGGGCCCTCATGACTGGGCCTCATGCCAAACAACTCATTACAAAAAGAGCTAGGGTCCCAGACCATGCTGAATCTTCATGAGACCTCTCCTCGTCTGTGCATGGATGGGTGGCTGACTCTGGAGCCCAGGCTGTTGCTTCCCAGTCTGGTGATGATTCCTCCATAGTCTGGTGAATGTGTATCTATATGTTTTCCCTTCTCCCTTTCCCATTGCAATTAGCTTATTATATCAATTTGCTTATTATATCATTTGCTTATTGTATCTGCATTGCCATTTATGTGGGATAAAGGTTGTTTACCCTCAAAGGTATTGTGTGTGTGCCTTTTCTTTTCTCTTCACGCGTCTCCTGCACAGAATAGCACATTACACTATATTTGTATATTTCACATTTGACTCCTTTTCTGAATGAGTGCACATTAAGGAGGGAGACCTTTATGTCCAGCACTATGCTTGGCAAATGGAATTTGTAATGAAGCCCATTATTGAATGGAATTGGAAGTGAAGAGATAGTTTACTTGGAAAGGAAAGTATTTTGATGCCTATGACAAGAAAGCAATGGATGATTTAAAGTTTGATTGTCCAGTTGGCACCAAAAGTTAACAGCACAAATGTTACAACTTCCTTAAACAGACATACATTCACATCAGCGCACATCCACCTGATCCACTAAATTGTGAACATGTGCAGAGTATTATATTTAAGGTAACACTGATCAGTTATACCTTCCAATTTCAAAAGGAAATCACTCATTTTGCCCTAACGTGTGGTCAGGATTATTGTGGTAATGGCTGTTTGATCCTGAGTCAGTCCATGATAGCACACCTGAGAGTATGATTTATGGGCTGAGTTTTTACAGTTCAAACTGAGAGTGAGAAATAGTCTCTTGATAGCAATACACTGAAAGCATAGATGCTACAACAGCTTCTAAGATGGAGTGTTTATGGACCCAGGTGTTTGGACAGTGGGATAAGTGCAGCTGTATTTGAGACATACCTATATGAAACATTTTTTGTTGTTTATCTGAAATTCAAATTTAATTGGACATCTGGTGTTTTATCTGGCAAGTCTACATAAAATTGACTTGAAAAAACATATCCCAAATTAGGGGCTGCTTGATGTGCTAGGAATAAATACTGTTTTTTATACAGAAAAACTTTTTTAGTTACAGCTATGCATCTCTCTTAGCTGCTATCTCTTTATGAAGTGAGAGTTTCAGATTCGATCATTTTTAGATTTTGCTCAGCTTCACAAGCTTTGAGCAAATAAAATTTTACTAGAAAGACCAATATATAAAACAGATAAGAGCTGAGTTACTTATTAAAGTTGAGTATAGGTCCTTCCCCACCCCAACGTCGAATAATGGAGCACGACCTAAAAACTCCTAGATTTCATGATTTCTAAAATTCCTTCTACTTGTAACAGTCTGTGAGTCCAAATGAACTCATTTCATAGGGAGAAATAATCTAGTTTGTGGTTAGTCATAGCCTGTTCTTTCCTATTTATAGTTGAAAAGGCTAGAGAGAGAAGGAAAGAAAAGTATTATTACCAATGAAGGTGGCATTTAGGAAGGATAAAATGGACTTATTAACTATCTTCATTTATTCAACAGACATTTGTTGAGCAGTCTCTAAAGACAAGGTAATATACTATGTACTTTGAAGGGAGAATATTAATAGCAATTTTTAGAATGACCTCTTAATTTAGTTGGTGAGCTAAAATTTGTGCACAGGTAATTGTATCTGCTATTTTGTGAGGTTTACTATGTACTGGGTATTTTACTGCTTACAATGTTATAAAATATTTGCCTGAACATTGGTCCCACTCACAGTTCCTGTTCCTTTGCATTTGTTCTCATTGAAGCCTTACTTCCTTTCAGATTTTTTTTCCTAAAACTTACAAGGAAAGAATTCCTCTACATCTCATTTTTATCTCTGAATCTGTCTTGGTGATATAGGACATTTCTCTTTATTAGAAGCCCTGTCTTTGTTCAACTTTAGGATGATGAAGTCATAACAAGTTTTTCTCAAATATGCATTACTGAGACTCAATCTCCTCCAACAGTGTGATGTGTCCTCAGGTTGGCAGTCCAAGAGGTAATTTTAAACATCACTCTTATTTTCACCCATTCACATGCTGAGGCTGTTACCAGGCCTGCCATTTCTTGCTCTGCAGGAGTCCCCATATTTTCTCCTTTCTTCTTTTTCTGCCATGCCTAATTTCTCATCTAAGTTCTGGTTGTTTAACACCTACCTTATTGCTATTTTCTTTTATCCTTCCCTTTAATATTTTACATGACTCAGCATAAGTTCTCCTTAGGAACCCCTAGACTCATAGCAAAGCTGTTTGAACCCACTGCTTTGTCTTCGTGTTCCTGCCACTGACAATTCTGAGGTGCACGTTTGAACAAATATCAACATTTTGACACAGCTTTAAAAGATCAGTTATTTTTCATTCTCTTTTGGTTTTTAAAAAACATTTTTCTGAAGATGTCAGACAGATGATGGCATAGGAAGCTGAACCGCACATTCCTCCACAGAAACACTGATAAAAGAATGATGTTGATACAAAAATACCTTGAAGAAATTCAGAACCCAACTAAAAAGCAGAAGCACTCGACAGGAGCATAAACAGAGAGCAGTAACATTTATCTGGTTAAGAAGAGCAATTTCACGTTACCCACATCAGTTACTTCTGCAAACTGCCTTAGCTAAACACTGAGAAGATACCTCAGCCCAAGATTTCTCCTGTGGGGCAGGGGATTTGTTTGGAGGGTGAGCCTGGCTGTTTGGCCTTCTGGCCTCTCAGAGCACCCTCTATAAGGCCAGTTTTCATTTTGCATCAGAGTAAGCACTGGATGATCTCTAGAGCCTGGTTCCCTGAGAGAGTGAGCCCTTTACACCTGATACTGCTCTTTAAGATTAGGAATAGGCACAGAACTGATATTTTTCCTCCACAAAGGAGGGAAGGAAGTGAAGGGGGTCTATCTGCAGCATCTTAGGTTGCCCTCTATGGAGCTGGTTTCCATCTCTTCATAGCAAATCCTGAATGTGACAGATCTCAGCCTCCTGGGACAATTAGTAACTAAGAAAAGGGGCTGGCATCTCTTAAAGCCAGAACTATTCTGGTTATTGGGAAAAACCATAAACGAGGCTTTTCCTTTAGGTGGGAGGGAAGGGAGTGAAGAGACCCTTGCTTTAGTCTTGCAATGCACTCCCTCAGTGGTCAGTCACCATGTTGCTTCAAATTAAGCACTGAACTGGTAAAGCTCTCGCCCGATCAAAATTTGTCCATAAAGACTGAGAGAAGTATCTGCTTCTTCAAATATTTAGACAACAATGCAAACCTATAAGAAATGTGAAGAATCAGGAAAATATGACAATCAAAGGAACAAAGTGAATCTCTAGTAACCAATCCAAAAGAAATGGAGATCTGTGAATTACATGATAAAGAATTCAAAAATACTCATCTTACAGAAGGTCAGTGAGTTACAAGAGAACACAGATAAACTACTAAATGAAATCAGGAAAACAAGTAATAAACAAAAGAAGAAGTTCAAGAGAAAAGATAGAAACAATGCAAAGAACCAAACAGAAATTCTGCAGCTGAAGACAATGACTGAACTAAAAATTCACTAGTGAGATTCAAAAGCAGACTTGATCAAGCAGAAGAAATAATCAGTGAACAAGACAGGTCATTTTAAATTATCCAGTCAGAGGAGCAAAAAGAAAAAGAGTGAAGAAAGCCAAAGAGACTTATGGGATACCATCAGGTGAACCAATATGAGTATTAAGAGAGTCCTAGAGGGTGAAGAGAGAAAGGGGAAAAAAACCTGTCCAAAGGAATAATGGCTGAAAATCCTGAATTTTATTGTATATATGTGTATACATATGTATATAAAAATACACACACATGGCCGGGCACAGTGGCTCACGCCTGTAATCCCAGCACCTTGGGAGGCCGAGGTGGGCAGATCACGAGGTCAGGAGATCGAGACCATCCTGGCTAACACGGTGAAACCCCGTCTCTACTAAAAATACAAAAAATTAGCCGGGCATGGTGGCGGGCGCCTGTAGTCCCAGCTACTTGGGAGGCTGAGGCAGGAGAATGGCATGAACCCAGGAAGAAGAGCTTGCAGTGAGCCGAGATTGTGCCACTGCACTCCAGCCTGAGCGACAGAGCGAG
Source organism: Homo sapiens (assembly GCF_000001405.40). Classification (NCBI taxonomy): domain Eukaryota; kingdom Metazoa; phylum Chordata; class Mammalia; order Primates; family Hominidae; genus Homo; species Homo sapiens. The sequence continues at coordinate 89,801,653 of NC_000010.11, forward strand.
ACTCTGTGTCAAAAAAATAAATAAATAAACACACACAGGCATACGTTGGAGATATTGCAGGTTTGGTTCCAAACTATCACAAGAGGTGAATATTGTAATAAAAAAAGTTATACAAATTTTTCATTTTCCCAGTGCATATAAAAATTATGTTTACACTATACTGTAGTATATTAAATATACAGCAGCATTATGTCAAAAAAATGTGTATACTCTAATTAAAATAATTTATTGCCAAAAATTGCTAATGATTATCTGAGCCTTCAATGAGTTGTCATTTCTTTGCTGGTGGAGGGTCTTGCCTGGATTTTGATGGTTGCTGATAGATCAGGGTGGTGATTGCTGAAGGTTGTGGTGGCTGTGGAAATTTCTTAAAATAAGACAGTGATGAATTCTACTGCATCAGTTGACTCTTCCTTCATGAAAGATTTCCCTGTAGCATGCAATACTGCTTAATAGTATTATACCTACAAAACTGCTTCCCAAATTGAAGTCAATCCTCTCCAAACCAGCTGCTTGCTTCATTGACTAAGTTTATGTAATATTCTAAATCCTGTGCTGTCACTTTAACAATGTTCCTGGCATCTTTACCAGGAGTAGATTTTATCTCGATAAATTGCTTTCTTTGCTTATTCATAAGAGGTAACTCTTTCTCTGTTTAAATTTTATCATGAGATTGTAGCAATTCAGTCACATCTTCAGGACCCACTTTTAATTCTAGTTCTCTTGCTATTTCTGCCACATCTGCAGTTACTTTCTCCACTGAAGTCTTGAACCTGTCAAGATGATCCATGAGGGTGGGAATTTACTTCTTTCAAACTCATTTATTTTGGTATTTTGACCTCCTCCAATGAATCATGAAAATTATTATTATTGTTATTTTGAGACAGGGTCGCACTCTGTTGCTGGTGCTGGAGTGCAGTGGCATGATCTCAGCTCACTGCAACCTCAACCTCCCAGGCTCAGGTGATCCTCCCACCTCAGCCTCCTGAGTAGCTGTGACTACAGGCACACACAACCACACCCAGCTAATTTTTGTATCTTTTGTAGAGAAGGGGTTTCACCATGTTGCCCAGGCTGCTCCCAAACACCTAAGCGCAAGTTATCTGCCCACCTTGGCCTTCCAAAGTGCTAGGATTGCAGGCGTGAACCACTGCACCCAGCTGTGAATATTCTTAATGTCATTTAGAATGGTGAATCTTTTCTAGAATGTTTTCAATTTACTTTGCCCAGACCCATTAGAGGAATCACCATTTGGGGCACCTGCAATCTTACTAAATGTATTTCTTAAATATTAAGACTTGAAAGTCAAAATTACTCTTTTATCCATGGGCTGCAGAACGGATGTTTTGCTAGCAGGCACAAAAACAACATTAGTCTTTTTGTACATCTCTGCCAGAACTCTTGGGTGACCAGGTGCATTGTCAATGAACAGTAATATGTTGACATGAATCTTTTTTCTGAGAAGCAGGTCACGATGGTTAGCTTAAAATATTCAGTAAACCATGCTGTAAACAGGTGAGCCATTATCCAGGCTTTGTTATCCCATTTATAGAGGCAGAGCAGGTTTAGCATAATGTAGGTTTAAGGGCACTAGGATTTTCAGAATGATAAATGAGCACTGGATTCAACTTAAAGTCACCAGCTGCATTAGCCTCTAACAAGAAAGTCAGTCTTTCCTTTGAAGCTTTGAAGCCAGGAATTGTCTTCTCCTCTCTAGCTGTGAAAGTCCTAGATGGCATCTTCTTCCAATAGAAGGCGGTTTCATCTATATTGATAATATGTTGTTTAGTGTAGACATCTTCAATTATCTTAACTAGATCTTCGGGATAACCTGCTGAGCTCCCATGTCAGGACTTGCTGCTTCACCTTTTATTTTTACGTTAGGGAGATAACTTTTTCTTTAAGTCTCATGAACTAACTTCAGCTACCTTCAAACTTTTCTTCTGAACCATCCTTACCTCTCTTAGCCTTCACAGAATTGAAGAGAGTTAAGTTCTTGCTCTGGATTAGGGTTTAGTTTAAGGGAGAGTTGTGGATGGTTTGATCTGCTATCTAGAACACTAAAGCTTTCTTCATATGTGCAATAAGGCTGTTTCACTTTCTTATTTGTGTGTTCACTAGAGTAGCACTTTTAATTTCCTTAAACTACTTTTCCTTTACATTCACAACTTAGCTAACTAAATATAGCCCAAGAGATCTATATTTTGGCCTATCTGGACTTTTGACATGCCTTCCTCACTAAGCTTAACCATTTCTACCTTTTGATTTAAAGTGAGAGATGTGTGTCTCTCCCTTTCACTTGAACACTTATAGGCCATTGTAATTTTATTAATTGGCCTAATTTCAATATTGATGTATCTCAGGGAATAGGGAGGTCTGAGGAGAGGGAGAGAGATGGAGTAACGGTCAGTTGGTGGAGCAGTCAGAATGCATACAACATTTATTGACTAACTTCACCGTCTTATGTGGATGTAGTTTGTGTCGCCCCAAAATAAAAGCAACAGTAACATCAAAGATCACTGATCACAGATTAGCACAACAGATATTATAATAATAATGAAGAGGTTTGAAATATCGTGAGAATTGCCAAAACGTGACATAGAGACATGAAGTGAGCATATGCTGCTTGGAAAATGTTGCCAATAAATTTCCTCAACTCATGGTTGCCACAAATCTTCAATTTGTAAAAAAATGCAGTATCTGTGAAGCACAATAAAGCAATGCACAATAAAACAAGATATACCTGTATATGTATACACACACATACAGACACTATTTATTAAGAATGTATTCATCCTTAAAAAAGAAGGAAATCTTGTCATTTGTGACAACATGGATGAACTTGAAGGACATTATACTAAGTGAAATAAGCCAGACACAAAAAGACAAATATCATATGATCTCACTTATAAGTGAAATATAAAAAAGTTGAACTCTTACAGTTACAGAGTAGAATGGTGGGTTACAAGGGCAGGCGATGGAGCAGAGGGGATTGGGGAAATGTTGGTCAAAGGATACAAAATTTCAGGTATGCAGGATGAATAAATTCTAAAGACCTATATACAGTGTGGTGACTATACTTAATAATATTGTATTGTGTCCTTGAAATTTCCTAAGAGAGTAGATAATTGTTTTCACTAGAAAAAAAGAAGAAAGGTAACTATGTGAGATGATGGATATGTTAATTAGCTTGGTTGTAGTAAACTTCGCTATGTTTTTGTGTATCAAAACATCATATTGTGCACCTTAAATAAGTACATGTACAATTTTAATTTTCCAATTATACCTCAATAGAGCTGAAAAAAATTTAAAAATTTTTATTTTTTCATGTATTACAAAATAATATATTAATTATAGAAATTTAAATATATATTAATTTTTTAAAAAGTAAAAGAAAGTAATCTGTAATCCTACCTCACCAGGGGGGCAGAAGAGAAGTAAAACATTTAAGGTATATCCTCTTGAAACTTTTCCTATACCTGAATATGTATTTTTTCCTTCAACAAAAATAGAAGCAAATGTACATACCAGTTTGCAGCTTACATTTTAATTTAACAATAAATAGTGATTATTTTTCCATTTTATTACATGTATTCCCACATAGTCTTTAATAACTATGTACTCTTCCATCATAGAGATGTACTATATAGTTTATTTACCCCGCCACATTTTTTGGTCATCTAGGTTTCCCAGGTTTACCCTATTAAAAACAACCCTCTACTGAACAGCATTAGAGCCACAGATTAACACACATCAGTGCTTTTCCCCTTAGAGTTAATTAATAGAGAAAATCTTTACATTTATTTATGAACCCACTTTTATAGCCAGGCTTTACTCTGTGTTTTGTTCAATGTTTCTCATGCTAAAACTAATCAATTCCTTGTTCTCTCCCTGTTAACCATCTAAGACCTGCTTTATCTCCATGGCAGTCCCGCTTTTCTCACTTTTAAACCACAGCTGTGCTAGCAGATTTTACTTGACGAATATGACTCATTTTTTCAATTCTATACGTGAAAGGAAAGAAGAGCTATTCATTCCTTTCTCTTTCCTATGTTAGTGTTACTTCAGTCTCTCTCTTAAGAGCAGAAGAGGATGAAACTAACCTCAGCATCACAGCACTTCATGGAGGTTGAAACCTCTGCAATCACTATATAACTGACTATACACCCACACACACACACCCCCCACAGAGACTCTCACACAGTCACATACAGAACTAAAGGAAGGAGAAAAGACTGAGAAAATGTCTGTGTGATGATTGTTACTATTTACATGGCCCAATCCCACTCACACTCACACCTCAGCTCCACTCACACCCCAGCTCCAAGTTGCCAATGATGCTTCCATATGGAGTTGAGTCTAGATCAAGCCCTATGAGGAGGCTAGTTCCTGTCTCTGGCTGTGAGAAGAAAGCTGGGCACTGAGCAGTGTCACTTCAGGAAGTCTCAAGGCTCATTTTATGTTATGATGTAAAAATTCTTTAGTGGAGGAAGAAGAAACTGAATTTTCAGAATGGACTCTGTGAAACCCTAGGATTCTACCTCATTATCTCAGGGGTTATTCTTTGTGGAGAGCAGCAGGCAATGATGCCTGAGGGAAATTGAGCTGGATCATCTTTTCTGCGGGCTAGAAAAGAAGGTATGAAGAGTGCCAGGAGGAAGCGAGGGGCCTTCTGAGGTGAGCACAGGCCTCTAGTCTCTCTCTCCTTTTCCCTTTTCTGAGGGGATCAGGGGACCTGGACCTGGCAGGGGCCCAAGGGAATCTGCCACGAGGCTGTGCATGAATTTGGAGGTTTGGATTGATTCTGCCTGGCACCTGGAACCTTGTGAGTACTGAGCATGGAGGACTGCAGAGGGGTGCACTTGAGAAGATGCAAGAGGGAGAAAAGGGAACAACTGCATCTCCACTGCAGCCCATAGTGGAGACACATGAGCTTGTGTCAGTCCCAGAATGAGCTGTAAAGTGAGTAGAGAGTGGGGACTGTCTTGTCCCGTTACCACTGCCAGAGGCCTGTGCTGTCCGTGGGGCAAGCCGGGATACTCTGACTTTGATAGGGGAGGAAACAGGGCTGCCTCTGGAGGTCATCCATGACAGCTCGTTGAGTGAGAGACAATTAGCAGAGGAACAAACAAGAATCTGATGAATAATGCTCTATCACCTCCGTGCCTCCAGATATTTGGATTTTTCTCCACAACACTATAGACTCGTGGCACTGTAGTGAAGTATAAGGTTTCCTGGACGTTTATAAACAAATGGTTAGGGCTCAGGTGGGTCAAGTGGAAAACTTGGGACTGCATGGTGACTCATAACAAGGATGACAATACTGAAGAAAATGACATTTAAACTTGAAATGATAGAAGGAGAATTACTAGGCTGGGCAGAGTTTTCCACATTGGCTTATATTTAGTTTTGTCATTGCTAAGAATGAACGAGTACTTGTAAAAGAGAAATCAAAATATTTATAAAAATAAAGTGAATGTTATGCTTGCATGTAGACTATTTATGATTATCCAAGTCACATCTGCTATTCTATTTTTTGGATGATAAATGGTGCCCAAAAAAGGAGAGTGATTTCTTTTATAGAAGGGTGGTTTATTCAAGGATTTAGTGTTACTGAGCAGCAGAGTTGTTTCTGGAACTTATTTACTCATTCACTCCATCAGTGCCTTCAGTGGGCAGCCACCAGGAACACACCTGAAGCCAAACAGAATTGGATTTATTGACTTACAGTGAGGGAGAATGAACACCATGGAGAAACACGGCAGAGGAAAGAAATGCTGTAGAGTGGACTTAACAGGTATTGGGCTTGTGAGTGATTTGAGGCAAGTTCAAGGGAGTGGGGCTTTGCTCTTAATTGGATGCTATCTGAAATAAGACATTGCTGTCAAAGACAGCAGATGATGTAGCTCAGGAAACAACTTACAGATCAAATATACTTTGAGGCATCTTCTGCTAACACAAGCAATCAGCTTGAATCAAATACACCCAAGTTAAAAAGAACAGCAGATAATTTACAGCAGATGTAATTTGATGTCATGGTTTCTCCTCATTTTGGGAGGAGAGGCTGGGATGCATTTTAGAAATTTGAACAATGTTTAAATTAAGAATTAGGTTTGACATCTAGCCTCCAACCTTAATATGTCATCACAGAGAGTAAACTATCCAAAACCAAGAGATCCAAACTACTTGTTTTTCCTCTATTTTGCCAATGGAGATGTTTTCTGCCTTTCTTCTCCATGGCCCTTAAAATATAAAAACCTGACAATCTCTGCTCCCTATCAGATTATAGAGTCCAGGACCTAGCCTGCACTGAAAAGAGACTGTTGAAATAAAGGGCTTGTACTTACATTTTATTTTTATTATAATCATGGTTATAATTAAGATTTAGGTTTTTTGGCCAGGCGCAGTGGCTGGTGCCTGCAATCCCAGCACTTTGGGAGGTCGAGGTGGGTGTATCGCTTGAGCCCAGGAGTTTGAGTCCAGCCTGGGCAACATAGTGAGACCTTGTCTTGACCAGACATTTTAAAAGTTAGCCAGACTTCGCGGTGTGCGCCCGTGGTTCCAGCTACTCAGGAGGCTGAGGTGGGAGGATCACCTAAACCTGAGGGGAAGGCTGCAGTGAGCCAGGATCACCCCATTGCACGCCAGCCTGGGTGACAGAGAGACATGTTCTCAAAAAAAAGGTTTATGTTTTCTACTGGGGATAGTAAGAGGGCACGCAGGGCTCCTCTTGGAAAGGCCATTTGCACTATACCTCAGCTCTATGGGGAAGAGGAATACGAAACATCGCAAGAGGACATGGAGACTTTTTCCAGGTTCCTTAGTTGGTATTTGAGTTTGGCTGGAGGAGAATGAGCTCCTTGGAGGCGATGTTAGTAAACCCTAAGTTTCAGAGTTGGAGGACCAAAAGCCTGCCATACAGAAAAACTAGGGAAAGCTTGTGGATGTGGTGTTTTGTGGGTTGGTATAGGCTTATTCCTGGGTAAGCTCTAGGACCCCAGTGAACAATATATAGCTTGAGAACCACAGGCAGACCAACCTACTTCTCCATACATCAGTCAGTTTATAAAGAAGCACCCTTTCTTCATAAGCCTTATTTATCAAAAGCAGGGGAATAATGGGTGGGGGACTCTTTAAGGAAATAACCTCAGGTGCCAAGGAAATATTTCAGAACCCCCTGGAAATGCCCAGCAGCCGAAATAGCTAGGAGGGCAGCTGGGACTGATGAGAGGAGCCTGGCATTGGCAAGAGGAAGATTGCCCATGAGAAAGGCAGTATTGAGTCCCTACCAGAGTCAGAAACCAGCAGGATAAAAATGAGCTGCTTCTGGGAGACAAAGTGGAGAGAGTGCCTGCATGCTGTCCAGCTGTCTGAGAATCCAGATGCTGCTCAGAGGAAGTGAGAGATCCTGAGAGTTCCTGTGACTGAGACTGGGTTTTAAAGATATACCCCCTTTCCTGCTTCATGTTAATTAAACTGAACATGAGCAAGGTGCTGGGACCCTGTGGGGAGACTCAGAGCATGCCCGGTGGAGGAGAAGCTGTTGCTTAGTCAGTGCAGACTGTTTCTAGGGGTTGGAGCTCTGCTCACATCTTTTAACTGTGTAGCCTTGAATGCTCTGCGCATTGAGTTCCTCATTTGTAAAAAGGAATTGTACATTCCTTCTTTCTAGGTTTGATTTGAGGATGAAGGGAGATTGGGCTTTTAAAATAGCTATGACAGGTCCTAACGCATAGATGGTTCTCAATGAATATTGGTTCATTTCTTCTTGCCTGAGCAGAAAGTGACACTTTCTCACTAGGCAACCATCAAGAATGGGGAATTGGACTCAACTTGGAGGGGAAGGGATTTCACACATAACCTTTTATAAAATACTTGCTGTAACACAGATTACAGGGAACAGAGCAGTTCTTTGCAGGAGGCCTACTATTTGGATCAGCTACAACCTTTCAAGCCACAGGACTGAAGACACATTATTCTTAATTATCTAAAGCCAGAAAAAGAAAGAGCTGATTGAGTTAATGGACAATGCTTAGGAATGTGGACACTGGTTTATTAATTATTCTCTACCTCCAAACAGCATTAGAGTCATGTATAACTTAGCATTTCTAAGTCATTGCAGTCAGTCAGTTAAATTGACAAGAGACTTTCAAATTTTATTTAATAGCCTTGTGACTGTTCTTGTTTCCATGGATCTGGGTGGAAGTTGGATGGATGAACACAAAGAAAGCTTAGAAATGATTGAGTAGAAGAAACCAGACCTCTAGGAAGGATTAACGATTTTTGTTTTTGGCCCTGATCCACTATTCTAACATCAAATACACAGCTGTTTATTGAAAGCCACGCTTCTTGCTAGGATGACACGCTCATTCTGGTCCACCTGGAGTTTTCCTGGAGTTGGCATTGAAAGTCCAAAGTTGCAGTAAATCTCTCTGTTTCAGACTCACGGGGATAGTTGGCTGCCCTACTGGAAAGGGCCAAGACAAATTGTAAAGGAAGACACAACTTTGATGAACTCTGGAGCTACAAGCCAGGGACAAGGCTGAGGGAAGCCCAGGTAAGGGTTTAGATAGCAGAAGTGGATCTCCAGAGTCACAAAGTAGAAATCTTCAATTATTGGAGAAATCCAGAAGATGGAGAGGTCACTTAGGCCACTTTCAATAACCAATAAGCAAAATATTCAAATGCCACAAAAACACATAAACAATCAAACAAAATTCATTCCCCATCCTAAGTTTAAATGTGGACTAGGATCAAAGATCTCCCTTGGGACTGGTGGCAGAGTAAATAAATTACCCTCTAAGGAACCAATCTGCAGAGCAGTATTCATCAAAATTACCTGGAGTGTTTATTAAATAATTTTCTGTAACTCACCCCAATCTACCAAACATGATTGCTAGAGGAGAGGACTGGGAATATGTCCTTTTAAAAGGCATCTTGGGTGACTCTAATGTGAAATTTTTTGCTCTAGGATGGTGATCCTCAAACACTTTTGATTATTGAGCCCTAGCAGTAAAAAATTTAAAAAAAGATCTTTAACATATGTATATGTACTTATCTATCTATCTATCTACCTATCTATCTATCTATCATCTATCTATCTATCTATCTATCTGTCTATCTATCTATCTATCTATATTACTCTTACTCACCCTTTAGGTTTTTCATTTAACACCTTTTAGACATGGTAAAATCTGCTTGGTTTATCTTACCGTACTTTGAATCTTTCTTTTCAGAATACACTCCAATCTGCTAGACTGGAGTTTCCTGAGGGCAAGGACTGTGTCTGTTTCATTTACCTTTGTATTCATAACAGCAAAATGCTTGGCCCAATAAAATATTGGTGTGAATTGAATTTAGGATTCCTCTTTAAATGACAGGTAGCTTGTTGTCTGGGGCAGTCCTGGTTAATGCTGGCATTGTTTGTCCAAACTGTTTCACGTTTCCATGGAAACAGAACCAGCAGTTCATGTAGGCACCACTACCTGTCAGTGCCAGGTACCCAAAGAGAGTTTAAAATCCCATTTCCTGGTCTCCAGTTGGTTTTCTCCTGCAGTGCCAGAACTTCTGCTGCAGGCGAAAGGACCCTCCATTGAAAGAGCAGCGGGAGCTGTCACTAAGAGGCTTTCAATCTAGACAAGTAAGAAGAAAAGGAGTGGAGCAGCTTCATGCATCAAACAATACCTCCCCTCAGGTGGCATGATCTTGGGGGAAGCCTCTTTGGACAGGGAGGGAGAGAACAAATCCACTTCATGCTCCCTGGGGCCTTATTGTTGAGTTCCAGCGATTGTTAACATCAATTATGCTGTAACTACTTAATAGCACCTTTGAAAACAGGGATTGCTGGCTTTGGAAAAACCCTGGAGCTTTCTTTATCTCCTGTTGGTGGAAAAGATCAACACTAAAATTAAGATTATAAGTCCAGGAGCAGTTTCATGGTTATATAACTGCTTCCAGGCATGAGAGGTAGATGCTGTACACATTTTAGGTAAATTGAAAAGCTGTGGGATGTTGCAGCTGAAGAGATCCTCAAGATTGTGACCCCCAGTCTGCATCATGGAGGCAGGTGTTGTGAAATGACCAAGCTAATTTCCTCATGTACAACTGTTAGGTCCTTTTTGGGAAATGTCTGTCGTCTCTAAGGATTAGAGGCTGGTGAAGGTTATGGGCCTTCTGCTCACAACTTTCTACTAGGTTATGATGGAAGTAAGTTTCAGGCCAAATTTTGCCATATATAGTGACATTTAGTAGCAAGCAGGCCCCCAGATGATCAGCTCTGATCTTTGAGGTTCTCTGACTATATTTGGTATGCAAGGTCCATGAGAGGAAAATGTGGCAATGTGTAGCTAATGTTATTTTTTTAAAAATTTTTTAATTTGTAACTTGCATAGTTATTTTTTGAAAAATAAAAATTATATGTATTTATTATGTGTAATATGATGTTTTCAAACATGTATATATTGTGGAATGGCTAAATCAGACTAATTAACATATGCATTACATCCACAGACGTCATTTTTAAATGGTGAGAATACTTAAATCTACTGTCTTAGCAATTTTCAAGAATATAATACATTGTTATTAACTATAGTCTCCATGTATATGATAGATCTCTTGAACTTATTCCTCCTAACTGCAATTTTGTACCCTTTGACCAATATATTCCCAATCAAACCCTCCCTTTCCTCAATAACCACCATTCTGTTCTCTCCTTCTTTTTTAGATTCCACATGTAAGTGAGATAATGTATTTATCTCTCTATTCCTAGCTTATTTCACTTAACATGATGTCCTCAGGTTCACCTATGTTGTTGCAAATGACTGGATTTCTTTCTTTTTAAAGGCTGAATTCCATTGTGTATATGTACCACGTTTTCTTTATCCATTTATTTATTAATGGGCATTTAGGTTGAATCCATATCTTGGCTATTATGAATAGTGCTGCAATGAACATGGGAGTACAGATATCTCTCTGATGTATTGATTTCATATTCCATGGATATATACCCAGTAGTGGGATTGCTGGATCATACTATTAGTACTATTTTTAATTGTTTGAGGAACGTTCATACTAGTTTCCATAATTGCTGTATCAATTTACATTCCCACCAACAGCACAAAGGGTTCCCTTTTCTCCACATCCTCACCAACGCTTGTTATCTTTTGTCTTATTGATATTAGCCATTTTAACAGGTGTGAGATCATATTTCATTGTGGTTTTTAATTTGTATTTTGCGATGATTAGTGATGTTGAGTACCTTTTCATACACCATTGGCCATTGGACATTTGTATGTCTTTGTTTAAGAAATGTTTATTCAGTTCCTTTACCTACTTTTAGCCAGTTGTTTCCTTGCTATTGAGTTCCTTATGTATTTTGTATATTAACCCCTTATCAGATATATGGTTTGCAATTTTTTCCCCCATTTTATAGGTTGTCTTTTCATGCTGTTGATTGTTTCCTTGGATGTGCAGAAGCATTTTACTTTGACGAAATTCCATTTGTCATTTTCACTTTTGTTGGCTGTTTGTTGGGGGTCATATCCAAAAAATCACTGCCAAAGCCAGTGTCTTAGAGGTGCCTATGTTTTCTTCCAGTAGTTTTACAATTTTAGGTCTTATGTTTGAGTCTGCAATCCATTTTGAGTTGATTTTTGTATATGGTGTGAGATAAGGGTCTAATTTTATTCTCTGCTTGTGGATATCTAGTTGTCCCAACGTCATTTATTGAAGAGACGGTCTTTTCCCCATTGTGTGTTCTTGGTACCTTTGTCAAAAATAAATTGTCTGTAAATGGGTGGATTCAGCTAACCTTATAGTTGGATAGAGACAGCAAGAATCCCCTGAATCAGTAGCTGTTCTGTCTGCAGTCAAGCATGGGGCACATTCCAAAAGATACAGACTAGTGCTCGTGCTAGATTTTTGGTTTTATCCTACTTGTGCAAAGAACAGAAAGAGCCTTTAAATACTTTAGCCAATGCACACATCTTGAAGACCATTTATCTCACTAGTGAAAAACCATTGCTGATGTAGGGTCTCAGAAAACGAAACCCCAAAATGAAGACCTCAGAAGCAGCTCTCTCTGACCTCCTGCCCACCTGTCTCTGGCCTCTCATTCTCCCCCGAGGCTAACCATAGAAACTAGAATCCCTCTTCCTTAAGGTGGGTCATAGAAACCAGAACTCTTTGCCCCCAAAGCCAGCCATAAAACCTAAAAATATTGCTCTAACTTCCTTCCTGTATTTTTGTATAAAAATTGGCATAGAGAAATCATCTGAACTACCTTGTTTGCCTGTGGGTCATAAGACCCCCATTCCAGAAAGGGTTCTACCCCACACCCAGAAGGGAGGAATGCTGTACAGAGAGGCCATGAAGCATGTAAACAGACAGGTCTTGCTGGGTTTCCCTGCTCAGTTTTCTAGCATTAGATTATACTCTCTTTGTTCAATCATAATTTCTACCTGCTGTCTGTACTTTGTCGAACCTAAGCATAAAAATGGAAAGTTACTTTGTATCTTTGGGTCTCCTTTCTGAAGGCTATTGTGTCACATAAAATTATAATCAAATAATGGTATGTCTTTCCTCTCATTAATCTCCATTCGTCAGTGATTTTCAGAGAAACTTCACAGGGCAAAGGGGAAGTTTTCTCTTGGCCCTTGCACTAACATTCATCATGTTCTTTATCCCAGGCTATGGGAGAGTGAGGCAGAAGAGCATGACAAGCCAAAGCTGTCTTGTTACGCAGATAAAAATCTCTCTTGTAATCTTGGAGCTGCCCTCAGATGGAATAGACAGAGTCACTGTTTCTCTGTCAGACCTTTAAAAGTGTCAGACCTTCTGAGTTAATCTTCACTAGACCTAGATAAGGGAGATGAAAGGGGCCTCAGAGAAAGCCTGTTTGCTTCTGCTGTTTGTTTCACTAATGTAGATTTTCTCTGCAGATCTTTGAACAGGACAGCTGTTCAAAGCTGTTCCTGTGGCCTGCAGCCTCTCTGACTAGCTATCTAAAAATATGCCAAAGAAGTATATTTTGAGGTAAAATAGTCTGATTTCCTTCGCTGGGATACATTGGGAGAACCCCTTTTTCAAAAATTTCCAGCCACGGACAAGCCACGGATGCTTGAAGTTCCACTGAAGGTAGCTCATTCTTCTGGTCTAGCTTTATTATCAAGCGCAGTCCACTTCAAAAACAAATCAGTGAATAAAATTGAGGCAAAGTGGGGAGAGAGCTCCACAAAGGTGGTCACCTCAAGGGAATTGGAAGGAGAAATTTTTGAAGGGAGTAACAGAAGATGGTTTTTAAACATTTTTGCAGTATTATCTTACCGAAAATTTAACTTCAACCTAGAGAAATCTATAACATCCGACTTTTGCCCACGCACTGGTGTATCCAGTCTACCTTTGTACCTATAGGCCTGTGAATGATGCTCAGCTCCTGGCGGTGGAGAGTCAGTGGCTTCTCCAAAGCTATTCTCAAGCTCCTTGAATCTGCTGATCAGGGTCACAGCACTTCTTGGGTAGGAGCCCATGCCTTGGCTTTTCTGATATGTGGAGGCAGTGAGTACTCCTCTGCAGGGCTGCTATGCTGCTCAGCCCCAGGGACCATGCCCTCTACAGTGCTCAAGGGCTTAAGAGGATGCTGTGCACTTAGAATACACCTGGACGCTGCCCCTCCCTTCCCTGGGAGCTGTTCCTGGCCAGGTTGACACCCTTCTCTTTTCTTTCAAAGGCTGCTTGAACTTTCCTCTCCTCTAGCCACTGGGTGTGTTTCCTGCATAGTCAGGAGTGTGTGGAGAGGCCTGTGCTGTCATAGCTTTCTCTCTCTGTCTCTTTTTTTTTTTGTCACCCAGGCTGGAGTGTAGTGGTGCAACTGTAGTTCACTATGCAGCCTTGAACTCCTGGCTCAAGCGATCCTCCCACCTCAGCCTCAGGAGTAGCTAGTGCACCACCATGCCCCACCATGCCTGGCTAATTTTTAAATTTTTCTGTAGAGAAGGGGTCTCCCTATGTTGCCCAGGCTGGTCTCAAACTCCTGGCCTCAGATGATCCTCCTGCCTTGGCCTCCTAAAAGTGCTAGGAGTATAGGCGTGAGCCACTGTGCCCAGCCCTGTCTTAGCTCTCTTGATCCCTGAAGTGGGGTTTCTTTCTGAACCCCAGGGACACCGTCCAAAGCTGTTTGAGGGGCCAGACTGGGCAAGAATCAAAAAAACAACACATTCTATTCAGGAAAACCCTCTCTGGAGCAGCTTGTTTTCCTCTACCTGGTAAACTTTTACTTATCCTTCATGACCCAGCTCAGGTGTTACCTTCCTCATGACATTTTTGACATTTCCACTGGCAGGGTTACAAGGCGAGGATCGTTCTGTTTTTTTCCGGGCATCCTTAGTGCACTGCTCGTTCTCTATAGAAGGAATAGTCACACTTATTGGTCACATCCTCTGTGTCAGGCATCTTCCCGGTGCTTACATGCATAATCTCATTTCATCAACTCCAGAATGCTCTGAGGTGATGTGATTTTTCAGGTGAGGACACAGCCTCAGGAAGGTCAGTTTGTCTGAGGTTACCCAGCCAGTAAGCAGTAGATCTAGGATTCAAACCCAAGCTAATCTGACTCCAGAAGACACAGACTGCTTTTTCTCTGTGCTACATGGACCCACTGTGGCTTCTGCATCACTCTACATTGTAACCTAGTAGTTGCAGTCAACACAAGACCAGATCTCTGAGGTTAGAAACCATGTTCACTATCTTTGAATCTCCAGAACTTAGCTTGCTGCTTGACCCACACAGAAGACACTGAGTAAATGCCCAAAGTGTCACTAATTAGGAATTCAACTGCATTAAGCGAATACCCAAGGGAAGGGTGTAGTCTGAGAGGGCCTACTAGTCTTCATTGAGTGTGGGATGACTTTCGTGTTGCTAAATCCAACTGCCAATGCTTCATCTCAACTTATTTGACCCATTTGCATTTAGAAACATTGATGGTTCCCTCCTCTTAATACTTTCTCTACTTGAAGTGTGCATGCCTTTTTTTGCCTCCTTCCTTGTCACTTCTTTGCCGACTTGCTGGCCCCATCTTCTCCCCTGTCCTACTGCTGGAGGGCCCTGGGCCCTGTCCTTGGTCGTCTCCTTGCTTGCTCACTCACTTGGGGATTTCAGTTTACCTTATGCCTTTAATAAACACCATTTGTCTGGCCAGCTGCGGTGGCTCACGCCTGTAATCCCAGCATTTTGGGAGGTCGAGGCAGGCAGATCATGAGGTCAGGAGATGGAGACCATCCAGGCTAACACGGTGAAACCCCGTCTCTACTAAAAATACAAAAAAATAGCCAGGTGTGGTGGTGGGTGTCTGTAGTCCCAGCTACTCGGGAGGCTGAGGTAGGAGAATGGCATGAACCCAGGAGGCGGAGCTTGCAGTGAGCTGAGATTGCCCCACTGCACTCTAGCCTGGGTGACAGAGCGAGACTCCATCTCAAAAACAAACAAACAAAAAACAACAAAAACAAAACAAAACAAAACAAAAACCCCACCATTTGTCTATAGAATTTATGTTTCCAGCCCCAATGTCTTTCCTGAATCGTGACACATATAACCAACTGCCTGGTACACATCTCCCCTCAGATGTCTAATAGCCATCTCAGTTACAACATGTTCAAAGCTGAATTTCTGATTCCACCTCCTGCTCCCTGCCCCTAGCCCCGGACAAAGAAAAACTGCTCCTTTGCTGACTCCCCAATTCCTGCAGTCTTTCTCAACTCTACTCTTTCTTCTGCACCTCTCATCTAATTCACTAGGAAATGCTAAAGAATCTGATCACTTCCCATTACTTCTCTGCCGCTAAGCTGCAATTATCTCTCACACGGGTTAGGAGAAGTTAGTTTTCTAAATGTTCTCCCCTTAGCTCACCACTCAAAACTCCATAAAGTTTTCTGAACACAGTAGCAAGAGTGATCTTTTAAAATATAAGTCAGAGCATGTTGTTTCTCTGTTCAAAATCCAGTTACACTAAAAGTAAAAGCTAAGGGGCTTACAATGGCCCACTGACACCCATCCTCATTGTTCTCCTTACCTCCCTGACCTCATCTTCTAGTGTCCCCATCTCTTTCCCAGCTACACGGGCCTCTCGCTTCTTCCCCAGTGCCAGTAGTGCCCTGGCCGTGAGTCTTTACCCTCACCATATCCTTTGCATTTCTTTACACCCAACATGTATACCTGGCCCAATCTCCCACCTTCTTTGTAACTTTTCTAGAATGTTACTTTCTCAATAAGGCTTACTGGGACCACCCACTTAATTTTGCCAACTACCTTCACACCTGCATTAATCCGTTTTCATGCTGCTGATAAAGACATACTCAAGATTGTGTAATTTATAAAGAAAAAGAGGTTTGATGGACCCACAGTTCCACGTGGCTGGGGAGGCCTCACAATCATGGCAGAAGGTGAAAGGCACATCTTACATGGTGGCAGGGAAGAGAGAGAATATGTGCAGGGGAACTCCCCTTTATAAAACCATCAGATCTTGTAAGACTTATTCACTGTCACAAGAATAGCATGGGAAAGACGTGATCTTATGATTCAATTACCTCCCATAGGGTCCCTCAAATGACACGTGGGAATTATCAGAGCTACAATTCAAGATGAGATTTAGATGGGGACACAGCCAAACCATATCATTCTGCCCTGGCCCCTCCCAAATCTCATGTCCTCGCATTTCAAAACCAATTATGCCTTCCCAACAGTCCCCCAAAGTCTTAACACATTTCAGCATTAACTCAAAAGTCCAAAGTCTCATCTGAGACAAGGCAAGTCCCTTCCACTTATGAGCCTGTAACATCAACAGCAAGTTAGTTACTTCCTAGATACAAGGGGGTACAGGCATTGGGTAAATATAGCTGTTCCAAATGGGAGAAACTGGCCAAAATGAAGTGGTTACTGGCCCCATGCAGATCTGAAATACAGCAGGGCAGTCAAATCTTAAAGCTCCAAAATGATCTCCTTTGACTCCATGTCTCACATCCAGGTCATGCTGATGCAAGAGGTGGACTTCCATAGTCTTGGGCACCTCTGCCCTCGTGGCTTTGCAGGTTATAGCCTCCCTCCTGGCTGCTTTCACAGGCTGATGTTGTCTGCAACTTTTCCCTGGGCATGGTGCAAGCTGTTGATGGATCTACCATTCTTGGGTCTGAAGGACCGTGGCCCTCTTCTCACAGCTCCACTAGACAGTGCCCCACTGGGGATTCTGTGTGGGGGCTCCAACCCCACATTTCTTTTCTGCACTGCCCTAGCAAAGGTTCTCCGTGAGGGCCCCACCCTGCAGCAAACTTCTGCCTTGGCATCTAGGCATTTCCATACATCTTCTGAAATCAGGCGGAAGTTCCCAAACTTCAATTCTTGACTTCTGTGTGCCCACAGGCTCAACACCACATGGAAGCTGCCAAGGCTTGGGGCTTTCACCCTCTGAAGGCCATGGCCCCTTTTAGCCATGGCTAGAGCAGCTTGGATGCAGGGCACCAAGTCCCTAGGCTGCACACAGCAGGGGGTCCTCGGCCTGGCCCCCAAAACCATTTTTTCCTCCTAGGCCTCTGGACCTGTGATGGGAAGGGCTGCCACAAAGGTGTCTGACATGCCCTGGAGACATTTTCCCCATTGTCTTGGTGATTAACATTTGGCTCCTCGTTACTTATGCAAATTTCTGCAGCTGGCTTGAATTTCTCCTCAGAAAATTTTTTTTTTTTCTATCACATCATCAGGCTGCAACTTTTCCAAACTTTTATGCTCTGTGTTTCTTTTAAAACTGAATGCTTTAAATAGCACCCAAATCACCTCTTGAATTCTTTGCCACTTAGAAATTTCTTCCACCAGATACCCTAAATTATCTCTCTTAAATTCAAAGTTCCACAGATCTCTAGGGCAGGGGCAAAATTCCACCAGTCTCTTTGATAAAACATAGCAAGAGTTACCTTTACTCCAGTTCTCAACAAGTTCCTCACCTCCATCTGAGACCACCTCAGCCTAGATTTCATTGACTATATCATTATCAGCATTTTGGTCAAAGCCATTCAACAAGTCTCTAGGAAGTTCCAAACTTTCCCACATTTTCCTGTCTTCTTCTGAGCCCTCCAAACTGTTCCAACCTCTGCCTGTTACCCAGTTCCAAAGTCACTTCCACATTTTGGGGTATCTTTACAGCAGTACCCCACTACCTGGTACCAATTTACTGTATTAGTCTGTTCTCATGCTGCTAATAGAGACATACCACAGACTGGGTAATTTATAAAGGGAAGAGGCTTAATTCGCTCACAGTTCCATGTGGCTGGGGAGGCCTCAAAATCATGGCAGAAGGTGAAAGGCACATCTTACGTGGCGTCAGGGAAGAGAGAGAATTTGTGCAGGGGAACTCTTCTTTACATAATTATCAGATCTCGTGAGACTTATTCACTGTCATGAGAACAGCAAGGGAAAGACCTGACCCCATGATTCAATTACCTCCCACTGGGTCCCTCCCACAACATGTGGAAATTATGGAAGCTACAATTCAAGATGAGATTTGAGTGGGGACACTGCCAAGCCATATCAACACCCCACCTTTAATCTCCCTTGCTTTTTGTTTTTTGTTTTTTCCAGAACACCTAAATATTTTTAACATATATCATTTCATGGCTCCTATTTCAAGTGGGGTGGTTACTGGGGATAGTCATTCACTTATACATTCATTCATTCACACATTTTTTCAAATATGTAGTAGGTACCTACTAGTCAGGCTCTAGTGATATAGAGATGAATACATTGTGATTCCTATCATAAAAAATGTTTTATTCTGGTTGTTAAGAAGTATATAAACAGGCCATGGGTGGTGGCTCATTCCTGTAATCCCAGCACTTTGGGAGGCTAAGGCAGGAGGATAACTTGAGCCCAGGAGTTTGAGATCAGCCTCGGCAACATAGTGAGACTCCATCTCTACAAAAACTAATAAAAGAATCAGGCAGGCATGGTGGCCTATGCCTATAGTCCAGCTACTTGGGAGGCTGAGGTGGGAGGATCACTTAAGCCTAGGAGGTCAAGGCTGCAATGAGCCATGATCACGCCACTGTACTCCAGCCTGGCAGCCAGGGTGACAGATCCTGTCTCTCTTAAAAAAAAAAAAAAAAGAAAAAGAAAAGTGTGTGGTCTGGGTGCGGTGGCTCATGCCTGTAATCCCAGCACTTTGGGAGGCTGAGGCAGGGGATCACATGAAGCCAGGAGTTCAAGACCACCTGGTCAATGTGGCAAAACCCCATCTCTAGTAAAAATACAAAAATTAGCCAGGTGTGGTGGTGCCTGCCTGTAGTCCCAGCTGCTTGGGAGGGTGAGGCAGGAGAATCACTTGAACCTGAGAGGTGGAGGTAGCAGTGAGCTGAGATCACATCACTGTACATCAGCCTGGGCGACAGAGTGAGACCTTGTTTAAAAAACAAACAAACAAACAAACAAACAAACAAAAAACTCTGAACAGGTAATTAGAGTCTGAGAAGTTTCCATTGTAGTGGAGATAGCAGAAAAGGCTCTGTACAAGAGTAGCTCTTGAGTATTCCTTAGTGAATACTGAAGAATTAACGAACACCAAATTTAGCACAGGTAGAAACTGAGCCAAAGAGTGTTTGTTTCCATTCATGTATATTAAAAGTCTTAAGTTCATGCAAAGCCTCCCAAAGTTTCTATAAAACAATGCTTGAAACCTCATTCCAAAAGAGGCAACATTCTTAAATGGACATATCTTCATGCTGAAGTCTTCAGAATTCTGAAACCTCATCTACTAAACTAAAAGCTGACATTATTTGAAATAAATACTCTTGTTGAAACTTGGGTTTGAAATATTCTGTTGCATCCCAGATCTGTTGATCATCTGTTGTGCCTGAATTTCTGTAGGGACAATATTTAACCTTTGTGTTAAGTGGTTCTTAAATGGCACTGTGAGGAGGGTAGTGTCACATCAGCACACTACAAAGTGCCTCTGTATCCCCGGTGACATTTTGTTCTTTGTGAGACCTCTGAAGTATTGCTTAATGGCAATTGTTGTCATCATAGGATGGGTAAAGGTATCTTGTCACAGATTTAGAACTGGCTTAGAGACAGGAAACAAAGTGAATCAGTAGAAATGCACATTTGTTTGGAAGGAAAAGGGTAAACACAGTGGGGTTCCTCAGGGATTGGTCTGGCTCAATCTTATTTAAAACATTTATAAATGATCCAGAGAAGGGCTCACACAGTGAAATCTCCAAAGTCTGCAGCTAATGCTGAACTACTCTGGATATGGAAAAGCTAAGTGGATGAGTACCAATGCAGGGAAAATTTAGGAGGCTGTTCTAATATGTAGGAAAGCAGTAAACATAGACTTTTATTTTTTTTTAGAAGAGTTTCACTCTGTCACCCAGGCTGGAGTGCAATGGCGCAGTCTTTACTCACTGCAACCTCCACCTCCCGGGTTCAAGTGATTCTGATTCCTCAGTCTCCCAAGTAGCTAGAAATACAGGCACGTGCCACCACTCCTGGCTAATTTTTGTATTTTTAGTAGAGACGGGGTTTTACCATGTTGGCCAGGCTGGTCTCGAACTCCTGACCTCAGGTGATCTGCTGCCTGGGCATCCCAAAGTGCTGGGATTACAGGCATGAGTCACTGTGCCTGGACGACATGGACCTCTTAAGTGTGGACATGTGCAGTGTAATGCATTTAGAACAGAAAAATTCAAAATATTTTAAAAGGATGATTCTAAAATATGACACAGGAAAAAGACTCCAGGGTGGAGCAAATCTGCCGTCACAGAGATTCGCCAATGTAATTGTTTTCTCCGTGAAGACAGAAAACCATGATAATCAGTATGACATTAGATTTTCCAAAACTTCAGCTCTTGGCCATGCATTCATTAAATTCATATAATTGAATTAAATTAAATTCATATAATTTATATGTTTATTAAATTAAACTCATATAATTAAAATTTATATAACTAAATAAATATATAATATAAGTAAGTTCATATAATTTATATGTTTGGAGAGCACCTACTATACAGGACAGCTTGGGCACTGTGATAGATACTGAAGAAGCCTCCAAGGGACATGACCTGAGAAGTAGGCAGTGAGAGTGATGGGAGGAGACAAGTGAGGGTCTTTGACATTTGGGAACCTAGCGGTCAGCCTGGAGTGAGAAGTGGGCAAGGATCTCAGACACTCCTGGGAGCAGCTGCCACCAGGAAACTTCTAGTGATTGTGTCCAGGGAAAGGTTGCCTTTTCTGTTTATTCTAAACCATTTTATCCAGCTAGAAGTGCCTATCATGCTATTGCGTGTTCTTAGTCTCTGTGCTTTATGCTTTACATATTTAATTTGGATAATGTTGCACTTTATCTGAGCCTTGTGTTTCTGGAAAGCAGCACCTGTTGAGAATTTTGCCCATTCTTTTGTATCCCGGGAAATGGTTAACTGCAAAAGAATACCTTGTCCTCGCATCTTGCCAAGGTAGGAACTGTCTCCATCCCTCCTCATGATTCAAGGATAGCTTCTTTGTCTACCCAACTCTATAAAAGCCCAGAACCCCTTCCCTTTCTTTCACAAAATGAACATTCTCCTCATTGCAACAGCCTAAATAAAATCATCTCCTTAATTGTCTGGTGAATTTTGTTTTTCACAATTTCAAGTAATCAATTATAATAGAATATTTATTTGATCACTTATACTTTGTGCTTTTGCCATCAGGCACTGTGCTGGGCTGCAGATGTAAAGCACTGAGCAAGGCAGACTCTCTCCCGGCCCCCCAGCTCACAGGCTAGTAGGAGCATCAGATGATCAAACAAGGAATTATGAAACAGTGGATTGACTGTTGTGATAGGTATACAGGTGAAGTAAATGAATTACTGATTGTAAAAAAAAAAAAGAATTTAACCCAGTATTGAAAAATGCAGTGTTTGAGTTGCCGTTAAATGTTTCTTTGACGTACATCTTGAAATACAGAAATTGCTTTTATTGAGGAACAATAGGACTCATTATATAAGGGCCTGACTCAGCTGTGGGGAGGCTGGGCCATGCTTCTGTTCTGGCTGCTCAGAGGACTCCCAGAATGGCTGGAAAATGGTCACATGGATTCCCTGGTTGAAGGTAGAAAAGGGAAGAATATGACTGACACATAAACCTGAGTTTATCTGAATTTTTGATGTTTGGCACAGGGCACTACGAACTTGCTAATGGTCTATTGAGAAGACAAAATTGCAAGCCAAGGCCTTGGAACAAGAAAGCATTAGAAATATTTTCTTCGATCCTATTTTGTCTGGTGGATTACCATGGCAATGGGCTACTGGGAAGAGACAGTTAGTTCTACTAACACATTATTTTGTATGTGAAAACTTTGCTCAGAATGGTATTTGGTCTAGGACTTTGCCTGACTTCCATAGTGTGGGGAACTTAGTGTTTGAATAACATTGCCTAACAGATTCTGGTGTTCAAGTGTTTTCTAAATTTTAAAACCTTACCTCAGGACCTTGAAATAGGCAATGATATGTGGAGATACAGATCCTGGCTGCTATGAGCACATAAAAATAATAAATATGTTTAAATAATAATGCTTTAAAATAATAACAAATATTTTTTATTATTAAGATGATGAATAAAAATGATTAATATAAAAGTGATCAATTGTAAAAATTCAGAGAAAATAAATAACAAGAATGAAATAGTATTTATTAGTATCTCCTCCCTAACAAGGTAGTTATTATTTTACCCTCATTTTACACATGAATCAGCTAATACTAAGGTTCACCACTCAGGTCCGTTTGACTGCAAAACTCACACTCTGCTATATTGTTTCCAATTCTTGACTGTCATATGAATTCTGGTCACTGCCTTGAAACTGACTACTATAAAAGAGAAGTTGCCCCAAACCTGGTGTGGGAAGGAATCTTTTTACATGATGTAATTTGCAACCTCATTCTGAGAAGAAATTAACATTCCTGACAAAATGCTTAAGTAATATTCTGGAAAACATTAATGGACCAAAGTCTTGTTCTAGGAAACCAGTCACCTATCTACCCCACTGAATGACATTCAACAATCTAGTGGCTTTTAACAAACATTCTCTTCTTTTTGTATTTTCCTATCAAATGTTCTTATGAAGAATGTATTAATATTTCTGATTGGCTTACTGGAGGCCTTTGTCCTTGAAGCAAGATTGTAACAAACTTTGACAGTGCCCATAACTAAAATGTCTGAAGGGTTTTTGTGAACACTCTAGACTGGTGTATTTGCTGTGGAATCAAACTTTCTTATCAATCCAGTGGATGTGGATCCCCTCACCTGCCTACTGCTTACCAACCTCCTCCCTGCTTCTTCGTCATTTCTTCCACCCCTCAGTATTTCTGTTCCTTGTTGATCTGGACTGGAGACATTGAGATGGCCTAGGCCCACCCAGTTGGAGCCCTGTTTTGGAGTATCTTTTTCCTTAGATGGTTGTGAGTCACTTCTCAAAGGCCAAGTGGAATTTTTCAGGAAAAATATCATGGGAAGGATACCTCATGAGGATAAGCTTAACTGTCCAAGATTTATCCTGAAGAGAGGGAAGGATGCACTGGGAGATAAACACCTGGCTGTTTTAAAAGGTCATTCATTCACAGTCTGATCTGGCTATCAATAGAGACCGTTTCACTGAATCCTGGAACACAAGAGAGAGTAGTTAGTTACCTTTGCAGCTTAAGAATGCTTAAGCCAAGTAAGAGAAAATACCACTTCCTCTGGTGGACAGTAAGTCAAGGGAAATATTATGAGTTTAAAAATGTTTTTATATATTCACAAATAAAAGAACCATGATTAAGAGACTCTGAAATGCTTGGAGAAACACTGTTCTTGTTAACATTATAGTTAGGGGCAAATCACCTCCCAAATGAATTGTTGAAGATGCTATTGGCCTGAATGGACCATTGATCCAATCCAGAAAATTATCATTTCTTTTTGTTTTGGCTGGAAGGCTTAGCTTTTAACATTTTGACAACAATTATAGAGAAAGAGCAATATTGCTTATTTAGCATCCTGCTGAATTTCCTTATTGTAGAATTTTCATCTAGAGTTTGGGTAACTCTAAAATGCTTCAGAGGTATTAACAACATTGCAGTCTTCACCAAGTGAGGAAAACCTACAAAAAATGTGTGTGTAGGTGCAATGAAAAATTTTCAAGTCAATGTAAATGTGTTATAAGAGTGGAGAACCTGGAATTTTTAGAAGTAACTCAGCCCTAATACTTTCTGTCAAAATATAGAAGGCCACAGCTTTAGAAAATAAATACAAAACCTCAAACTTCTGTCCCTTTGAAGAATAAGAAAATATGAAACATAAAAATAAAATATCTGGAAAATACAGAGACATTTTGTTTTGCATCTTCATTTTCTTATTATTGACAAATTGAAAATTCCTGTTTTGTATTAAGCACAATGTTTGCTGTCATAAAACGTTTAAGCAGTGTGATCTGGGTTTATTTTTTGGAGTTGCCATCAGGGAGGACAGATTGCTTTTTTAAAAGTTACATTTCATTTTTTAAACCTTGAGCTAAAAAGCCTTTGGAGAATTGGGGGCACTGTCAGTGAGGTGCCTAACTCCTAGGGAATAGAAATAGAATGGCCTGGATGAAATATTTTTGTAAACTTCTCAAAATTCAAAAGTGTAACTATATGAATTTACTTTCTATTTAGTCCAGTGGATAAAAAGTGAAAGTTTGCCTTAAGGTTCAGAGTCTTGTGCTAAATTTGTTCAAAATTTCATGTGAAATAGTTACCAAATGGATACTTCCACCACACTTATCTACTTATGGTATCTGGTATTAAAAATAAAACCAAAGGAAGAAAAAGGCTGCTAATAATGGCAATGAAAACAGCTCATTCATTGGCTTTATTCCTTAGGCAAGGATTTCCAGAGCACCTTGATAGGTCTTAAGGATGTCAGATAGTGGGCATAGAGTGATGAGGAAGACAGGCACCATCCTTACCCTCATGGAGACTCTAGTTTAGTAGGAGAGGCAGGCCAAATGTGCAAAGGCCTGCAGGAGGCAGGAAAGGGACCTAAATTTGTGAAATGGTGTGAATTGATGGGAAGTGTGACAAACCAAAAAGAGAATGCACTGATTAAAGCTTTTCAAAAGAAATACTGTGTGGACCATGGAATGCATCTGTAAGCAGATTAGTCCTACATACCATTTGAAACCTCTACATTAAAGGAATAATTGCACAAATAACCATGCTAACCATGCAGGAAATAAGGACTATAAGGCATAATCCAAGATGTCATGAGAAAGTATAGTCATGATTCCTGACTATAATTCCTGAGGAAGTTGCATTTTACCAGAGACCCGAAAGATTTGATTAGTAGACTTAGTAGGCAGTAGGGACTGGAGACAGAAGATTTAAGGTGAATCTAACAGTAGAGGGCACAGGATATCTGAAACTTCCATGTGATTGGAGCCCAGTGAGTGAGGGGGGGAAGCAGCGAGGGATGAGCTGAAGTTTTAGGAGCCAGACAATGTAAGATTGAATAGGCTATGTTGAGAATTTAAACTTACTCTAAAACTAATGGGAATTTCTTAAAGGATTGTAAAAAAAAGGGAGGATTCGATCATATATATATATATATATATATATACACACATATATATGTATATATACATATATATGTATATATACGTATATATACATATATATATTACAAGCATGTTCTTATTGAGGTGTGGAGAATTCAGCAGAGGAAGAGGTCAAGGTGGGATGTGGATAGAACAGTTAGGAAGCTGTTGCAGCAGTTCAGGTGAAATGGACTGGGCTTTGGTCAGGTGGTTGGCCATTGAAATACAGAGACATTTTATCATTTGGGATTTGGAGTAGCTGTAACTGAAACTCCAAATTACAGTGGCTTGGACAGATATTTATTCCTCTCTCGCATAACTGAAATCTGTACATAGCCTAGAATTCAATTGGTGGCTCCACCATTCTTAGGGACCAGATTCCTTCCATTTTGTCAATACGTGACTTCAACCTCCTCATTGACGGTGGCTGCTTTAATTCCAGTCATGTTGTTTTCATCCCAGACAACGTGAATGATGAAGGGAGGAAAAAAGATACATCCCTTTCCTGTAAGAGAATTTCTAGAAATTATACGTGATGCTTGCAGTTACAGCTCATTGGAAAGCACTCAGTAGCATGGCCCCATGTGATTACAATGGAAGATAGACAATAAAATGTTTACTCTAGGTTACTACAGGTCTAGTTGAAAATCAGGACGTCTATGACTAAGGTTGAAAGGAACAGAAAACGTTGATAAATAGCCAACATCTGTAATACAAGTAGATAAAGTTGAGACTTGTTTTGGAAATAAAGTTAGCAGGATTTGATAACTGATTTAATGGGGGTTGGGTGAGGACAAGAGAAGGAACAAATCTCATTTCTACTTTTCTGAGACAATCAATGGTAGTACCTTTTTGGAAATGAAAAAAATGAAAAAAGGGGCAGGTTTAGGGCAAAGAACAAAAATTAATTAGCTGTTGGGAGCTTCCTCAAAATTATAGAGGGAGCAATTTATCAATTTTTTGTTGTTGTTCCATTCTAGAGATGTTTTATGCCCATATAGGAATGTGGGTGTGCATACCTGATATGTGTGTATACACACATATTTTATTTTTACAAAAATGGTAGGGTTTAATTATACCATTATATACCTAAAATCCTTTACTTGATATATATTGGGGATCTTTCCATATAATTGCATGAAGAAGTGCCTTACTATTTTTAATCATCACAGAGTATTTCATTGTATGGCTTTGCCATAATTTATTTAACCAGTTCTTATCTGTACATTTGTTTCTGTTTTTTTCAGATTATAAAAAATGCTGCAATGAATGTCTACACTTTAAAGTAAAATTGTTGGGTTTAGGGGCACATTATTGAAAATTTTGGCTTGCGTATTTTTTTCATAGAGGTGTCAGCAATTTCTACTCCCACTGGCAATATATCGGGATGCCTGTTTTCCTTTACTCTTGTCAACTCAATGTGTCAAGCTTTCTGATGGTTAAAATAATATTAGATTTTTGTTTTAATTTGCTTTTTCTTAGCAGAAATGAAATAAAACACTTCACATGTTTAAAATGTTTTATTTCTTTTTCTAAACATGTCCTCATTTTTGCTATTGGATTCTTATTTTCTTATTTAATTGAAGGAACTGGTTATACGTTAGATTATCTGTTTTGCAAATATTTTCCTGTTTATCCTTTTTTGTCCTCATAGTAAATTTCTTTCTATAAATTCAACTTATTTACTATGAATAGCTTCTTGTTATTAAGTAGGTTTAATACAGTTACCACGTTGGTTTGCATGCTTTAAACTTTATTCTCCTCTGTAAAATACATCATTTTACAGAAATGAGCTCATACTGAATATATCTTTTAGGTTTCTGCTTTTATTCTCACTTAATAATAAAAATCTTTCTAAGTCATTCATTGTTTTAACAAATTATTTTTAATTGTTTCATACATTATTCTGTCATTTGGAGTTAACAATAATTTACTCAAGCAACCCTCCCGCTGTTGCATAATTAGGTTATTTTCATTTAAAAAAAAACCGATATAAGCTACAGCCATGGTAGTTTCACTATGATAAAGTCCTCAAAGTAAAATTTGGAGGTCATTGTGCAAAAGTACTCTCCTTGTGCTTCAATGCTTCCCGCAGCTAGACCAAGCTCCGCGGGCAGGAGCTGGAGTCCAAGCTAGGGGAAAGAAGGACCTTCCGGGCCCATAAGGCGGGAGGCAAGGAGGGCCCCTGGGCAGCCCCGCGCTTGCGCGCCAATCACGGCCGTTATGGATTTCGATACGTTACCAAACGGTCTCCTACAAAGGCAGAAACCGTTTAAATATTTCAGAAGGATTGATTTTCATTTTGCAAATATAATACTGGTTCATTTTCTTTCTCTTCCTCCATCCATTCTACTATTGAACATAAAACGTGTCAATAGTATTGTAGTTCAGCATGTATCTCAGGATATTAAAAGGGCAGTGTGACTCAGCTAGAAAAGGATGAACTTTCCCCAAAGATAAAGTGACCTATGCGGTAAGTCCTACGGGACTTCATATCCTCATTGGAGAGAGGTTTAGGGTGTTTCTAGTTGTAGCAGGGTTAGTTGCACCTTAGGTTGAAGCAAGATTTTGCTACTGGAAATTAAATATGGTAAAAGGAGGTGCTCTCGGCCGCCAATTTGACAAGGGATGGACCGTGCTGGTTTTGTATCAACTGGCCTAAGCTAGAACTTCATTTCCATTATGTCTCCATATCAGGTTTGGCCAAAAGATATATCTATGCCAGATTTGGGAAGCAGAAGTGAAAGAGTAACCGTTACTCTGTGTAGCTGGTGCGGAAGGAGAGAAGTGTAGATGTACTGCTTGTGGGCTCTAGCTTGTCCTCGCCTGCCTCTGTCTTGACTCCAGCTGGTGTCCTTTTCTGCCTGCCTTGCTGACCAACAGCAGCCCCAAACCCACAGTCAATGCAGAGGCAACAGCCTTCCATGCACTTCTTCGCCAGCTCCTGTTGTGGTCTCACTCTTGCAACTGGATGTTCCCAGTTCTCTATATGTAACCTGTGACTTTTCCTTCACTTGACTACTTCAGGAGAGGTGAATAGAGACTTTTCTCCAATTCTCCACCTTCCAACGGTGGCCTTACTTCCCCGTCTCCTCCCACTATTGTGCAAGGTCTAATTTTTTAATCCTTAGACTATAAACTCTGTGGAGGTAGCCACCTGTTTAGTTTACAGCTATAGTCCCAGCGCCTGGCACCCAGAAGACACTCATTAAATGTTTGAAGAATTATTAAAGCCCCCAATAATTGATAGCCCTTATTATTTATCCAGTACTTAGATTCTCAAATATGAAACACGAACAACTTGGTTTCATTATCTGGCTTAAAAAGCTTATCAGGGAAAAAGTTTTTAAAAATATATTTTGGGCAGCATTTGAGTCATTTCCCGCACCCCCAAACCTATGTCAGTCGATAGGAAGTCTGAAATTGCCTTGAGTTCTGTAGGCAGGACACTTCAGTGGGCTGAAAAGTGTTGGGCTTATACCTCACTGCTCACTGCTCATCATAACTCTTCCCCTCTTTGCTTGGATTTTTTTTCTTAAATATGCCATGGTCAGCAAAATTTTTATTTCCTTTCTTCTGTAAAGTGACTTCTTTAAAAACCCTAATTATCTTATACTACCTAAGTTTTAAATTGTCTGAGAGAAATATTTTCTTTTTGTTTTACCTAAGAGTGTCTTTTCAATTTTCTTTTATTATCTTTTCAAAACCATATCACTCAACCATCTACAGCTTAGTGTGCAGCATTGTGGTATGAATATGTGGCTGGAAAGTCAGGGATTTAAAAGAACTATGAAATATATATTTTGACTTTTGGGGATAATTTTCTGGGAACAGATTTTTAAATACCTCAAGCCTTTTTTATATACTAATATCCTACCAAATATATGCCATTTTAGCAGCTCATAATAGTTATTAATAAAATATTATGGTTGTTATTCTATTGTTTAACTCTTCCCCCATGTCTTCTCATGAAAAGCTCATATACATAATGTATATTGTATTCTTCCATACTGACTATAACATATTGACTGTTCCTGACCCTTCTGTTTAACCAGTTTTAGCATTTTTCACTTTCCTCATTTTCAGTCATTCTTCTCTTTTTGAAGTATTCCCTGTTCACTTCCATCAGGTTGGAATTTCACTTTGGCCTCACAGTCTACTCAATCTCTTTAATGTCCCATGAGCACATCTTTCATGGCATCTAAGTAGGCTACCATGTAATTCAATCATTTTTCACACTTCTTAAATGTTAAAAAAATTAATACATAAACACTTAGAAAAGTAGAAAATTCTTCATTTAATTATATTAACTCTCAACAATCCTTAAAGTTCTTTAATTGTAAATTTCATTAAGGTAACTTAGGTTCTTGTTCATAAAGTCAAAAAGTTGTATGTCATGTAATGCAAATTACACCATTATCCACTCTTCTCCATCTCTGATTCTCACTCTCCAAAGGCAACAACTTTCATCTCTTTTAACTGTTTTTTTTTCTATTGTTTACTGTCACAAGCCTATAATATACCTCTCATACTATTTATTTTTCAGTTTGGTTCTTATCTATTGCCTTTCTTCTACAAAAGATGAGGAGTTGGCTGTCTTACAACTGGGCATGTAGCTTCTTCTTTCATTTCTTAATCTTGCAATATCATATTTTTAAAAATCTTATCAGTGTTTAGTGTTTATTTTGACAATGTAAATATTATTCACAGATGAACTTGTAGTGTATTAGGTTTACTTCTTTTTTGTAGACCTTTGCTTTTGTTTTTCCTTGACTATGCATTGCCTTGATTTTTGTTTAGTTAGTTTTCTAAGTAGTTATTATCAGTTCATTCTGCCAAATTCTGACAAGTCTTAAGTGCCTTTTGATACATTCAAATGAAACTATCCAGTTTCTTTTATTTTCCTTTTTTTCCTGGAGGCCACGGTCCTAGGTACATTGCCTTCATGAGCTCCTTCCTCCATAAAAAATAAAAATTATTTTACAGCCACGTTGGTATAAAGGTAAATATGATCAGGGTGGATTTATTATCATATAGTCACTGTTATTATATTAATTTTATCTCCTAATTTTAAAGGAAATTAAAATGACGACATTTTTGTAAATTCCTAACAGCGTCATGGGCCCTCAAGCACTATGCCTACTCAGCCTAATGGATGAGTCGGCCCTACGGAAGGCATTCTTTGCTTCTGAACCCCTCTTTTCTCCTGTTCCAATCTGGACTACTTATTCTGTAGGCCCTGAGATGTTTTCTTACTGTTATCCTGACAATTCAATTTTTTTCTCTCATATATTGGATCCCCTATTTCTGTGAATATGTGGCTGGTTTTCTTTCTGGTAGTACGCCTTCATTTTGATAGAGTGCATCTTTCAGAAGGCTCTGCTATAGCATGTCTGGAGGTAAATATGAGGCCTTGCATGTGAGATAAATGTTTCAATCTACTCTCATAATTGGTTGTATAGAGGAAGAGTAATCATTTTCTTCAACAGTAAGTTCTTAGTTGAAATGAACTTCTGTAATACAAGACAGATCAACAAGAGAAAAACAGAAGTGTATTAACATGTGTATTTCATACATACACCAGAGACACCCAGGGAATGAGTAGTTCTCAGAATTGGCTTTGAATTCTGGCTGATATAGCATCTTCAATAATGAACAGCAAATTTCTGGAGAGGTAAAGGAAAAGAACTTTAGGAGTGGCAACTTGTGGGAAGGCAAATGCATAGCAAATAAAGGCTAGCTAGTAATGTTTGTTAATGGAGATTTCCCTGGTATCATCTCCAGGTGGTAACAGTTTAAAGTTGTCTTATGTGGTTATCTTTTGGTCTCCCTGGTAGAAGGGAGGCAGAATACTTTTAGTTTTTGTATGTCCTGCTTTTAGGCAAATAGAGGGATGGCAGAGAGCTTCTCTGCATCTGCTTCTTCTTAATTACCTGCAGCTCAATAATCCTTTATATTTTGGAGTAGCACAACAGATAGTTTGGCTGGATATAGAATTCTGGGTTGAAAATTATTCACCTCCTAGATTTTTTAAAACTGCGTACATCATATATGTTCATTGTAAAGAATGAAAAACATATAGAAAGAAGAAAATAAACCAAGCCTGAATGCTGCACCCTAAATTAGCCATCAATATTCTGGGATCCTTATCGATAAGGGGGTCAAATAGTCTGTTTGGAATGTACCCTGTCACTTGCTCCCTGGTTTTCAGAACAGTCTTACTGCCTTTAGGGCGACTCTGGTCCTAAAGTCCAGAGCTTTGCTGAATTGACATCTCTGGAGAATAAACCAGTTTACTGCCAGTGGGGAGTGGATATGGACTGCTAAGTATTGAGACTTCCAGTTCCCCTATTTTTCATCTTACCTGTTCCACCATTGGGCACATGCCACCTCCAATTCAGGGCTTTTGAGGGATTTGCAGCAGAAACTACTCTGTTTATATTTCTGCCACTGCTGGCTTAGGTTTTCGCTTTCTCATCTTTGCTAAAAACTGCTAATAAAACATCTGCATTGTTGCTTCCAAAATTGTATTGCTGTTGTCTCTTTGCCACTTCTATTCATTCTGTGGTTTGACCTTTTAAATTAATATCTTTAGGATCCTTATAGTGAGCTATGGGAGGGAGTAAAGGTATATGTCCATGTTCATTTTCTGATGATTAGTGGGAAGTGTCTCATAACATTCTTGTATACATTTATTTTTTATTTTTTTGAGATGGAGTCTGACTGTCACCCAGGCTGGAGTGCAGTGGCCCAATCTCTGCTCACTGCAACCTCTGCCTCCCGGGTGCAGGCAATTCTCATCCCTCAGTCTCCTGAGTAGCTAGAATTACATGGACACCACCCTGCCCAGCTAATTTTTGTATCTTTAGTAGAGATGTGTTTCTCCATGTTGGCCAGGCTTGTCTCAAACTCCTGACCTCATATACCTTGACCTCCCAACATGCTGGGACTATAGGCTTGAGCCACCGTGTCTGGCCTTATATACATTTTTATACACTATTTTAGTGCTCTAGAATCCTTAGGGCAAAGTAACTATGTGTGTGGTATGTCTGTGTTAAGGATAAGATGGTATCAGCCCTAGAGTCTGATGCATAGTTGAGCCTTAATTTTATGCTATTACTATATTTATTTAATCAAAAACTTATCTTCCTTACTCCTTTTCCTCACATATAAGTAGCTTAAGTGTTAAAATATATTCTTTCTTCACACAATGACATTAAATCTATGTCAAAACAATTACCTTTCCAGGAACAAATAGAACCTGTCTTGCTTGGAACTTAAAAATAATTTTTCAAAATCCAGCAGAACATCTCTCCTTTTTGTAAAGCATGATTATGTCCTACCTACACACATTAGGAGAAACTATACCTTAAAAATATAGAAAATTTATGTTGGGGTGTGGCGATTCATGCCTGTAATCCCAGCACTTTGGGAGGCCTAGGCGGGCAGATCACTTGAAGCCAGGAGTTCAAGATCCACTGACTAACATCATGAAACCCCATCTCTACCAAAAATACAAAAATTAGCTGGGCGTGGTGGCACATGCCTGTAATCCTAGCTACTTGGGAGGCTGAGGCATGAGAATCACTTGAATCTGGGAGGTGGAGGTTGCAGTGAGCCAAGATCATGCCATTGTACTCTAGCCTGGGTGATAGAGCAAGACTGTATCTCAAAAAAAAAAAAAAGAAACAAACAAACAACAACAACAAAAAACAAAAAAACTGTATATATAGAAATTTAAAATATAAAAATTTATCATAGCTGTAGACATAAAAGTTATAAAAATAAATCTACAATCATTTCAGTTTTTATTAACTCATTTACTTCTGATACTAATTAAAAATCTCTCATATAAGTCCATTTATAAGTCCAAATAGAATAAACAAATGTTAAGTATCAATAATATTTAAATTTTTTTTTTATTCCAGACTCTGTTGGGTACAAGTGACACAGAAAGTCATCTCAAACTAGCTGAAACACAAAAGGTAATTTATTTGTTTCAATACCTGGAAATTCCAAGAGTTTTTTTTAGCTCTAGTTATAGCTGGATCAAGATGAGTGTCAAATGATATAATGATATTGTCAGTGTTTGAGTGTCTTATCTATCATGTGTCTATCCATACATATCTATACCTACATATATACATATATCACACACGTTTTATAAAAAATTTATCATGTCGACAATAATATTTAAACAAATACCCAAATAAATATTAATCATTGAGTTTTCTCAGAAGGCTAAATCACTTACAAACAAAATGGAACATTTTTATATTTTTATAATTTCCTTCTGGTACTGTGGATCACAGCCACAGAAGGAAATCAGTCTAGTAATATTATAGATAGGACATTCACTGGTCCCAATCTGATTTACATTTTCTTATGGACATTTGTGAATTTTTAGCTCTGCTTAGCATCTAAAATCCAGTGTATGTTTGGAATCTTTTTCAACATTATTAGCCATAGTGTGGAGGAGAGACTGCCTCACCCAATGGGAGATGAAAATGCCAAACTCTTGCTTGCCTAGACTCCCTTGGAGCTAGGACATGACCAAGTGAGGTACATTCCACTAATCAGATTCAGCCATGGAAGCAGGAACCAGTAACTCAAAGAAGCAGGGACTGAGAGCCTCCATTCAGACTGAATTCCTAGTGCAGCTGTGGCAGCAGAGCTAGAGGCAGTGTCACAGTGCAGTAGTGGAGGGGTTGGTGGTGCAGGCTGTAGAGTCTTTTGCTTGTTAGTGTTGGTAGGGATGTCAACATTAGGTGAGCTGTGTCATGTCTTGGTGAGCCTGTGTTTCATAGAACCTGGCTCTTCATACATGCTGGCAATGTAATCCACCCAATATCATTATCACAAACACCTTTCCCATTGAAATTAACCTGAGTTGGTTTCTGTTGCTTGCAGCTGATGAATGGATGACCTTCTCTTCCTCTATGTCATCTCCTTTAGTTATGTATTTATTAACTTAAATCTCATATTACTCTCTTTGGCCTCTGCTACCTGAATCTTCTGGTATCAGCTGAAGAGGGAGTCTGGGAGGCACAGAACTGGAAGTAAGGCCATACTGGGCCTGGGAGGCAGAGAGAGTCCTACTGGAGGGCCCTCAGAAAGTGAATTCAGCAGGCACCAGCCTCCAGCCACAGGGTCCTATGCCCACACTTGCTTCCACAAGCCTGGTCCAGGCCACCATCATGTCGCCTGGACCATGGCCGTATTTCCTAGGGTCTGCCTACTCCTGTCCTTGTCCCTGTAAACACTTTATCAAACACAGGGATATTGTTAAAACATAATCAGATCATGTCAATTCTCTGTGAAAACCTCATTCTCTCAGAGTAAAAGTCCTTATAGAAGCCTAAAGGCCATACATGGTACCCGCTTCCTCCGAAAAATCGCATTCTCTTTATTACGCCTTCGATCCCTAGGAGAACCTAAGTTCAAGAGGAGATGCTGGGCAGGGAGGGGCCAGCCACTTGCTAGGGTGCCCCAGCCCCTGTCTGCTTCAAGAGCCAAGTCATTTTCTCCTGGACCCCTCTGAGCTGAAGACAGGAAGAGCCGGGGGAGGGGGATCTCTTGGTCTGCGCCTCAGTTTCTCAAGAACAGCAACAGCAGAAAAATAAATTGAGAGATGAAGGGGCTACCACCATCCAAGTGGCCACAACCATCCACTCCCATGCCGGCCTGGAGTTAGCAGACGGGCGCCACTTTGCTCTGCTTGTCCCACGCCCATGGAGGGGGGACACCGTCCGGAAGTGAAGGCCAGGAAAACAGAGGGGAGAGACAGCGGGGTGGGGTGGGAGCAGTCGCTGCTGTGAACTCGCTGGAGCCCAGACTCACGCAACTAAGGGGCAGCAGTGGGAAGAGAAACGGAGGGGTGGTGGGGGAGCTGGCGCTCTGAACGCCTGTTCCTTCTGTTCAGACTAGTCTTTGTTTATTTTGCAGCGCAGGAAGGCGGAAGGGAAGGCGGAGACCGGCAAGAGAGGGGAGAAGGCCCGGGGAAGACGCTCGGGACCAAGATGCGGGGCCCGGGTGCGAGCAGCTGAACCTCTCGGCCCCCAGGCGTGGTGACCTGGGTGGCGACGCTCGTGGAGGCCGAGGAGCTTCTGGACCGGCGCTTCGGGGGACCAAGTGGAGAGGCTGCTGGAGTTGTCGCCTGAGTCCTCCCTTAGTTCTTCGCGCCGGCCTCGCCCACGGCTCCGGGTCCCAGCCGCCACTGCAGTCTCCGCAGCACCGAGCGGGGCTCCACCGACTCGCGACCTCCAGCCTCCGCCTCAAGGGCAGGGAGCGCGGCTGGGTCTCTGGAAAGCCATTTTTAAATCACTGCCTCTGCTGCCCCCATGTGAGGTCGGAGTGTCCTCCCCCGTCTTTGCTTTCAGGTTCTTTCAGGTTCCTTTGGGCAAACCCGCAGCTAAGAGTCCAGCTTGTGAACTTGAACCTGAACTTGCTGAAGAAGCTCCCGGCGGCCCCCTGCTGTCTGCGGCCTTTGTTTGAGGGAGAGGCTGGGGTCACCCGGTTGGGCCGCATTTCCGGGGCCGTCACCTGTCGGGCTGCCAGGCCGCGCGTACCTTGTCCCATCGGGGGCTCTGCTCTGCCCCCTGCGCTGATGACGCGGGTGGAAGGGAGGTATCAGGGGCACTCTGGGGAGCTGTACCTGGCGGGCACCCCCCAGCTGCTCTCCGTGGGGTACGACACCGAGACCTGGTTGGGCTGCAAGGAGACCGACTGGGATTCCCGGGCTGGTGGCCGGGGAGACGAAGGCGGGGGGTGAGAGGCAGGAACCCAGGAGGCCCCAGGCCCAGCGCTGTGGGGCTGCTGTTGTCGTTCTGCGTGGAGGTCTGGCCAAACTGGCTTTTGCCCCGAGTGAGGAATTCCTGCTCTTTTTTGGTTTTGGTAAGAGGTCGCTATTCACAGAGGGGGCGGGGTTCGTCCCCTCCAGGCGAGTACGGGGCTGGCGGGCGCAGTGCTGCCTTTCTGCTCTGTCTCTTGATCCCGCTTAGGATCTTTGTGGCTCCTCTGAGTCTTCTTAGAGAGGCCGTGAAAGATGGGAAAGGCAGGTTGCTGAAACGCTGCTGCTCGGGGCTGGCAGAGACCCTGGTATAGGGAAGGCGCACCACTGTGGGTCAGATCAGCTGACAGTGGGGGTTTTAGGTGATGGGGTAACCTTACAGTTCGGATCTCTTAGAACCCAGAAGCAGGTAGGCGATCGCTGCTTCATCACACTTCACAGGGAGTCCTGGATCTTTCCTGTCCGTAACCCATGGACGCCATGATTCAGTATGGCGGAGGTCCGGGGCTTAAGTTCCTGTTCATGCTTCCTAATCATTCATGGATCCATCACAATGTGCTCTGAAGGGCCTCTCTTGCTGGGATTGAGAAGGATACATTTTTTGAGCAGGTTTTTATACTCAATGGACATGTAGAAGGGAATATATTCTACTCAGTTCCCCTCCTGCAGCTCCTTGAAATTCTGTCCATCAAAAGCAGGGATCTGCTGACCAGAGGTGACTGCCACAGAAGGTATCCAGTTTGTAAAAGCTGAATTTGTTGCTGAAGCCAGAATTTGCAATCTTGATGTTTGTGTTAACATCCAAGAGCGTGTTTTCTGCCTTTAAATCTCTGTGGACAATACGTTTCTGGTGACAGCTTGCACAGCAGACACTTTTGGTAGAATTTGCTTCAGTCCTTTTTTTTTCTTTCCTGCTGCCATGAGCAGGTATTCACAAACTTCTCCTCCTGGCTAGTGTGCTTCATGACAAAGCAAAGAGATTCCTCAATATCGATCACAGCAAATGTTTCACTATGTTGGGGTGATCCGAGCCTTCATGGTTCCTACTTTGTGGATGGTGTCTGGAGGAGATCTGCTGAGTCTCATCAATGAACTTCACAGCTGCTGCTTTCCCAGTTAAGAGGTCCCAGGCCAACCTTACCTTAGCCAGGTTGCCCTTGACGATGGTCTCAAGGATCCTAGCTGCCAGTAAGGGTCCCTTCTCAGCAGAGATGGCTGAGAGGCCCTGTGGCATGTGAGACTTACTGCTGGGCTTGGAGTCAAGGTGTCCCAGGTCAGCTTAATTTCGGGAAAAACTGGTAAGACGCTTGGTTCAAATCACTTGAAAAGAAAATCACTTGCATAGTTCACCTGAAGAATGGATCTCTATAATGGAATTAAAGCACAATGCTGGACAAAAAGTAAGAAAAAGCAACAAACTGAAAGGAAAAATTGAGTAAAAAGAATAAAGAACTAGAACTGGCAACCTCAGCCAAGCCAGGGAATTACATACATCTTGGAATTCCAAAGCAATGCTTCCTTATGAGGGCATAGGAAGAAATAAATCTAATAACAAGGCTGGGATTAATTCACGTGGTTTTCTCACATTTTGGTCTCAAGAACTTTTTACTCTAAAACTAATTATTGAGGACCCCAAAGAGCTTTTTATGTGGGTTATAGTTATCAGTATTTACTTTATTGGAAATTAAAACCTGTAGGATGTTTCAGTGGTCTTTTCTAGTTTGAAGGGTTTAATAATTTTTGGCTTTTAAAGAGCCCATAATCAATTAAAATATTTTATTTTCCTTTAAATTGTAAATGATTGGTGTCATAATGATGCTACAACTTAACTGGCATTACAATACTATACAAATACGTTCTATTGTATAAGTCACAATAAGGTACATTATTAACTCTATAACATTTAGGGGAAGATAGCTGTTATCATATTATTTAAAGTTTTGCCTAGTTTCTTTGTAGTAGACTTATCTTTTCCAGGAGCCAGAGAACCCGCTATATCAGTTTCAGTATCTTTAAATGTAGAGATTGCAGCTGTGTGTTGAGAAAGCACGTTTCACTTAGCATGGGATGGGGACTTCGAGGTACTGGATATGTCACTGGCACCTCAGGGGAGGAAACCAAGATGCCCCTATATGATTTTAAACATGGTTTATTAAAGCGTGATACAGAAAAGTGCACAAATTGTCCACCTACAGCTTGGTGACTGTTCACAAATTGAACTCATCTAACTAGCCTCCAGAATAAGAAACAGGCCTTTACACACCCCCACCAGCCTCCCAATCCCCTTTTCAGTCACCTTCTCTGCAGTGATAACCACTATTCTATATTCTGACAGCATAGTTTCACTTGTTTTTTAACTTCACATAAATGGGATCAGACAGTATTGAATCCTTTGTGTCTGCTTCCTTCACTCAATATTTTCCTGAGATTTTTCTATATTGTTTATTCTAAATGCCCATTGTACGACTGTAACACAATTTGTTTATCCATTTTACTGTTCTTGGGCATTTGGGTAGTTCTCACTGTGGATGCTAAGAAGAGTGTTGCTATAAACATTCAGGTCTTTTGGTAAGCATATACCTGGCTTTCTGTTGGCTATTTATACCTAGAAATAGAGTTGCTGGCTTATAAGGTATGCATATTTTTAGTTTTAGTAGACATTGCAGTTTGTACCAATTCACCCACCCACCAATGTGAATATCTAATATTGCCTGCCTGTCTGTACGTGTGTACTGGTATAGCATTGTGGTTTTAATTTGCATTTTCCAGTGCCTAATGAAATAAAGCACCTTTTAATATGCTTATTGGACATATTTTTTTTCTGTGTTGTGCCTATTCAGTATTTTGCCCATTTTTCTGTTGGGTTGCTGGTATTGTTCTTATTGGTTTATGGGTATTCTTTAAATATTTTAAGTATTCTTTATTTGATATGTCCCTGTATTTCCTCTCTCCTCCCTCATCCCTGTTAACTCTCTGATGTCACTTCCTGCTATTTTACCCATGGATCGTCCCTTTCTAGCTACTAGAGTTCTTATTCCTTGAACATGCCAGCCATATTCCTACTCCAGGGCTCTGCACTAGCTCCAACTTATGCCTGGAATGTTCTTTTCCACGGTCCACATACACAAAATTAGAAATATAAATACATAGGATATTAGTATAAAGGCCCTTCTTTGGGTATCTATCATCCGACACCAATAATTATCAACATTTTGCAATCTTATCCATAAATACTTCAGTATTCACCTTTAATAGATAAATATCTTTTTTAAACACAGACACCATGCCATCATCATATCTAACAATAGTACTGTATAAGACCAGTCCATATTCAAATTTCCCAGTTATCTCAAAGACGTCTTGTTACAGTTAACATGTTTGAGTAAAGGTGTAAACAAGTTGTACATGTTGCTTTTTTTTCTATAGCAATATCACCATTCAAAATACTGTATATTTTACTTATTAAATTTGCCTTAAAATTTTTTTATATTATTTTTGTTTTAGGTTCAGGGGGTACCTGCGCGTGTTTATTACATGGATATGTTGTATAATGGTGGGGTTTGGACTTCTAATGCACCCACCACTCAAATAGAGAATTTTTCAACCTTCACCCCTCTCTCACTCTCCCTGCTTTTGTAGTCTGTGTCTATTATTTCCATCTTTTATGTCCGTATGTGCCCATTGTTTAGCTCCAACTAATAAGTGAGAACATGTGATATTTGGCTTTCTGTTTCTGAGTTACTTCTCTTAGGATAATGGCCTCCAGTTCCACCCATGTTGCTGCAAAAGGCATGACTTTATTCTTTTTTAAAGCTGCATTATATTCCATGGTGGATATGTACCACATTTTCTTCAATCTGTTGATGGACACTTAGGTTGATTCCATGACTTTTCTATTGTGAAAAATGCTGTGATAAACATATACTTGCAGTTATTTTCTTATATATGTATTTTTTTTTTGAGACAGAGTTTCGCTCTTGTTGCCCAGGCTGGAGTGCAATGGCTCGATCTCAGCTCACCGCAAACTTCGCCTCCTAGGTTCAAGCGATTCTCCTGCCTTAGCCTCCCCAGTAGCTGGGATTACAGGCATGCACCACCACACCGGCTAATTTTGTATTTTTTAGTAGAGATGGGGTTTCTCCATGTTGGTCAGGCTGGTCTCGAACTCCCGACCTCAGGTGATCCACCCGCCTTAGCCTCCCAAAGTGCTGGGATTACAGGTGTGAGCCCCTGCACCTGGTGGCAGTTATCTTTTTTATGTAATGATTTCTTTTGGGTGGATACTCAGTAGTGGAATTACTGGGTCAAATGGTAGTTATATGTTTAGTTCTTTGAGAAATCGTCATACTGTTTTCCATAGAGGTTTTACTAATTTGCGTTCTCAACCAGAGTGTGTAAGTGTTCTCTTTTCTCCACATCCACACCAACATCTACTATTTTTTGACTTTTCAATAATAGCCATTTTGACTCGTGTAAGATGATGTCTCATTGTGGTTTTAATTTGCATTTCTCTGATGATTAGTGATGTTGAACATTTCTTCATATATTTGTTGGTTGCATGTATGTCTTCGAGAAATGTCTGTTCTTGTCCTTTGGCCACTTTTTGATAGGGTCATTTTTTTTTCTTGTAGAGGGGTCTGAGTTTCTTGTAGAGGCTGGATACTAGTCCTTTGTTGGAGCCATAATTTGCAAATTTTTCTCCTATTCTGTGGGTTATCTGTTTAATCTTTTTTTTTTCTATGCAGAAGCTTTTTAGTTTAGTTAAGCCCCATTTATCTGTTTTTGTTTTTGTTGCATTTGCTTTTGAGGCCTTAGTCATACATTCTTTGCCTAGGCCAGTGTCCAAAAGAGTATTTATTTTCTAGGTTTTCTTCTAGGATTTTTATAGTTCCAAGTCTTACATTTAAGTCTTTAGTTCATTTTGAGTAATTTTGTAGAAAATGAGAGATAGGAGTCCAATTTCATTATTTTGCATATGGCTAGCCAGTTTTCCCAGCACCTTTTATGGAATAGGGTGCCCTTTTCCCATTGCTTATTTTTGTTTACTTTGTCAAAGGTCAGCTGGTTGTGGGTATGTGGCTTTATTTCTGGTTCTC
Source organism: Homo sapiens (assembly GCF_000001405.40). Taxonomy (NCBI): domain Eukaryota; kingdom Metazoa; phylum Chordata; class Mammalia; order Primates; family Hominidae; genus Homo; species Homo sapiens. The sequence goes on from NC_000010.11 coordinate 89,843,158, forward strand.
TATTTTGTTTCATTGATCTATGTGTCTATTTTTATACTAGTACCATGCTGTTTTGGTTACTACAGCCTTGTAGTATGATTTGAAGTCAGGTAATGTGATACCTCCAGCTTTTTTCTTTTGCTTAGGATTGCTTTGCTAATCTGGCTCTTTCCTGGTTCTGTATGAGTGTTAGAATTGTTTTTTCTTTTTCTGTGAAAAATGACGTTGGTAATTTGATAGGAACTGTACTGAACCACAGATTGCTTTGGGCAATAAATTATTGCCATATTAAAGATATTGATTCTTCACAATTCATGAGCATGGAATATTTTTCTTTTCTTTTTCTTTTTTTTTGAAACAGGGTCTCACTTTGTTAACCAGGCTGGAGTGCAGTGGCACAATCATAGCTCACTGAAGCCTCAACCTCCCAGACTCAAGCAATCCTCCTGCCTCAGCCTCCTAGGTAGCTGGGATTACAAGTGTTAGCCACCATGGCTGGCTAATTTTTAATTTTTTTGTAGAAACAAGGTCTCTCTATGTTGCCCACGTTGGTCTCAACCTCCTGGGCTCAATGGATCCTCCTGTCTTGGCCTCCCAAGGTGTTGGGATTACTGGCACGAGCCACTGTGCCCAGATGGGATGTTTTTCTGTTTGTGTCGTCTATGGTTTCTTTTATTGGTGTTTTGTATTTCTCCTTGTAGGAATCTTTAACCTCTCTGGTTAAATATATTCCTAGGTATTTAATTTTAGTTTTATTATATGTAGCTATCGTAAATGGAATTGAATTCTTGATTTGGTTTTCAGCTTGAGTGTTATTGGGGTATATAAATGCTACTGATTTTTGTACATTGGTTTTGTATTCTGAAACTTTACTGAACTTTACTGAAGTCATTTATTATGTCTAGGAGTATTTTTAAGGAATCTTTAGGGTTTTCTAGGTATAGGATCATGTCATCAGTGAAAAGAGATAATCTGACTTTTATTTTTTTTTCAGTTTGGATGCCTTTTATTTCTTTCTCTTGCCTGATTGTTCTGGCTAGGTCTTCCAGTACTATGTTGAATAGGAGAGGTGAGAGTAGACAGGCTTGTTCAGTTTCAGGTCATAGGGGAAATGCTTTTGGCTTTTCTCCTTTCAGTATGATGTTGGCCATGGGTTTGTAATGTGTGGCTTTTATTATTTGGAGGTATGTTCCTTCAATGTCTAGTTATATCATGAAGGGATGTTGGATTTTTATCAGATGCTTTTTCTGCATTTATTGAGATATGTTTTTTGTTCTTAATTTTCTTTATATGGTGAAACACATTTATTGATTTACATATGATTTACATATGTTGAACCATCCTTGCATCCCTGGAATAAAAACCACTGATCACTGTAATGAGATGAACAGGGTACCTCAGTTAGGAATGCAGAAATCATCCACCTTCTGCGTTGGTCTCACTGGGAGGTGCAGACTTGGGCTGTTCCTATTTGGCCATCTTGCCAGATCTCTCCCCCAATTCCCTGATTCTGTCAACAAAGACCCTGTGCTCAGATGGGAAGTGCCTTGTTTAAGGTTACACAAACATAACTTGAGCTTTAAGTAAGTGTGAGCCTTAGGAGAGGAGAGAGGAGAGAGGAAAGAGGAGAGAGGCCGGGTTTGGCAGGGGTGGTGGAGTGACTGTGGGAGAAGGCAAACACAATTTATGAAACAGAGTGTGTGTCATAGATTCAGGGAAGGAAGCAGGCCATTTATCTGAGGTGGATGGTTTGTGTAATGGAGTTAGCTGTGAGATGAGATGGGTAAGAGGTTGGGGCCAGATTATGGAAAGCCTATGTATGAAATGAGGAGCCATTGAAAATGTTTGAAAGGAATGCTAGGAGATCACAAGAAATAATAACTGAGAATTACAGCTGATCCTGAGGTTGCTCAGAGGTTTGCTCAGAGGTTGCTCAGAGGCTTTCATTCTACTTTAACCATAACTTAACAATAAAAAATACATTTTACACTGAATCAGCACATGCACACACACACACGCACACACACACAGAAACTTAAGCTTGACAAGACAAGGATTAACCTATGTGTGCTATACTCTATTTTCCACTTCATTCCACTAAACTCTAAGCCTCCCTTTTTTGGAGACTGAATTTATCCGGGGGAGGGGACTGGTGGACGGCATCCTAAGTGAAAGGCGTAGCGTGACAAACTCCGGGAGCTTTGAGGGCAAAGTGTGATCTGGGTAGGTTTCCAGATTTAGTAAATAAAAATAGAGAACACTCAGTTCAATTTGAATTTCAGATAAACAATATTCCATAGCTTGGGAAGAGCAAGACATTCTGTGTGGCTGGAACACAGGTGGGTGTGAGAAAATGGCAGAGGCGAGTCTGGCGTGTATTGGGATCATGTTGTGAATGCTTATGAGAGAATAACCATCTTTTCTGTAGCCTCTTGCTCATATTGAAGGATAATTTGAGAATAATTATTGAATGCTTGAAAAGAAATTTAAAAAATACACACAGAAAATATGTAACCCTTGAGTCCTTAGCTCATTAACAATAAAGGTGGAATCCTCGTGTGTGGGTGGAATGATTATTAATTATTAACCATTGCATCTGAGTAATTCTTTCTTTTATCCTGATGATTTTGTTTCTAAGATGCCTTTGTCCAGGTGTTTAGTTGAGAAGGGGGAATGAGCACATTTTGCCACATATACTTCTTATTATATTCCAGCCTGAAGCAAGAATTTAAGTTATTAACAGTAATGGAATTAATAACGTGTGTGTGATCAACTAAGCAAGTCTTTGCTCTGTTTAAGTAGTTTTCCAGATGTCATCAATGCAGGTTGTCTGTATTTCATCCTCTCTTCCCTGTTTGTGGACCCTGATCTTCACTATATCATAGACATGGCTCCTGGCAAGCCAGGGAAGCCACCTGACCCAAGCTGAACCAGACAGAATTCAGTCTCATTTGTGGTTTTACTGGTAACTCAGGAGCTCATGGTAGCCATGGGTTTTTTTTTTTTTTTGCCATATGCAAAATCAAAGAAAGCCAGTCAACACTATGGAATTCACTGAAGAAGCAATTCAGTGAAGGTGGGGGAGAGTATATGCACTTGTATTAGAGGAAAAGCATGCTAGAATTAGAGAATGAAAAGTGAAGACAAGCAAAGAAGGGAGAGAGAGAGAGTGACAAGAGGGGGGTGAAAAGGAGGCAAAAGGAAGGAGGGAGGAGGAAGGGGAAAAGGAGAAGGGAGAAGGAGGGAGGAAGGCTGAGAGCCAAGCCCTACTAGTTGTGCAATCCCTGGGTTCATTACTCTCCTAAAGTGACTTGGTTGCATTCTATCTGGTTTGTGAGATGACCTTTCACCTTCTGATGAATTGCCTTTATGCTTAGGATCACTACAGTGGGCTCTGTTACTTAAAACAAGAGTACTAATTAATAAATCAGATCACTGAAGTCATATTGACCCACTGTGATTGCTATGGTTTGGTGGTGATTATGAGAAGGGTATTTACTCAGCAGGTAGAACTTGGCCATAGAACTCCTTCATGGCAAATAGGAAGAAGCATGGCTTTTGTTAAACTGAGCACATACATTGCTGAGCATAACACAAACTACCCTGGTGCATAGTTTCCCTTTTCCATCTAGAGCTTGTTCTGGATTTGTTCTGGGAAAAGCCTATGGGTTTAATTTGGAGCTGGTTTATTTCAGTCAGTTGGGGAGTTGTTTTGTGGTACTTTTAACACTACTCAAACAAATGTTTCCCAAGGTGAATTCTCTGTTCAATGAAACTAGCAGTTACACAGTGGAAAAAAGAAAGAAGGTGGTTCTGTGGTCAGGCCATGTTTGGGTTAACTGCTTTGTAGTACCTCTCAAAGCCTTTACTATGCTAGTTTGCATTGTAAATTTCTAAGAGGCAAAGAGTTGATGTAGCATTTCCTGAGTTCACTTGACCACAAAGCGGGATATGTCACTGGACTAGTGTCTCCCAGGACACACTGGGGATAAGATAGATAGCTGAGCACATATGAGTGGATGGCCACCACTCCAGTGTGCAGGACTGACAGTGAGAAGGACCTGTCCAGTAGCTGCCTCTTACACATTGACCTTGATTTTAAGGTGACAAGAAAATGATCTGACTGCCAGTGATTCTCCAATACTCTTGACATTTCTAAAGAACAGGTTATTAAAAAAACATCTAACACTAAAAGGGAAGCTTGGCTCAGTTTATATTCAGATCAAAGAGACTATGGACAAGGGATCTGTGGAGAAAATTCAGGCAGTCTGTGAACTTGAATGGGAATAAAAATTGCATCTTTATTTTCATTAACTTCAGGCTGAAATTTAGCATTTCCTTCAGTTATTAATGTAGCAACAGACCCCATAGTTTGAGCAGCACCCATTATTTGTCAGTAATAGAAATCTCAAATGTATTCACATTACATCACAGTTCCTGCAAGTTTCTCTAAATATTTATGCTTCTTGTTACTTTGAAATTATAGTTAGGCCTACCACTAGGTCTTGTTACTCTTCTTCTTATTTTTTTGGATGTGGAGATGAGGTCTTGCTATGTTGTCCAGTCTGGTCTTGAACTCCTGGCCTCAAGCAATTCTTCTGCCTCAGCCTCCTTAGTAGTTGAGTTTATAAGCAAAAGCCACCATACCTGGCCAAACAAAATGTTTTTGATGATGGCCACACATTAAACACGGCGCCTGGCCCATGATAGTGCTTAATGAATATTAACTGATGTTGTTAATCAGTTAATCACGACCATCATCATCGAACTAAGCTCCCATATTTGTTGAGTGTCTTAATTTAGACCCAACATCAGGATATGAGGCAAAGTAGGCATTTTAAAAATAAATACTAGTGAAACTAGATAGAATTATCTTCCTTGTCACTTCTTTTGGGTATTAATTATATATCAGAAAATTTCAGGGCTGGGTGTGGTAGCTCATGCCTTTAATCCCAGCACTTTGGGAGGTTGAGGCATGAGGATCACTTGAGCCCAGGAGTTTGAGACCAGCCTGGGCAACACAGTGAGACTCTATCTCTTCAAAAAAAAAAAAAAAATTAGAGAAGCATGGTGGCACATGCCTATAGTCCCAGCTGCTTAGGAAGTTAAGGTGGGAGGATCTTTTGAGCCTGGAAAGTCAAGGGTACAGCAAGCCATGATCATGCCACTGCACTCCAGCCTGGGGGACACAGTGTGGCCCTGTCTTAAAAAAAAAAAAAAGAAAGTAAAGAAAATCTCAGGGCTTTATAAAAACCATTAATTTGTTTATTAATTTATGCATTCACTTGTCAAATATTTACCTGCTAGATACTCTATCTTGGTCTATTTCTTCAGGTGACTTATGCGGGGTTTGAGTGGAGGTGCAGGGGCCAGTAAATGGGAAGAAGTCTTTATAATCTGTTTGTTTAATCTTCATCTCTCCCAGTCCTCTCTGTTTACTCCATAAAATTAAAAGAAATGCTGCCATCTGTTTCTAGCACTGTGCTCTGTGCCTCAGGATGCTTAGAGAAGCTTAAAAACAGTTCAGGTGGCAAGGCGCAGTGGCTCACACCTGTAATCCCAGCACTTTGGGAGGCCAAGGCAGGTGGATCACGAGGTCAGGAAATCAAGACCATCCTGGCCAACATGGTGAAACCCTGTTTCTATTAAGAAACACACAAATTAGCTGGGCTTGGTGGTGCGTGCCTGTAGTCCCAGCTACTCGGGAGGCTGAGGCAGGAAAATCGCTTGAACCCAGGAGGCGAAGGTTGCAGTGAGCCGAGATTGCACCACTGCCTTCCAGCCTGGTGACAGAGCGAGACTCCATCTCAAAAAAACAAAAATAAAAACAAAAACAAAACAAAAACCCAGCACAGGCACTGTTTACAGTGTGCTTTTCACTTACCTCAAGAGACAGAGGTATCCTCTCTTTCAGGTTATTTGGGGGATCTAAGTGCCTTTGGTATAATCTTCCTTGTGCTGGTTGAAAGAGAAAGTGGAGGATCAGGTTAGGTGAGAATATATTCTCCAGGGTTTAGTAGAAAATACATTCTGTAGGGTGTAGGTCCTGAAAGATATGCTCCATTCCTAACCTCTACGCCACATGCCTGTGAATGTGACCTTATTTGGAAATAGTCTTTGCAGATATAATTAAGGTAAGGATCTTGAGATGAGATCATCCTGGATTTAGGGTGAGTCCTAAATCCAATGACATTGTCATTATGACAGAAAAGAAGACAAAGGGACCTAGGGAAGGAGGTCATCTGAAGGTGGAGGCAGAAAGTAGAGTAGTGCAGCCACAAGCCAAGGAACCCCAGGAGCCATCAGAAGCTGGAAGAAGCAAGGAAGGACTCTTCCCTGGAACCTCTGGAGGGAGAGTAGTCCTGATGAAACTTTAATTTTGGACATCTGGACTCTAGAATTTGAAAAGAATAAATTTCTACTATGTTTGTGGTAATAATTAGGAAACTAGTACATTTTCCTCAGTCAGCAACGAAGAGACAATACCAGTGCTCAGCCAATCTGATGCTTTGCAAGACAAACATTCAGTCAGAAGCAGCATCATCACGTTTTCTACTGATCCAGAGTCCAGCCCAAATCCTTTTGAGCTTCTTTTACCTACTTCTTCTAGCTTTCTTACCCCTTTTTTTCTACTTTTATGGTAGAGTCAAAGGCACCAAAATGCATTCAGAGGGTTGTGTCAATGAGTCGATCTTATTGGAGTGACAATTTCTATCTGATTTGATGCTGTATAAACAAATTTCCTTCCTACTGTGACAGCTTAGGAAGCTGGAATCTGGGGGGAGATCCATGCGATGTCAAGTCAAGAGTTGGAGATGGAAATAATTCATATAAGAGAAAAGTCAGTGTATGTGTGTGTGCACCTGTGTGTGTGTGCACCTGTGTGTATGTGTGTGTGTCTAGGAAAGAGGCAGGGTGGTGGCTTAAGAACCTAAGCTGTGCTAAGCTGTCTCTGACTCCACTAGGTTATGGGGGTATTCAAGGACAGTGTTGGTATCTGGCATTTAATCTGATTTTGTGAATCCTACAGAATTTTTAATGTTAGAAAAGAGAATTTTGTTCCCAGAAAAACATGTAGTTGAGAATTCATACAAACTTTTCTGTTTTCTGGGAACATGTGCAGTGTTTAACCTACACTAAAGAAACTAGTGTGTTTCACTGGGTCCCTGAAACGTACAGGGATAGTGTTTGGAGTGATAGCCTTTTGACACAAACTTTCGTGCCTTTGTCTCTGCTCAGGGTGGTAGTGGGTGGTCACAGATGGTGGCTGACTTTCTTTAGAACTAGGGAGGGAGACCCCTTCTTTCTCTGGGCATTATTCTACTTTCACTCCGGAGAATCTCACCCCTCCTTGTTCAGATCATTTTCCCTTACTGGCAGGAGAAAGGGGACTTTGATATGCAGCAGTTCAAGAAAGGAGGGCTTTCCATGGAGGGCATATTTCTGGGTTGCTCTGCTGCATGGAGTGGTGCCTTCCTGGGAGCCATTTATAGAAATGACTGGAAACCTCTTAGGAAGGAATTTAAGATAAGAAAGGAGAGAATGGGGGAACACAAATTTGGTCCAAGGAAAATGGCTCAGTGTGAAACGGGAGGGGTGGCTTTTGCACTGCCTTCCTACTGTTCCTAGAAACTTGTGCCAGAATCTTGAGTAGTGGAGATGGAAAGAAAAATACGTTGAAGCTCTTCTGTCACCGTAGTTTCCATATGTAGGAACTCAGCTACATTCAGAGGGTCAATGCAAAGCCCACATCCCTGGGGAGCAGAGAAGGCTGGCCAAGGCCCAGAGCAGCAGACAGCATGGAGCAGGGCGGGAGCCTGCTCCACAGAAGCAGGTGGAGCAGGGAGGAGAAATCCTACTGCACTCCAGGGGCCTCCCAGGGATATTTGGGAGGTGGGGTGGGCCAGGGCAGGGCTAGATTCTGCTATTGTGGGTGGGAAGCAGATCCAGGGAATCAGGGTTTTGTTTGTCTTACCTGTTTCTGTTATGGTGACCTTGATTTTGTATCTAGGCTGGAGAGACCTGGGAAACACTGGTTACATAGGATTATAAAGCCTGTCACATCACAGGGAGGGGAACATCACACACCAGCGCCTGTTGCCGGGTGTGGGGCTAGGGGAGGGATAGCATTAGGAGAAATATCTAATGTAGATGACAGGTTGATAGGTGCAGCAAACCACCATGGCACGTGTACACCTGTGTAACAAACCTGCACGTTCTGCACGTGTATCCCAGAACTTAAAGTATAATTACAAAAAAAAAAAAAAAAAAGAAAACACCTATCACATTTACTGAAAGCCTGTCATTGCTGGTACCCATTGAAAAACAACAAGCTCACTTTAAAAAGTCAGTAAGTCAATGAAAAGAACTTATGAGACTTGTGATTTAGTGAAATTGATTAATAAAAACAATTTACATAGATGTGAATAATAAACTTGAATCATGAAATAAATATTCAGAGTTAGGTCCCATTAAGGGCATCATTTTCTTTCTTCTATTCCCATGATAAACTTGCTGTCTTATGGCCAAAAGCTGCACCTGTAGCGACAAGATGGTTTGGTCCCACCCACCTGTGCTGCCTGGAACAGCTCAGTGATGAGGATGGGTAATGCTGGTAGACCAGAGTAGACTCAGTTCAGCCTCCTTCCTAATTCTTCGAGCCAAGGTAGTGCTCCAGAGAGCTTCCAGGAAATGTGAGTCTCTGTGGCCTTCTTTACTCTCGATCTCTCTCACCCATCTCAGATCTATTAGTCAGGAGGTTTCCAATATCTAGGGACATTTCAACATCTCCACTCAGGCCTCTACTGACCCTACGGCTGCTAACTTCCTGGAGCAGCTGAGAATACTGAAGATCAAGGACTCTCTCCTGGTGGCCTTTAATTGTGAGGAAATATCCTGCCTTTTTAATCCAGTCCTGCAGATACTGAGTTCCTCTGTGCTAGGCAGAGGAACCGAGGACTCCAACACGTATACCCTTAGGGGTATTGGGAAGATAAAATTTACACTGAAATCAAAAAGGACAGAAGAAAAAAACAGGAAGAACAGTGTCATGTGATGGCTAAGAGCTTGGGCTCTGGAGTCAAAGAAATTATATTCAAATCTTAGTTCCCAAAGAAACTTCGGAAAAGGTATCTTAACTTCATTATGCCTCTAATTTCTTATGTATGAAATGGCAGTCATAACAATATGACTGGTGTCATGGCACCTGGTTGACCCCATGCTTATGTAAAGGCACTGCCAGCCCAGTGGGTCCTAGGCACTTGTAGGGACCTAGTGAAGCCCAAGGAAGGAGCTTCAGAAAAGCACAGTTTCCCTGTGGTGAGGCACTGGGGCCTGGCCCTTCACCTGCCTGTGTCTGCTCCTAGGTTGATGTGAGGATGAAAGAGCTAAGTCATGAAAAGCATCCAGACAATAAGCACAGCAAGCACAGAAAAAACTCTCAGAAATGGTGCTGTTATTATTACCAATAGCAATAAGGCCCAGACTCCTGAGGATGGACAGTAGTTCCTGTGGGGATTTACTAGCAGCAGGAGATTTAGGGGAGCAAGAGGCTACTGGAGTGGATGTACCATTGGGCAGACAAACTGTGAGATGGCCTTGAAGATGCCATCAGGACATCACCAAGTGACTGGCCCTGGAACCGTGGGAGGCAACCTTCATTAAAGGAGTATGGGTTGAGTCCTGCAGCCAGACGAGAGTGGAAGATTTTTCAGTGTGCTGGTTTAAGGGCACGTGAAGTCTGGAGAAAGCCAGGCCCAAAGCCCAGAAAGGTCAGGGGGTGTTTGGGGAATGGTAAGTAAATTCCCTCCAATCCCAAGTTGGAGCAGAGAGACAAATGCGACAGAAGGGTTGATGCAAACTGTAAGATTGAAGACAGCAGTCTTAGGAGACTTTGGTGAGGGAAAAGAAAGCTAAGAGAAGAGAAGAGAAGGGCACTCCCTAGAGGCCAACAGGGAGCACAGGAAGGAAGCTCCCTGGACAATGGGGAGACGACAGAGGTCTTCCCAAAGCAGGACTCACCAGGTGAACTATTTGATATGGGTTGGCTCTGTGTCCCCACCCAAATCTCATCTCGAATTGTAATCCCCATGTATAGAGGGAGGGACCGGGCGGGAGATGATTGGATCATGGGGGTGGTTTCCCCCATGCTGTTCTCCTGACAGGGAGTTCTCATAAGAAATGGTTTTAAAAAGTCAGTTTCCCTTGAGCTCTTTCTCCTGCTGCCTTGTGAGGAAGGTGCCTGCTTTCCCTTCACCTTCTGCCATGATTGCAAGTGTCCTGTATCCTCCCGGCCATGTGGAACTGTGAGTCAATTAAATCTATTTTCTTTATAAATCACCCAGTCTCAGGTATTCTTTAGAACAGTGTGACATCGGACTAAAACACTATTTCTCCCAGCCCGAATGCTGGAGTGGGTGTATATGCAACTGATATCCCCAGTAACTGCGGGCTCCCTTTGGCTGCTAAGTGAATGGCAGGGAGGCTTGAGGCTGCGCTGTTCACTTTAGGAAACAGCGAGGTGTCTGAGCTAGGGAATCCTAAAAAGGATTACTGTCACAAATTGAATTGAAATTTAAGAAACACACAAACTGAAACAAGACCTTTTAATTTGTAGCCCCAAACAGGCAAACTGCTCTGTTGAAACAATTAAGCAGCTGTGATGAGGAGGGGCAGCAATACACAGCAGCTGCCCGGATTTCCAAGGAGGTTACAGAGAGTTCACGGACTTAGAACCACTCTAGCTCACCTGGCTCCACGTGGCGACTCAAGGCTCTGCACCCTTCCGGCCGCTAAGACAAGGCCTCAGACACGGGGTTCTGCCCTGTCTACTGTCAGCAGAGCCAAGCTGAGAAGGATGGGCACGAGAAAAGGTAATTGGCTTTAAAGGGTGGGGATGCAGGTGACCTTCGCAAGGGCAGCTTTTGCTGACCCTATAGGAGCAGGGGACGCACTCACCAGGCCGCGCCACTAGGGGACGCGGGGCAGACTCCCGGCCCTTCCTGAGCCCGGCTGTGGTGGGCGGCCCGCCCTTCACCCTCACAAGGTAGGGCTCTCACCAACACCATTTCCATTGTGTTTTTTATTTGTAAAGGAATACACGGAAAATTGGGTAACTACAGAAAACCACAAAGAAAAAAAAATTCCAGTCCCTAAGCGCTGGAATTCCTCTAACAGCCTTTTGGTGTGTAATGAGTGTTTCATCTTTTAATTTTTTAATTAAAAAAAATGTTTTTTAGAGTAACAGCTGGTATCAGAATTCCTTTTTGGGTGAAATTCCTTTTTTTCCCCCCTTTTTTCTTTTTGATAAAGATAAGCTGATACATTTTCTGGCTTTAGGATGGGACAATATACTGTCCCTTGGTACAGGAAGAAAAGGAGGGATGGGGCTGGGTGTCCTCTGGAAAAAGGGAGTCAGAGGTGGCTGGTGACACAGAGGAGGCATTTGTGGCATTTCATGGTGGATATTTTTGGGGTGCTGTGAAGAGGCATTAATGTTGAGTCTAGGTCAATGCAAGTAGCATAAATGTGTCAAGGAAGCAGGAGCTCAGGAGGAGGTGAGCACTGAAACCCGTGGGAAACTGCAGAAATCTTGGGGCAGGGTTTGGGATTTCCTAAACTGTGGCGAAATTATGGGAGTGAATCCACTATACCTGGAAATTTGGGGAAGGGAAGTCATCCCCCTGGGTTGTAAGTGTTCATGCTATAAATTTATTATTGGATTCATATTGGTATTTTATATATAAACTGCATATATATATATGCAATTTTTATCGTGTTATAATCTTTGCTGTATTTATGTATGTGTGTGTATATATATATATATTTCTTTTTTTTATCTTTTCTTCTTCTTTTCTTTCTTTCTTTCTTTTTTTTTTTTTGAGACTGGGTCTCTTGCTTTATTGCCCAGGCTAGAGTACAGTGGTGTGATCACAGCTCATGGCAGCCTCGACGTCCTTAGCTCAAGTGATCCTCCCACCTCCACCCCCCAGAGTAGCTGGGACTACGGGTGGACACCACTATGCCAGACTAATTTTTAATTTTTTTTTTTTTGTAGAGATGTGGTCTCATTATGTTACCCAGGCTAGTTCCTTATATTCTCAGAGAACATATGCATGTGCGTATATGTAAAAATATGTATGAAATTAAAAATACTTACTTAAACATTGTAATATTTTGTCATTTAGATGAAATGCTAATCCCTAAATTTGGATGTTGAGAGTGTTTCCATGTAAGTTACTATCAAAGAAAACTTCCCTTACCTGTTTTGAATTCAGGGGGACTGAACATTCACTTCAAAAATAACTTCCAGGCACATCGTTGACTGTTCTCGCATTGTGCTGGGCTTTTTAGTTGTGTGTTTCCATTTCCTCCATTACAAAGGGAACTCCATGAACTCAAGACACTTCTTATTTCATCTTCGCAGCATAGTGTCAAACATCTTATATGAGTTCAGTGCGTGTTTTTAAATAAACACGAGATTTTGAGTCAATGGGCAGACATATGCACCTGGTGAGGCAGTATTCTAAGCTGACAGTTAACTCTACACCCCACACTGCTCAGGGGAGCCCCGAGGGAGGGCTGTGTTCATGGTTCCTGCATCCAGGTAGCTGGATTTACACAGATTATTTTCTTGTTTGACACCTAATGGGTTTTTCCAATAATATTTTGTATTGCCCATAGTTCTGTTTTCTGAAGCTGAAAGTGAGTATGGGGAGGAGTGGAGGAGATGGGAGAAGGAAGGAGAAGGATCAAGCTCAAGCTGCCCACTGGCCTGCCTTGATATCCTATTATTATTTCAACTTTAGCAAGGTAGACACTTTAAGAATCAAATTTCAGTTCCAAAAAGAACGCTAGAGAAAAATGTGAGAACAAATACTTATGTCTTCCTGTTTTGAATTTGAATGGATACACAGTTTCACCTAGACTTTGAGTTTGTTGGCTTTGTTATTTCTAACATTTCAGATACCTGTAGATTTGAGCAGTTAACTGAAAAAAAGCCTCCTTTTTATTGGCAGTTGAGAAGAGAACTATCTTCCAGAACTAACAGATTCTTTGGGAAATAAGTGTTTCCTTTGCTTTTTTAAAAAGCAAATGTCTTCTGCTTTCTAATGTCTTCTGTTAAGAAAAGGTGAGTCCTGGTATATGTGTCAGGGCAGTCTCAATGGCAAGCACAATAAATGGAATGGCCCTAGGCAAAGTAATTCCTTTCTGTCTTCCTGGCCGACTTGCTGAGGATAATGCAATATATACAGTAAGCTCAGAGGAAAGGGAAACTACAGGTGCTTTTCAGAAATTTTCTTTCATCCCAAGTTGGCCTTTTCCAATTTTTTTTTTCTCTTTCACCTTTTAATGACTTTAACAAAATTTCAGTGAGTTAAGATACTCAAGACCAAATCAAAAGCATGGGCTCTTATACTTTCAACAAAATAAAAATGCAAACGTCAAGAACTCAGGAATAAATGATGTCTTCAACACAAACACATGTTCATCAGAGTACCTTATCAGATTAGCTCCGTGTGTCTTAGACATACTACCCACCCTATGAAGGAGTTTCCCGGATCATGCTTTGATAGGTGACTCAGGGTTTCTTCTCATATCTGCTTCCAACTTATCTCTCTAGCTCCAAACAGTTACATGCATCATGAAGTTGAGCCAAATGGAAGGATCTCTGGTCCCGAAATAAAGTCGCCATCCTTATTTTTGTATTGCTGTGTAAGTCTTTGGAAATCTCCAGCAGTGCTCCCGTCTTTAAGAATATTCCAGGCATTCCTCAATGAGTTCTTGAGATGGGCCTCTGCAGCAGTCTTCTAGACATTCATGCCTCCAAGAATTTCTTATGTGCACTTTTCATTTAAATCCTTACAACTCTGCACCATTTAATAAACCCTAGCAGGCGTTTTGCCACCAAAACTTTGTTTTCAATTTTAGTTTAAGCTGTTTTAAAATTTTATTCTTGGCCAACATTTTTGGGTTTCAGAACATCTGGATGAAATGTAATAAAGAGTCAGCTAATCTTTCCCACGTTGGCCCACCTAGTGCCAAAGAAGTCTGAAGTTTTTTCATTTTCCTAGATTTAGTTAGAATTTTATATTTTTCTCTTTAGTGTGAATTCATTTATCTTGTTTTCATTGCTCCAGTCAAACCTGTATCTTAGCAACTATTTTAGAAGCATTTTTCAGTAGAAGATGTTTTTGTGGGAAGGTAGAGATAACTATATCTTTCTCAGAGCATAAAAAATGTATAGCTACAGGCTCACTCACATGGTGATCATAAATTTCATGGCAGAAACTCACTGACATCTCCATAATATTATTAATCATGATAAAGTAGAAGTCAGGATAAGGCAAGTCTCTTCTAAGGATGCTCAGGTTATGGTTTACTGAAAAAATCCCACTGCATTATATGGCAGTCTCAGCCTTGGAAGCCTCGTGTCTAAATATTGCCTTATATTACAAGGAGCTTTCCACAAATGCAGGACTGTGGCATGAAAAACATTCTGAAAAATAACAACTCCCTTAACTTAAAAAAGAACCTCATCTACATTGTATGTGTCATGTAAACACAGACTTCCTTTGATAGTTACATGTCTGATTATTCTTATTAGTGCTAAATCATAGCTCTCTCAATTTCTTCCTTAGATTTAATGCTAATTTATTCCTCTTCAAGCTGTCAGCTTTGTCCTTTTCTGTCTTCAGTGAAACTGGCTCATGGCTAACTACCATTGTTTATGTGGTATTCTTTTATGGCTTGAAAATTTATAGTCACTTTCTACTCCTCTAACTGAAACAATTCCTATTCTTTTAATCTCTCCTTGGAAAGCCTGTTTAATTTCTGTTTTTGTTGCTCTCCTGTGGATCTTCTTTGAGTTCTCTAGATTTTGATACACTTTGTGTTGAACAGAGAAGTTTAGCAAAGATTGTTTCTCATTGTTCCAAGGTAGATTACTTGATGATACCCTGATGGGGAACTGATAGGTGACACTGCATGGGAAATTCCTTTGAGAACCCTAAAGTACCCCCAAATGAAAGAGAAGATTACTGCTTGGTTGTACATCTTGGGCAGTGTCTTTATTTCTGGAAGTAGAGTTTAAATATTTTTTTCTCTGTTCGGTCACTCATTCATTTTTTCAACAATAACCTTTTTTTTTTTTAATCAAATTTGAAGTGCTGGACAAAGC
The DNA here is from genome assembly GCF_000001405.40 of Homo sapiens. NCBI lineage: Eukaryota > Metazoa > Chordata > Mammalia > Primates > Hominidae > Homo > Homo sapiens. Next base: position 89,858,315 of record NC_000010.11, read on the forward strand.
ATTGAAAGTTTAGCAATATCTGTCTGTGGTAGATTTACTTGCTATTTCAGTTTTTATTCTCTAGTAAGAAAAATATGAATATAAGGAAATGTCCTCAGTTTGATAAAAAGCATCTATGAAAAGCCTACATCTGCCATTGTACTTAATAATGAATAGCTGAACACTTTTCCACTGAGACTGGGGACAAGGCAAGGATGTCTGCTCTCATCATCTTTTTTTCCTATACTGTCCTGGAGGTCTTAGCCAGTGTAATAAGGCACAAAAGGCATTCAGATTGGAAAAGAAGTAAAACTGGCTTTGTTCACATTTGGTGTGATTGTCTGCAATGAAAATTTTAAGGAATCTACCGAAAGTGAAAAAAAAAGTGAAAAATTGAACCAGTAAGTGAATGTAGCTAGGCCTCATGGTTCAAGATCATGATGCGTTTAATTGTACTTCTATATACTAGCAATGAACAACTGGAAAATAACCTTTAAAAACCACAACATTTGTAACAGCATAAAAAAGTACTGTAGGACAAATTTAATGAGAACTATGTAAGAGCCTTCTGCTAAAAAGTAAGAAATATTATAGAAAGACTTAAAGAAGGCCTAAATAAATGAAGAGATATTATAGCATGTTCATGAATCATAAAACACAATATTATTAAGATGTCCATTCTCCCCAAATTGATCAATGCAATCTCAATCAAAATATCAAGACTTTTCTTTTTAGAAATTAACAAGCTGACCTAAAAAATTATGTAGATATACAAAAGACCTAGCATAAACAAATTTTGAAAGATAACAGAAAAAAGTTATTTTAAAATTTACCATAAAGCTTACAGTAATCAAGACACTGTAATATTGATGTAGGGATAGGCAAATAAATCATGGAATGGATAGAAACCAGAAATAGACCTACATTAATATAGTCAACTAATTTCTGAATTACCAAAAGAATTAAATGGAAAATAGTGCTGGAAGAAATGACTATCTTTCAAGAAAACCAAAATGAACCTTGCTTCCTACCTCACTTATACCATCCACAAAAATTATTTCAAAATGGATCATAGGCCTAAATATGAAAACCAAATCTTTAAATTTCTAGAAGTAAACATAGGAGAAAATCTTCATGACTTGTGTTGACAAATATTTTCTAGAAAAGAAAAGTCACAGAAAGCAGAATCCAAAAAGGGCAAAATTGATAAAAATTGGACTTCAGAAAAATTTAAAACTTCTCTTTATCAAAAGACATCAATAATAGGAATAGATATGTCATTAACAGGGGAGAAAATAGTAAAAAATATTTAGTAAAAATCTTCTTTTGGGAATATATAAAGAACTTATACTTCTCAATATTAAAAAAAATAAAAACAACCCTCCCAAACTGCAAAAGTCTTGGCCAGAAAATTCATAGTAAAAAATATACAATGACCCATAAACACATGAAAAATTCTCAAATTATTAATCATCAAGGAAATAAAAATTAAAACCCCAATGGGGTATCACTACACATGTAATAGAGTGGCAGAAAGGAGAAACTGATGATGCCAATGTAATTAAGAGTGTGAAGCAACTGAAACTCTCAGTGTTGCTTGTGGAACCTTGAAATTGCATAACCTCCTTGGAAAAAGTGTGTCAGTTTCTTATAAAGTTAAGCATATACCTATCCTTCGGCTCTCCAAGGCATTTACCAAAATAAATGGGAGCACAAGGCAACAGAAATGCTTACAGAAGAATGTTTATAGTTGCTTTATTCATACTAAAAAAGTGTTAGCAACACAAATATTCTTCAAACAATAAGAAGAAATTGCAATATAATCATACAATGGAGTACTATTCAGCAATAAAAATGAAGGAGCTATTGATACATGTGACAACATAGACCTAGTGATAAATGTTTAACTAGCTTTAAATATATTGTTGATAACTTTAAAAAGTCCTTATTTGTAGTGTTTGCTGATTTCCATGGTGTAGTAACTCACACTGGCCCATTTCAACCTACCTATGAAACGTGGAATTGGAAAGAGGTGCTCAGTAGCATACCACTATACAGATAAAATGGTTGTAAGTAACTTCAAGAGAATATGTAATAAAATGTAGGAAATACTTAGGAAATAATGTCCTTTGATTATTATTTTTGTTTTTAAAATGTCATTTAATTGTAAGTTTATATAATTTAATTTTTGATGATAGTTTTTTTAACAACCAGCTCTCAGAGTTTCTGAAAATTTAGCATTCAGCTCTTGTGAACTGGTATGAGCCACTGGAAGAGTCTCACATAGTATGCTAAGTAAAAAAAAATGGTCACTAAAGAGTAAATACTGTATGATTTTGTTTACATGAAGCTCTATAGCAGGCAAAATGAATCTGTGGAGACAGAAATGCAGACTATTAGTTGTCTTTTGGCTTAGGGTAGGGGATGAGACCAGTTGGGGAGAGATATGAGGAAACTTTCTGGGGTGTTGGAAAAGTTTTGTCTTGATAGAGATGTATGTTTTTTAGCAGATGTTTTTGAGCTGCACACTTAAGTTTAGTGGATTTCTCTGCATGTAAACTCTATCCGAATAACAAAGAAAAGGAAAGTGAAACCAGCCATAGCAACAATAAGTTAATGAAACGGGGCCAATGTGTACACACACACACACACACACACACACACACACACACACACACACACAGACACACACTATCAGGCAAGCCAAAAGGGAAAACTGATCATGAGCAAAGAATATTGAGGTGTGAAAAAGTCCAAAATATTTGGTAAATCCTATTGGTTCTGTATGTCTGGAGCATAAGGTTTACTGAAGAGATGGCTAGAAAGGTAGGTTAGGGCCTGATCAGCAATAAATTTACATAGTGATCCATGATTGGGCCCCTGCTATCATGGTAAAGGACTAGATAGGAAATATGTTAGGCTTTGCAGGTCACATACAGACTCTGTCACATATTCTTTTTCTTTTTTCTCCTCCTCCTCTTCCTCTTCTTCCTTCTCCTTCCCCTTCTCCTTCTCTCTCTCCTTTTCCCTACTCCTCCTCTTCCCCCTCCTCCTCCTCTTCCCTCTCCTCTTCCTCTTCTTCCTCCTCCTCCTCCTCTTCCACTCCTCCTCCTCCTCTTCTCCCTCTTCCTCCTCCTCTTCCCCCTCCTCCTCCTCTTCCCCCTCCTCCTCCTTTTCCTCCTCTTCCTCCTTCCTCCTCCTCCTCCCCCTCCTTCTTCTTTCTTCTTCTGCCTTTCTTTTTTTCTTCTTTTTCCTCTTCTTCACAACTCTTTAAAAATATAAAGGCTATACTTAGTTCAAGGGCTATAGAGGAACGGTGGGCCAGATTTGGTCTGCACACTGCAGTTTGCCGACCCCTGTGCTATACTAAGCACTCTTGATGTATAAAAGAGGTCCCTCTAACCAGAACCAATACACAAGGGCTACAAGAGATATTTGGTGTGTTACAAACTGTTTTGAGAGCACACAGAAGATGAGAGTGACTCATTCCTCCTGGGGGATGTCTTCTCAGAAGAGGTGGCATTTGTGTTGGGTTTTGGAGGATGAGAAACAGTTCACAGGGAGAAAAGCAAGTTATAGAAAGAGCTGTGCCTAGCAAGAGTAAGGCTCTGGCATTTGGTAGTCATGTTATGTGGGGTAATGCTTGGCTGGTTCTGAGTTTATCTTTAGGATAGGTATTATTATAGCTATCCTTTTAACTTGGGAAGAAGTGCAGTGAAAGTTAAAAAAACGAAACAGAGCCCTACTTGAAAAAGTTTAAAGTGCCTTAAAATGTGATTGTTACCTCAGACTCTTCATCTTGCATGAGCTGGGATGACTCATGCCACTTATGTGTGCACAGTAATTGCTGAGATTACTGGGCTTATGGCAGGGTGTTTGGGGCCTAATTCTCAGCTCTCAAGAGGGGATGAAAGTGAGTCAGGAACAGACTTTGACTCCTTTTTAATTGTTATGTGAGTCATTTGCATATTAATCTAAAGCCTAATTTGTTCAGCTCCCTGCTTCTTAAAAGTACATGCCAAATGACTGTTTGGTGCTTTTTAGGGACAGTATCAGGGTCTGTTCCCAGGCATTGGGAGTTGAGAGAGGGAAAAGTTGAAATAGGACAAAATATAAACAACTAAGATAGAGTTTTTTTTCAATAGGCTGGAGGACCTCGTAGTAGCATCTCTGGGTGTGCTGTCCCCTTATCATTTCACAATGCCTGACATTCCAACACAATGGATTCAAGTCCTTCTTTTTAATTTTTATTTATTTGTTTAATTTCAATAGTTTTGGGGGTACAGGTGGCTTTTGGTTACGTGGATAAGTTCTTTAGTGATGATTTCTGAGGTTTTTCATGCACCCATCACCTGAGCAGTGAACACTGTACCCAATATGTAGTCTTTTATCCCTCACCCTCCTCCATCCTTCCCTGCCAAATCCTCAAAGTCCATTATATCCTTCTTATGCCATTGCCTCCTCATAGCTTAGCTCCCACTTTTAAGTGAGAACATATGGTATTTGGTTTTCCATTCCTGAGTTACATTACTTGGAATAAGGGCCTTCAACTCCATCCAAGTTGCTGCAAAGGCCATAGTTCCATTCAATTTTAAGGCTGAGTAGTATTCCATGGTGCATATATACCACATTTGTTTATCCACTCATTGGTTGATGGGCATTTACATTGGGTCCATATTTTGCAATTGCGAGTTATGCTGCTGTAAACATGTGTGTGCATGTGTCTTTTTCATATAATGACTTCTTTTCCTTTGGGTAGATATCCAGTAGTGGGACTGCTGGGTCGAATGGCAGCTCTACTTTCATTTCCTTAAGGAATCTCCATACTATTTTCCATAGTGGTTATACTCATTACATTCCCACCAGCAGTGTGAAAGTGTTCCCTTTTCTCTGCATCCATGCCAATATCTATTATTTTTTGATATCTAAATTATGACTATTCTTGCAGGTGTAAGGTGGTATCTCATTGTGGTTTTAATTTGTCTTTCCCTGATAATTAGTGATGTTGAGCATTTTTTCATATTTTTCTTGGCCATTTGTATATCTTCTTTTGAGAATTGTCTACTCATGTCCTTTGCCCACTATTTGATGGGATTATTATTATTTTTTCTTGCAGATTTGTTTGAGTTCCTTGTAGGTTCTGGATATTAGTTCTTAGTTAGATATATAGTTTGCAAATGTTTTCTCCTACTCTGTGGATTGTTTTTTTCACTCTGCTGGTTATTTCTTTTGCTGTGCAGAAGGCTTTTAAATCAAGTCGTTCTTTAAAATGAAAATAGCTTTTGAGGGGAAAGGGGTGGGAAGTGGGACACCATACACTAGTTTTTGGTCAGAAAAATGATTTAGTGTATCAGTTCCAGTAAACAATGATGGTGTAGACATTGGATACTGAGCAGATTACCTGAGTCCAAATTCTTTGTGCAAATTCTTTAGCCTTTATGTTTCTCCATTTATTATACTGACATGAGGATAATGATGATGCTATCTAGTAGTTGCCATTAGGATGTAATGCACAACAATATGTCAGGAACATAGTGTAGTGCCTGCCTGGTAGTAATAAATGTTAGCTATTATTATTATTTCTCATTAATGTCAAGTGGCAATGGAGGGATAATTTTATAGCTGGAGCTGAGAGTGGCGAGAGGGAAAAGTTGAGATAGGACTAAATATAAACATCTAAGTTACAGTTTTTGTGTTTTTTTTCCCACAGGCTAGACCTAGCATCACTGGGCATGCTATTTCTTACTGTGTGCCAGTGTTTCAGACCAGAATGATAGATGCCTCCTTCACCCCTCTCTGGACTAATGGGCGATAAAGATTTTGTAATGAGACATGGAGAGATTGTTCTGTTTCCTACCTACTGCATCTGGTGTTTGCTTAGTTGACTGTCTTTTTTTCTCCAGGCAGTAAGTTACTTGAGGACACGGACTTTGTTGTATCAATCTTTTAAATATTACCACTAGCACAGAACCACTGAGAATATATTTATTTCTAAATAAAATATTCCTTGAATGAACAAATAAATAAATCTTCATATTTAATTCTTGAGGAAATCAGTTGTCTATATGTGTAGGCAGATATATTTAGATATTTATGTTCACAGCTAAATTTTTAAATAATCAAGATGATGCTAAATTCTATGTGCAAACTTGAGCAGATTCCAGAAATACTTACTCTGTTACTGGTCAGTGAAATTCACTTCTCCTTCAATTCTAGAGAAAACAAAAATCCCAAGCAAAATGATACAAGCCATTTAAACTCTCAAAAGTCTCAAAAAGTAGAAATGTTACCCACTGGAGCATAAGATGAACCAATTGAGGATGAGGATTTGAGAAATAAAATGTTTCATTTTTATCGACAGCGAGCCAGTATGATATTAAGACAAAAGACAGCCCTTGATGAAAGAGGCAGTCAATTCTATCTTTGAGAATTCAGTTTTAAAAAAACCAGATTAACTGGTGATTTTCCTGAAGTGACCTGTCAATTTGTTCCGATAGGTTAATTTGGTAGAATCAGCCTCAGATTGGTTTTTCAGCGTGTACCTTAATTGTATTACTTTTCAGCAAAATATTTCTGTCAATCAGAAAATGTTTTTAGAATTAACCTGCTTGCAACGCTGAGGTCAAGGAGAGCGGATCCCAAGGACAGCAGGGATCTCTATATATTGTGCACTAGGGAGAGAGCACCCTATGTGGAAATGTGGGGCTTGAAAATTCAGGGACCATGTTGGGCAGTAAGTTCATATTGATATATTTTCTTTTAGGAGAAGTCCTGGTACATCTGGAAGTGTAAAAAGTCATCAGTTCTAGTCTTGGCTCCCCCAGTTTCTTTATTTTGAAGGTTTATGACCTGAGGCAAGACACATCTTCCTATATCACTTTCCTTGACTAGAAAGTGTAAGAGCTGACACGGGAGACCTTATTTAGCCCCAACCTTATGTGAGTATACAAATTATACTCCCAAATCCGTTCCTGAGACATTGGGAGCTTTTAATGGTTTCAGGGATGTTTACAAAGTCAGAGCTATTTAATGTTTTCAGGAGCAGAGCTGTTTCCAATCCAGGGGCTATCTAAGGTGCTGTATAAAACATCTAGCCTTGGGGATGGGGGAGCAGCCAGGAGACTCGGTAAAGATGCATGAGGGTAGATTAGAAGTCTTTCCCCTAGCTGTGGTGGGCCCATTCTGAGGTGACTATGTTAATGTTTATGCTGAGGAAAACCTATACCCAGAAGATAGTGAGAAGCAGGGAATGTTTTTTTTTTGTGTGTGGGGGGAGGGGGCTGAGTGGTAGAAGACTCTGGAAAGATTTCTGCTTGAGTGAAAGAGAGATACACAGATAGATCTCAGCCTGGGCCATAAGCACCTATTCAGTACCTAGTTTGTCATCAACACTCTGGATATATTTGATATCTGTCTAGAACAGATGAGGTTCCTGCTTTCATGGAGCCTGTACCCTGGGACGTGCAAAGGACCATGGGAGCACATAGGAGGGACATCTAACACAGGTTTAGGGAGCTTGGGAAGTTTTCTAGAGAAAGAGATGTTTAAGCAGAAACTAAAAATCATACAGGTAAGGAAAGTGAAGGAAATGTTTAAGGCAGTGCAACCAACATGCACAAAGGCCTGGAGGTGAGAGACAGCAGGACATGTTCAAGGATCTGAAAGTAGTTCAATATGGCTGAGGGTGGGAAAGGGGCAGAGAGGGAATGGGGGAGAGACCACTGAAGTGAGATTCTAGAGGCCTTCTCTAAGCCATGTGAAGGAATTTGGTCTTTAATTTAAATGCAGTGGGAGCTTCTGAGTGACTTCAAGCAGAACAGTGACCTGATCAGATGTGTGTTTAGAAAGATCCTCCTAGCTATAGAGTGGAGAAAGGGTTTTGGGGGTGGGAGGCAGGGGAAGTCTAGAGATGGGGAAAGGTAGGAGAGAGGAGTAGAAACTTTTGGAATCTAGGTGAAAGAGAATAGTGGTTTGGATTATGATGGTGGCATGAGATTGGAGAGAAGTGATAGATTCAAGAAATGTTTAGGAGGTAGACTAGGCAGAATTCAATGAATCATGTGATGTGAAAAGTAAGGGAAGGAAAATAATTCAGGATGGTGTCCAAAGTCTCTGTTTTGGACATCTGGGTGATGATGTTCCATTCTTTCTGATTTGTACGTGACATTGCAGTGGATGTGGCTGCCTGCTCTATGCTGGCTGTCAGAAACTCCAGCCCTAGACCTCTCACCTGGCTTCCTGTCCTCCCTTCTTCATCTTCATTGGGAAAGTGCTTTTGTGGGAAGGGTAGTGAAGCCAACCTGGCTTTCAAAGGCTGTAAGGTTGTTAGAGAAAGGCCATCCATTTTGACCTACTTCTCCCTCTGGGACATGATAAACGCTATTGCTACAAGAGGTTTTTTTTTTTTGTTTTTTTTGTTTTTTTTGATAAAAATCTTTCTAGAGATGATGAATCCCCATGGGAACTGGACCACTGAAGCAGTCTCTTATTTGGTTTTCTCACTTTTTTTCAAGCAATCAGCTTGTTGCCAGAGGGCTCTCCTCAAGTCACTCTGTTTTATGGTCTCCATTAGTTCACATTTCTGTTTTTAGCAAAATATCCTATAAATACCTCGGGGGTGGGAGTCAAAGAGGTTAAAGATGGATCTTTCACCGGCAATAATTCTTTTTTTTTTTAACTTTTTAAGTTTAAATTATCATGGGTACATAGTAGGTGTATATGTATATAGGTTACATGAGATATTTTGATCCAGGCATCCAATGCATAATAATCACATCAGGGTAAATAGAGTATCACCTCAAGCATTTATCTTTTGTGTTTCAGACAGTCCAATTATACTCTTAGTTACATAAAAATGTACAATTAAAATTTTTCTTTTTTCTTTTTTTTAACTATACTCACCCTGTTGTGCTAGCAACTACTAGGTCTTATTTATTATTTCTAACTTTTTTTTTTAGCCATTAACTATTTCCCTATCCCCTTGCCCACCCTGACTACACTTTTCAGCCTGTGGTGTCCATCCTTCTGCTCTTTTTAGCTACCACAGAGAAGTGAGAACATCCAGCAGTGGATTTATGAATTATTAGAAGGTACCTCCATGGGTACCTGTTCTCCAATCCACTGTTGATTCCAGGCAAAAATGCTCTTGGAAAAAGATCTTGCATCAAGTGTGAACTTGAACATGTTCCTTTTGCAAGGGGTGCTTTTATTATGTATTTTACTTGACAATGGAAGTATTTGCTCCTAGCTTAAGGGATCTCTCTCTTTTGGCAGGTTAGAAAACAATTTTTTTTTTTACTTTTTGTTTATTTTGGGTCTTTCTTTTTTATTATAATTATGCAAGAAATATCCATTTAATGTTGGGAAAGTGGAGAAGAGTTAAGTAAAAAGAAGAAAAAATGTAAAAATCACCTGTAATCCTACCTCTTAGAGGTAATAACTATTAACAATGAGCACGTGTCCTTGAGTCTTGTTTCTAAGTACATATTTTTTTCAGAGGCTTTTCTGAACCCCAGTATGCAGCTGTCTCCTGGGCTGGAACTAAGCTTAGTGTGGACTGCAACCATGTTCATCTTATTCACTGTCTGAAACCTGGCACCTAGCATAGATCCTGGCACATCAGAATTGTCAAGACAGTATTTGTAGAATAAATGAATTTGTGTATTTATGTTTGCATGTTGGTTTTTAGTTCACGGTTCCTGCAGTTTCCAGCTTGGGTCATATGATACTCCTCACCTTTGAGTCAGCAGGGAGGAGAAAGGGTGTTCACTCTGCAGTCAGAGGTGGTATGATAATTTTCACAGCGTAGCTTTACCAACTTGAGAGCCTGGTAAGTTCTCAATTAACACATGTTGAGGTACCTAGTGCACAGATTCTTTTGGAATTGCTTGTGCAGCTGAGAAGCTAATAAACATCTCTTTCTTAGGGAATTAGCCTTCTCTCTATTTCCTCCATGACTCATAAGGATATGTTTCCATGCTGCAATTTTTGTCCATGTGACCCTAGGTCTCTTGTTCTGGGTTGACTGAATGAAGTATAGAAACTTAACCTGATACAGATGGTCCCCAACTTATAATGCTTCTACTTAAGATTTTTTGACTTTATTATGGTGTAAGACTGCAGCAATTTTGACAAAATCTGCAGTATTCAATAAGTTACATGAGCTCTTCAACACTTTATTATAAAATAGGCTTTGTCTTAGATTATTTTTTCCACTGTAGGCTAATGTAAGTGTTATGAACATGTTTAAGGTAAGTTAAGCTAATGTTTGGTAGGTTAGGTGTATTAAATGCATTTTTGACTTAAAGATATTTTCAACTTATGATAGGTTTATCAGGATGTAACCCCTTCATAAGTCAAGGAACACTTGTATGGAAAAATCTCTTAGGAATTTAGAAATGGGACTGTTTACTTGGCTGGACCATTACTTGTTAACTTGGGAGCTGCAGGGTGGATATCTTTCTTACCATGGGGATTGGGAAGCAAAGAAACCCAGTGAACGGAGAGAATCATGAAGGTTGTACAAAGATCAGCACAAATGAGAGATGGAAAGAGAACCCTAATGCCCTTCCTGTCTTTCATCCAGTTCTTTCTTCAGACCCAGCTACACTATGGATTCCATGATATTCTCTTGTATCTCTTAGCAATGTCCCCTCATGTCTTTTTTTCTAGCTAGCTTGAGTTGGTTTCTGCTACTTGCACCCAAAGAGTCTAAGTAAAACACATAACACACTAGCTTCCTGGCAAAACAAAGATCCCAGCATAGTTTTCTTTAGACCCCGAGAATATAATTCTCTTTTTCATGCTCACTTGGGTGTGCCATTTTATACAGACGCTTTCTAGAGGTGATGTCCAATTAGCCTGGTGGTGGCTCTGGACAGCTATACTTTGGCCATTACTCACAGGGCAGCTTGCTTTCTTGGTAGGTATCAGAAAAAAGCTTAGAGATAATTGCATCCAGTTCCCTTCTGAACTAAATCTGTTATGACTTGGTATTGTGCCAAGCATAGCAGCTCAGCTCTGATGGATTCAATCCTTCTGAGAAACATATGACCAGAATCAGGAACACTGATAACATTTTATAACCTGCTGAGGGCAATGTTTTCCTACAATTAATGCTCATAAATATCTTACATTTTCTGTAAATCCAGCTCTGAACCCAAGATGTTTTGGCAAGAATTACAGAGCGTTTTGGGACTTTCGTCACATGCTGTTCTCTGAATTTAGTAACTGAGTGAATGCATTATGTACCAAATTCTTACTTGTTTAAAGACATAAAGGACTATGTTTTCAAATTGAAGTCATTTTAAGGTTTTGCATCTGTTAAATTGAAGAAAAAAGAAACCCAACCTAGCCATATTTGGGCTGAGTCTATATAGCAAAGGAAAGTCAGGAGTTGCGACAATTGACTGATCAAATGATTAAAAGGACTTAGAAGAGAACAAACTACTTCATGTTTAAGGGACGTGGCTTTTGAGTTAAAGGCATGTGGGTTGGAGCCTGGCCCTGTCCTTGTCTACCAGATGGCCCTGAGCACATTTTGTTACTTTTTTACACTCCAGACTTGTTCTCCATAAAATGGGATTGAAATAGTACCTACCTCAGAATGATTTGTGAAGATTAAATGAGATAGTGCACATAAAGCACCTGGTATAGTGATGGGACATGGTAAAAACTCATCAAATGTCAAATGATTATTTATATGTAGTGCTTGGGTAAGGCAGATTGAGGGTGAGTGTGTGCAGGATAGGATGGGCTGCTGTTAATTTAACAATTCTTTGGAAAAAGGTGCAGTAAAGTATACTCCTGAGAGCCAAATCTGGCTAGCAGCCAGTTTTTCTCTGGCCCACAATCTAAGAGTGATTTTAAGTCTTTAAAGGTGACAATGTGGAATGAACTTCACTTGAAACCCTCTTCTGGGCAAAAGCAAATATTAAACAATCTCTCCACGCTTTTGTCTTCTGAGGCGAATTGCAGATGACCAGCCTACTCTGAGATATTCCAAGATAACACCTGTTTCCACCCTTCCTCAAAACTACCGTAAAACTCGAGGATGATTCCTTTGTTTACCTTGTTTACCACAGGTCCCTTTCTCTCTCTCTCTCTTTTTTTTTTTTTGAGATGTTCTTCATGCAGTAACATTGACCTTATTCCAATAGCTTGAATGAAATCATTGCCTTAATTGTCTGGTGCATTTTGTTTTTGACACAGGGCCATTCTCAAACAAAAGCAAAAACAAAAATATATGCAACATAGACTGTATGTTGCCTTCAATGCCTAAAATATTTAGTATTTTGCTTTACAGAAAAATTTTGCTGACTCCCATGTCTGGAATGAAAGGGTCCCAGTCCAAAACTCTCTACCAGCCATAGACCCTCCTTTGTATACCTGTTGAACATGCTAGGTGATTCCCCTTCTAATTCAGATGCACCATAAGATGAGTGGTTCAATCAGAGCATTGGAACAGGAGGAAGGAGATTGTATAATTGGAAATTATAGCAGATGAAGAATGGCCAAAGGTATTTATGCTGTACATTTTTGTTATATTATCTCATTTAATTCTTCACAATCTTGCATTTATTTACCATCATTATTTAAATGATGAAGATAAATGATTATTTGTCATTTGGTATTATTACAATTTCACAGATTATATAATTGAGTTTATTGAAGTTAATTCATGTTCCCAAAGTCACAGAGCTAATAACTGAAATGTGAATCTTAAATGAATCTGACTCCAAAGCCACGCTTTTTTCTCCTAAAATTGCATTATGTTTAAGAATTTGAAGCTCTTTTGTGTAGAATAATGAGTACACTTAGGTGCTATACTAGGAAGATGGAACTAGGCAGATTTTCCAGCTCATTAAGCAGGAGAATGTTTAACAACTAGGGCTTCCCACCCAGGGGCCAAGTCTGTGTGACGTTTCCCATTTAGTACTTTGTATATTTAAAGATATGATTCCAAGATTTAAAAAAATCTATAATTCTTGCTATAATATGTTTTGGTATATACAGTTTGTTTTGCAGGATTTTGATCAGTGATTCTCAAGGGCAATTAGTATGTGAGAATAGGCCACCTAGGAGAAGGGCATATCAGAATCACTTGAGGAACTTTGTCATTCTAAATATTCTTATAGGTTTTAATACCTTTGAGATCCACTCTTACATTTGGAAGTGTGTCCTTAGGTTTAGACATAAAAAAATATTTGAGTACCACTGTTTAGATACTTGTGCCACAAGTGATAATTTACAAATGTCAAAACTCTAGGAGCATTTCGCATCCTAATTTAGAGTATTAATGGTACTGTTTTATTCCATTTAAGCATATTTAATTTTTTTTAACTTTACAACCCTGAAACCATTTTTGAGGTGGGCGATAATTTTTTTCTCTACCTGCTTAGCAGTTGCAAGGGAAATAACTGATTTGAATTTAATTACACTATTTCCCACCCCTGACAGCACCCCAGTGTAGGTTACCTTCAAGCATTTCAAATTCATGGAAAGGTTGACTTTTTTTCCTGTTTCTCTATGTAAATTATCTATATTTCTTGTTGTGACTTGCTGACCACCTCCACTGGGATTTAGGGGTAAACAATCTGCTTTCACTAGTCTTTGAAATTGGTGATTAGAAGTATGTCTTTGCAGAAATAGCATGCTGTTGGAATATTGGCTCTGAAGAACAGAATAATATCTTTTGTTTTTAAACATGAGAGTTTATTTTTGAAGTACAAGGTTAATGATTTATAATATTCTGAAAGCTTTTAATATGTGTGAAGGAATTATTTGGGTTTAAAATTATTCTACTTTAACATGTTAGAGGAGCGTCTGTTAATTTTAGGTAGCTGGTGCCTTATGCAGAGAAATTTCTTTGACATTCAAAGGCTGTTTAAAAACATTAGTTTGTCTTCTATGGATGTAACTTGACTGGAGTTACATTAGCTTAAAGAAGTTTCAATTTAAATAAAAATGACTGGAGATTAACACTCAACAAATGCCTGAAGGTTACAATTGGGAGCCACATTTGTCATTCTTTTGAGTGTTTTTCTTAAACAAGATTCTGGTTTTAGTGTAGTAAAACCCACGAAAAATATGAGTTAAAACACACAGAAACTTTACAAGGAACACACACACACACACATGCCCTGAAATAAATAGATTTTCTCTGTAAGTCTTTTACAAAACTCAATATAAGTAGCTTCCATTTATTTAACTAGTTGGATTTTTTTAGTATCTGCTATGTGCCAGACATTAAAAACTAAGTATATTTATATATATTGTCTCATTTCATTCTCTTAATAATTCTTTAACGTATGTCCTGTTACCTCCATTTTAGAGATAAAAAATGAAACACAACAAGGTTAAATAAATTGGCTAAAGTCATAGCTTTTTGCCTACTGGAAAAAGATGGCATTTGACAACAGTTCTGACCTGGGTGTTCCAGTTCTTTTGGCCACTAGTTAGCTGTCATCAAGGCCAATTAACATTATTTTATCAATATACATAGTGGACTAGCATGATGTTCTGTAGAAAGTAAAGATAATCGGCTGGGCGTGGTGGCTTATGCCTGTAATCCCAGCACTTTGGGAGGCCAAGGTGGAGAGATCACGAGGTTAGGAGATCGAGACCATCCTGGCTAACATGGTGAAATCGTGTCTCTACTAAAAATACAAAAAGTTAGCCAGGCTTGGTGGTGGGTGCCTGTATTCCCAGCTACTTAGGAGGCTGAGGCAGGAGAATCACTTGAACCCTGGAGGCGGAGGTTGCAGTGAGCCGAGATCATGCCACTGCACTCCAGCCTGCGACAGAGAGAGACTCTGTCTCAAAAAAAAAAAAAAATAAAATAAAGATAATCAATGTCCTTTTTGACTCTATTGAGGTAGGATAGGTAGTCAAGGAAGTAACCATGTCCTTGGGACAACCATGGTGACCTTACAGTGAACACAGTTGACCTCAGCATTTGCATTGTAGTCAAGCTCATTCAAGCAAAGCTATCTCCAGTAGGGAGTTTCCCCTGTAGAAAACACACACATTTTGATTTTACCTGTCCTCAAACGGACACTTTGCTCATTATAATCATGAAAAACACACCCCTGGGTGGAGATTTAAGATGTTAATGAGACATGCAATATATGAACATGCATGTACAGCTACTATGCATGTACACCCAGAGGACCACCCATAACATGCTTACTAGCAACACCTTTTCCCACCTCCTTATGAATAATTATGTAAGGCTCCCATAAAGGAGCCTTCCTAGTGCCAGTCTTTGCTGTCTCATCCTTATGAGCAGCCTCCCCTGAATCCTTTCTCAGGGTGTACTGTCAATTCTGCCATTAACTTTCAAAATATTCTTTCTCCTTTGCAATAAATTGCTCTATGCTTCATCTCCTTTGCTGTGTGTCTCTTGTTTAAATTCTTTTAAACTGATAAGATGTATTAGTCCATTTTCTTTTTCTTTTTCTTTTTTTTTGAGACAGAGTCTCATTCTGTCACCCAGGCTGGAGTGCAGTGGCATGATCTCAGCTAACTGCAATCTCTGCCTCCCAGGTTCAAGCAATTCTCATCTCAGCCTCCAGAGTAGCTGGGACTACAGGTGCATGCCACCACACCTGGCTAATTAGAGATGGGATTTCACCATATTGGTCAGGCTGGTCTTGAACTCTTGACCTTAGGTGATCCACCTGCCTTGGCCTTTCAAGGTGCTGGGATTATAGGTGTGAGCCACCATGCCCGGCAGTCCATTTTCATACTGCTATAAAGAACTGCCTGAGACTGTGTGATTTATAAAGGAAAGAGGTTTAATTGACTCACATTTTTGCATGGCTGGGGAGGCCTCAGGAAACTTACGATCATGGTGAAAGGCAAAGGGGAAGCAAGGCACCTTCTTCACAAGGAGGCAGGAGAGAGAAGTCCTGAGCAAAGGGGGAAGAGCCCCTTGTAAAACCATCAGATCTCATGAGAACTCACTCACTATCATGAGAACATCGTGGGGGAAACTGCCCCCATGATTCAATTACCTCAAACTGGTCTCTCTCTTGACACTTGGGGATTATGGGGATTATACGGATTAAAATTCAAGATGAGATTTGGGTGGGGACAGAAAGCCTAACCATATCAGAAGACAAGAACCAAGGTTTCACAATAGCCATCAACACTATTATGACAGTGTAGGGTTGACTTGCTTGGGGACAAGACAGTGAATGTACAGTGCTGTACTTTCCACCAAAAAGCAAAGCAATTTTGAATTCCATATCAACAGGGATTGACAGAAGCTCATATGCCACATCAAGAACTTCATAATAAGTTCCAGAATCCTTGTTGTTTTGTGCCAATTAGGATAATTCATTCCTCATGGCAGCTGTAATTGCAGGTACCACAATGTTCCACTGTCATTTAACATGATTCATTTTTTAAATGTGCTTTACAGTGAAGTTAAGTGGAGCTATCATGTGACTACCACCTTTGCATCCTTTAAATTTTGATGATGGCTTCAATCTCTGAAGGTACTCCTACAATATAGTATTGATTTTGATTTGGTATTTTGTCTGGGGAGAGCAATTACATGAGCTTCTGTTTGGCTCTTCCTAGCATGGTGGCCCTTATTTTACAAAACGAAAAACCAATGTGAACTTTCTGTTAGGCACTGGGTATATCTAGTTCCAACTATACCCTGAGGTATTGGAGAAATAGCCACAGGATGGGTCTAGACTCTCTGTGAGGAGGATTGGGTCAGAAAGTCATATATCACCTGGCTTCCATATGTGCCTACTCTAATAAGCAGGTCAGTGTATTTCAGGTCCCCTTGTGTGACCCAGATCTTGCATCCCAAATCCTGAAAAGGTCTCATTTCCCTTCCTGCCCCCACCACCATTCATTTACTCTGGTCACAGACCCACTGAGAAAGGATTGGAGGGATTTTTAGTGTGTCTACTTGTGTTGGCATTCCAGGGTTCTTCAAGGAGGTTCAGCTTCTTTTTCAATCAATATGCTCTGGATCTATCAATAGGAAAATGGGTGTGGTAACTTGATTTTTTAGTGACAGCTGATACCAACTTTCTGCTGGCCAGTTTCTGATTTTTTTTTTTTCAGTTGACAGACAACACCATAAAAAGCTGTCTATCTATCTTGCCCCTGGGAACACCATGACCTACTGGCCATTAACACAGACCTTGAAG
Source organism: Homo sapiens (assembly GCF_000001405.40). Lineage (NCBI taxonomy): Eukaryota > Metazoa > Chordata > Mammalia > Primates > Hominidae > Homo > Homo sapiens. The sequence goes on from NC_000010.11 coordinate 89,875,468, forward strand.
GTCAAGGTACTGGCTGCCACTCTGACCTTGCTCTTCATAGTGGTAATAATGTTCACTTTTCCTCTTACATTTAGGTACTGCCACTGGGACCCTACCATTTTATAGTCCTGTCATTCCTATTGACACTAAGAAACATGATTCTATGACACCGTTTCCTACAGTGAACTTTATAAAGGATAGTTGTCACTGACCTCACTGGAAGTGAGCCCTTCTCACCAGTGCATTCTTTTCAATACTTTAAAGGTGTTACTCTACAGTCTTCTTGCTTCCATAGTTTTTCACATGAGGTCTGTTGTCCGTCTTTGTGTTTCGGTACATCTTCTGTCTTTGTGCTCTGGCTGCTTTTAAGATTTTCTCTTTGTCACTGGTTTTCAGAAATTGTATTATATAATATTTTTTTTTCCCTTCATGCTTCCCATTATGGTACTCCTAATATATATGTTACACTGCTTTATAATGTCCCAGTAACTGATGATCTATTTATTTCATTTTTTTCTATCTATGCTTTATTTTAAATTGTTTTCATTGCTCCGTTTTCTTTTTTAATAGCAGAATATATTTATATATGACTTCTTTATAGGGAAAGGCTTCATAAACAAGTAACAAAAAATCTCACAAAAGAGAGGAGAAATATATTGTATCACCTTTAACTATATAACTACTATACAGGATAATACACCATAAACATAGTTAAAAGATGAGCCACAGACTCAGAGAAGATATTTACAACAAAACAAAAAACTGGTATCCAGAATCTCTTTACTATATTTGTGAGATAGTATATACTTGTAATAATTTGCTAATATTGTTTTTTATGATTGTATAAAGTCTGTATAAAACAGAAATTCAAAGAAAAGTGGGTGATGTGAATTCACAGAAGAGGAAATCAGAATGGCCAATAAACATTAAAAGAGGCTTAGTCTCACTAGTAATCAGGGGAATGCAAATTAAAATCAGATACCTGATTTTTAGCCAATCAGATCAGAAATAACAAAAAGTTTAATCAGGTACTGGGGGTAACTTCTGTTTCATAAAATATAAACTTTTGGCCTGGCACATGGCTCATTCCTGTAATCCCAGAGCTCTGGGGGGCCAAGGTGGGAGGATCTCTTGAGGCCAGGAGATCTTGAGGCCAGTCTGGGCAAAATAGTGAGACCCCATCCCTACCAAAAAAAATTGAGAAAAGATAAACTTGTGATTGTATTAACTACACATGCATTCACTAACTAGACTATAAGTAATTTTCAATAAGCAAGCAATATCTTATCTATTCCACAAACCTAGTGCAATTCTGGGTGCACAGCAGACCACCAGTAATTATTTGTTGATTTAGGGGTTAATCCACAACAGCTGAAAAGGCATGTCAAATATTAGAAAACCTCAAAAAACTTTTAAAGATAAAAGAGATTACCACCTTTCAGATTATTATTGTGCCAATAATAATAGACCACCATCCTCAAAGAGGGAATTGGCATCTCAGTTATTAAGCACTGTAGCTTTACAGCACCAAAAGATGGCTGTCCCTTTCCTGCTGTCTGAATCCATTCACTGGCTGCATCTTTGTGTTATCTACAGGTGTTACAGCCTCAAAAGGGCTCTGTGGGCCAAAGCAACTACTTATCATTCAAACAAACTTAGCCTATTATTTTTAAATAAAGGGCTTCTCAGAGATTTTAATGTGTTAAGGTACATTCTCTGAGAAGATGATATAATATGCAATGATTTTCAAAATTATTTGAACCAAAAAACCTATTTTAATTTTCAGAGTCTCTGGCAGGACTTGTATTCCACACTTTGGGAAATCCTATTCTAGGAGAGCTTTGTATTTATTGAATTAAGGGACTAGTTTCTGTGCATTATTAAACAAATAAAAATTGTGGCAGTAGTTTCAAGTAAATACAAATTGGTTCAATTATTTTGGAAAACTTTTTAATGTTATTCATTAAGGCTGGACAGCAATCCTCTAGGTAGAACACTCAACATTAATGTGTATGTACATAAGGACATCAAGAAATGTACAAAGGAGGCCCAAATCCTTCTGATTGAGGCCCCACTTCAAAAAATATACAAGAAAGTTCATTACAATATACTTTTCATGACAGCTCCAACGTGGAAACAACCCAAATATCCACCCATGGTAGAAAGAAAAATTTATGTAACAGTACATTATTCAAAGTGAACAAACTACCACCTCATAGGACATCATGGAGAATCTCTCAAATCTCTCAACTATAGTGTTGAATGAAAGAATCCAGGCACAGAAAGAATAGACACTATGATTCCATTTACACAAAGTTGAAAAGTAGGAAAACTAATCTATGTTGTTGGAATTTAGGACATTAACTTCTAGAGAGAGGGAGGAAGTATAATTGGGAGGGGTTAAAGGGACTTTCCGGGTGCTGGCCATGTCCTGTTTCTTGACTAAGATGGTGGCTATAGGTGTGTATAGGTGTATTCACTCTGATAATTAATCTCAGAACTTACGCACTTTCCTTTTCATATGTCAGACTTCATTAAAAACATAAAAAACTCAGCAGTCCAGTCAGTCATTCCATGTATTTGTTATTGTGTGCACTCAGTATTCACTGGTGTCATGGTGATCCCAGGGTCCAGCTGTGGCAAGAGCAACAGTAACTGCTCCCAGTCACCAGCTCATGTAATCTTCATGAGAGCTCCACGAATTAAGCTGCTTTTAAAACACCTACTATCCCCTTTCAATAGGTGAGAAAACTAAGGCTTAGGGAAAATCAATTTTCACAAAGTCACAGACTCATAAATGGTGGTGACAAACTCAAATTGAACTCCAAATCTCACGCTCTTAGCTGCTAGATCCTAGGGAGTGTGCTGCCTGCCTGCTATGCTTCCTATGCTAAGGAGGAAGCCCTTCTGACCAGAGCTGCTTTGACTGGGTTTTAATTTCTCTGTTTTTGATTTTTAATTTTGGTGGGTACATAGTAGTATATATACCTATGGGGTACATGGAACATACTGATACAGGCATGTAATGTGAAACAATCACATCAAGGTAAATGGATCATCTATCATCCCAAGCATTCATCTCTTGCATTATGAACAATCCAATTATACACTTTCAGTTATTCTAAAATACAAGATTAAGTTATTATTGACTATAGTCACCCTGCTGTGCTATTAAACACTAGGTCTTACTCAGTCCTTCTATTTTTGCATACCCATTAACTATCCCCACTTAACCACTCCCCTCCCTGACTACTCTTCTCAGCCTCTGGTAATCACCCTTCTACTCTCTATCTCTATGAGTTCAATTGTTTTAAACTTTAGCTACCACAAGTAAGTGAGAACATGTGAAGTTTCTTTCCATGCCTGGCTTATTTCACTCAACATAATGATCTCCAGTTTCATCCATGTTGTTGCAAATGACAGGATCTCATTTTTTTCATGGCTGAATAGTACTCCATCATGGATATGTACCACATTTACTTTATCTGCTTATATTTTGATGAACATTTAGGTTGCTTCCAAACTTTTTTATTGTGAATAGTGCTGCAATAAATGTGGGTATGCAGATATCTCTTCCATATACTGATTTCCCTTCTTCTGGGTAAATACCTAATGCTAAATGACAAGTTAATGGGTGCAGCACACCAGCATGGCACATGTATACATATGTAACTAACCTGCACATTGTGCACATGTACCCTAAAATTTAAAGTATAATAATAATAAAAAAAATAAAATTCATGTTGAAACTTGAAAAAAAAATACCTAGTAGTAATGTTACTGGATCAAATGGTATCTCTATTTTAGTTTTCTGAGATAAAAACCACAAGAACCAAACTGTTCTTGTGGTTGTACTAGTTTGCATTCCCACCAACTCCTGTGTACAAGGGTTTCCTCTTCTCCACATTCTTGCAAGCATTTATTATTGCCTGTCTTTTGGATAAAAGCCATTTTAACTGGAGTGAGATAATATCTCATTGTAGTTTTGATTTGCAGTACTCTGATGATCAGTGATGTTGAACATCTTTTTATGTGCCTGTTTGGCATTTGTATGTCATCTTCTGAGAAATGTCTATTAAGATCTTTTGCCCATTTTTTAATTGGATTATTAGATTTTTTTTTCTATAGAGTTGTTTGAGCTTCTTATATATTCTGTTTCTTAATCCCTTGTCAGGTGGAGGGTTTGGAAATATTTTCTCCCACTTGGTGGTTTGTCTTTTCACTGCATTGATTGTTTCCTTTGCTGTGCAGAAGCTTTTTAACTCTAGTTGATCCCATTTGTCCACTTTTGCTTTGGTTGACTGTATTCGTGTGGTATCGCTCAAGAAATTTTTGCTCAAACCAATGTTCTGCAGATTTTCCTCAACGTTTTCTTGTAGTAGTTTCATAGTTTGAGGTCTTAGACTTAAGCCTTTTATCTGTTTGATTTTTTAAAATTAATATATGGTGAGAAATAGGGGTCTAGTTTCAGTCTTCCACATATGGGTATCTAGTTTTCTCAGCATAGTTTGTTGAAGAGATTGTCCTTCCCCAGTGTATGTTCTGGCACCTTTGTCAAAAATGAGTTCACTGTAGAGGTAAAGATATGTTTCTGGGTTCTGTATTCTGTTATATTGGTCTATATGCCTGTTTTTTTTTTTCTTTTGCCAGTGCCATGCCATTTTGGTTACTGTAGTTCAGTACTATAATTTAAAGTCAGGTAATATGATTCAAGTTTTGTTCTTTTTGCTTAGGATAGCTTTGGCTATTCTGGGTCTTTTGTGGTCCATATGAATTGTAGGATTGTTTTTTCTACTTCTATGAAGAATGTCATTAGTATTTTGATAGGGATTATATTGAATCTGTAGATTGCTTTGGGTAGTATGAAAGTTTTAACAATATTGATTCTTCCAATCCATGAACAGGTAATATTTTTCCATTTTTTTGGTGTCCTTTTCAAATTCTTTCATTAGTGTTTTATAGTTTTCATTGTGGAGATCTTTCACTTCTTTGGTTAATAACTGGATATTGAATTTTATTTGTAACTGTTATAAATGGGATTACTTTCTTGATTTCTTTTTCATATTGTTTGCTGTGGCATATGTAAATGCTACTGGTTTTTGTATATTGATTTTATATCCTGCAACTTTACTGACTTTACTGACTATTAGAACTATTACAGTTCTAATAGTTTTTTTTTGTGTGGAGTTTTTAGGTTTTTCCAAAGATAAGATCATATCATAAAAACAATGTTAATTTGACTTCTTCCTTTCTGATTTTGATGCCCTTTATTTCTTTCTCTTGTTTGATTGCTCTAGCTAAGACTTCCAGTAATATGTAGAATATCAGTGGTGAAAGTGGGCAACCTTGTATACCATATCTTAGAGGAAAGGCTTTCAGTTTATCCTCATTCTGTATAATACTAGATGTGGATCTGTTGTATGTGACTTTTATTATGTTTAGGTGTGTTCCTTCTATACTCAGTGTTTTGAGAGTTTTTATCTTGCGGGATGACAAATTTTATTAAATACTTTTCCAGCGTCAGTTGGAATGATCATATGGTTTTTGTCCTTCATTCTGTGATGTGATGTATCACGTTTATGGCTTTGTGTATGTTGAACCATCCTTGCATCCCTGGGATAAATTCCACTTGGTCCTAATAGGTTATCTTTTAAATGTGTTGTTGAATTTGGTTTGCTGGCATTTTGTTGAGGATTTTTGCATAGGGATATTGGCCTTTACTTTTCTTTTTCGGATATGACTCTGGTTTTGGTATTAAGGTAATACTGGTGTCATACAATGAGTTTAGAAGTATTCACTCTTCCTCTATTTTTTGGAATAGTTTGAGTAGAATTGGTATTAGTTCTTTTTCTTTACTGGGAGACTACTTATTACAGCTTTGATCTCATTACTTGTTATTGGTCTATTCAGGTTTTGGATTCCTTTATGGTTCAATCTTGGTAGGTTTCATGTGTGTAGGAATTGATTCATTTTTTTTCAAGGTTTTCCAATTTATTGTCATATAATTGCTTATAGTAGCCTCTGGTGATCCTTTGAATTTCTGTGGTATTGGTTGTAATGTCTCCTTTTTCATCTCTGATTTTATTTATTTCAATGTCCTCTCTTTTTTCTTAGCTATGCTAGCCAAAGGTCTGTCAATTTTTCTTTTCAAAAAAGCAACTTCTTGTTTTGTTGATATTTTGTATGGTTTTCTTTATTTATTTCTACTCAGATCTTTATTATTTCTTTTCATCCACTAACTTTGCATTTGGCTTGCTCTTCTGGTTCTTTCAGATGCATCATTAGGTTGTTTATGTAAAATTTTTCTTCCTTTTTGATGTAGGCACTTATAGCTCATTACTGCCTTCACTGTATTCCATAGGTTTTGGTATGTTGTTTTTCCATTATCACTTGTTTCAAGAAATTTTAAAATTTCCTTCTTAATCTCTTCACTAGATTACTGGTCATTCAGGAGCATATTGTTTAATTTCCATGTGTTTGTATAGTTTCCAAAATTCCTCTTATTATTGGTTTCTAGTTTTATTGTACTGTGGTGAAAGAGGATTCTTGATATGATTTCAATTTTTGAATGTTTTAAGACTTGTTTTGTGGCCTAAAATAGGGTCTCTCCTTGATAATGATCCATGTCCTGAGGAGAATGTGTATTCTGCAGCCATTGGATGAAATGTTCTGTAAATATCTATTAGGTCCATTTGGTCTATAGTACATAATGAGTCCAATATTTCTTTGTCGATTTTCTCTCTGGATGATCTGTCCAACGCCAAAGGTGGGGTGTTGAAGTCTACAGTTATTTTTGTACTGAGGTCTCTCTCTCTCTTTAGCTCTAATAATATTTCCTTTATATGTCTGGGTGCTCCTTTGTTGGGTGCATATATATTTAAAATTGTTATGTCCTCTTGCTGAATTGACTGCTTTTTCACTATATGACCTTCTTTGTCTGTTTTTATAGTTTTTCTATTGAAAGCTATGTAGTCTAATATAATATAAGTATAATTACTCTTGTTTTTTTTTTTTGTTTGTTTGTTTTCCATTTGCATGGACTATCTTTTCCCATCCCCCTTAATTTCAGTCCATGTGTGTCTTTACAGGTGAAGTCTGTTTTTTGTAGGCAAAAAGTCACTGGGTTCATTGGGTCTTTTTTTTCTTTTTGATTCATTCAGCCAGTCTGTGTCTTTTGTTTTGAGAGTTTAGACCATTTACATTCAATGTTACTGTTGATGAGTAAGGACTTACTCCTGCATTTTGTTGTTTTCTGGTTGTTTTGTTGTCTTCTCTTCATTTTTCCTTCCTTCCTATCTTCCTTTTAGTGAAGGTCATTTTTTTCTGGTGGTATGTTTTAATGTCTTGCTTTTTATTTTTTTGTGTATCCATTGTCTGTTTTTAGATTTGAGGTTACCATGAGGCTTGGAAGAGAAAAGATGACTTTATCTTGTAACTTGAATACAATTCTTTGTATCTCTTTGACCATATTCATGTTTTCCTTTATATTTCTGATTATATGGAACATGTTTATAATAGCTGTTTTACTATCCTATTACTAAATTCTGCCATTTCTGAGTGTTTTCTATTGGTTGATTTTTCTTATTGTTATGGGTCATGTTTCCTGCTTCTTTACATGCCTTGTGTGTTGGTCACTGAACACTGTAAATTTCATATTGTTAGGTATTAAATTTTATTGTATTTCTTTAAAGAGTATCAGGCTTCGTTCAGTCAATTTACTTAGGATCAGTTTAACTCTTTAGTGGTTTGTTTGTAAGCTCTGTTAGGGTGGGTCCAGACAAGCTTCAGTCAGGGCTAACTTAGAGTCACTGCTAAGGTAATACTCTTCTCACAAGGCTTCCCAGTGCTCAATGTATTACAAGGTCTCTTCAGTCTGGCTGATGGGGTGGTGATATCTCTCCACTCTTGCTGTAGTTTCCAGGAATTATTCATCCTACTTCTGTCCGGTGTTTCTTTCTCTAGCCTTGTGAGGTGTCACCACAAAAAGGTACTGATCAGTACTCAGCCAAAGACTCAAAGGGATCACTCTGTGGAAGTCCAGAGGTCTCCCTCTGTGAAGCTCTTACCTCTTCAGTATTTTGTCCTACACATTTTAGTTGTCTTAATTTCCCTAAAGTTTAGTTTCTATTTGTTCAATTCAAGGAGACTCCTGGGCTCTATTTGGGTACTCTTCCCTGTGCTGTAACCTGGAAACTGCTTCTAGCAATAAGCTGGATCAGTTGTAGGGCGCAATTCACTTGTAGGGATTATAGTTTTATGCTGCTGTTCCCATATCTGAAAATAAATAATGCATTCTTTAATGTCCTCTGGATCCTTCTGGAGAACAGAATCATGTGGGGGGGTTCTTAGGCTCTCATAAATATATTGTAACACTTCCACTTCCATAAGCCTTTTGACCATTTCCTCAAAATACAGTAACACAGTTTCAGCATCCCCATATATTTTATTCTAGGACATTGCCATGTCAAGCCTATCCCAGCAGCGTATTATGACCAGTTACAAAGGCTTTGTATGATATTAAGCCTTGAATCATAGAAAAGTACTCCTATGTTAATACACTTGCTTCTATCCAAACTTATATTCTATCTTCCTTGTCCAACATCCCTCAGCTCTATCTCCCACATTTTCCTCTAAATCCTGCCAGTATGTAGTAGCATTAGGGGTTTATGTTGAGGGGAAAAGAGGGTGAATATTGGGAAGGACAAATATCTGATGACATTTTTATAAGATCTCCCTCCAAGGAGGAGGAAGCTTTTCTTCTCTTACAAGGGGAAGGGATTTGATTCTGTCACCTCAGAGGTCTCAGGACATTCTGGTGCTTTACAATTCTCATCTGTGTCTATCCAGATGTTTCTAAGGTATCAAGATGCCTCTTTGGTTTTTTCTATTAGGACTTGAATTGCTACAAGCATATAATCTATACTGCAGGTATTTCATATAGGCATTAAGTGATTCAGAACCAACTAATTTTTAGCATCATAAAATTAGGGTTTCACCGGCTTGTAGTTTGACAGGATACTTATTTATAAAATGATTTTCACAACAATCTTTAAAGGTAGGTATGATCTCGATTCAACCTTGGAGGAAACTGAAGCTCAGTAAAATTAAGTGACTAGCCCAAGGATGCACAGTGATCAATTGCAAAGAATGAACTCTATTTTGTCTCTGAAGTATGTGCACTGCCCATTATGTTACATAACCTTTCTTTATAGCTCCTATCAAGTCATTCTACATAAGAAACATCTTATGTGGGAAACACTTCAATCTAGCAACTGGTTACTGTAATGAAAAGATATAGTGAAACTAGATACTTGAATTGACCAGTTTATATATTAATAATTTTGTGATGGATTCAATTAAAGATTTTATGAAAACCTTGGAAGAGTATGAAATAATTATACAGTGTTTATTATTTTAGCTCTCATTTATCTATTTTGGATACCTGAACTTATATGTTAAAGAACATTAAGTACATATAGTTAGGTTGGAACTCAGCTGGGATTCAACTTGTTTGCTGAAACTTCAGATACTATAAACTAGTATCCTGTGTAGTCAGAATTATATTATCTTGACTCATTAACTTTATTTAGCATCTATTTTATACTACATACTGATTTTATTAACTTCTAATCACTCTTGTTTCACTTGTTTGAGATAGGTAAAGCAGAATTTATCTGGAGTTTAAGATTAAGGCTGACAGATTAAATCTGCTTCTGTTATTGTTTGTTTCTGATATTAAAAGAGACTTCTTATTATGACCCCAGTCCATCCAAATTGTATACTATAATGGATTCTATATGAATAAATTAAGGGATCTAGATTTTAATAGTAAAACCATTTTATAGCAGCAGTAGTTTTATAAATGGATATTTTACCTCTTAAACAAAATGTAATTGGAAAATAAAATACACTGTCATTCAAATAACATCTCACGTTATAAATAATCAGTTTGGATGCAGCTACAAGATTTTTCTGGCACAGAAGTAAATTAAACACTTTAGTAAATTGTCAAACTGATGAAAATCCTAACCCTGTGCATGTTGTTTTAATGGTGTAAGAATATGGACAACAAGATGTTTTTGTTCTTTTATTTTTATCAGAGTAAATGGAAGAATAGTGTCACAGACAAAGGTTCTAGGATTTTCCTGGGAAAAGGAGGTTATAGCAGTTAGAAACGCCAGCAGTAGCTTACACCAATAATTTATTAAGATTTTTGTTTTTACATTATTGGCATTCCAGGGGTAGGTGGTTACTGTTGTAGGCTCATCTTCTCAACTCTCCCATCAGGGACCCAGTTACTTTCTATCATTCTGAACTGTTATTCTTCGCGTGTACACCTTCATTCTCCTGTTGGTTGCCTCACGGCTACGAGATGGCTGCTATAGGTCCAGCCATCAGGAAAAATGGGGAAGGAGCAGGACATGTAAGATCCTTTATCAGGCCACCTTCACATATATTTTCTAGACAAGGATTATATCACCGGGCCATATTTAGTTGCAAGGAGACTGGGAAAGTGAGGAACAGAATTGATTTGGCTAATCACAACTCATCTCCAGAGAATAGGCAATTTCTGCTTCCAAATAAAGTTGGATACTGTTCAGGAAGAACAGGCTGGATATAAACCGTTTGTGTTTTGGTCAGCAATATGTTCTGGTTTTGGTTTGGTGGGAAACAGGAAGCTTACTGAGGAAGGGAGACACCTGGAAGTAGTCTTAATCTGGCCATAAGGACCATGACACTCTAATATTATTTGATGGTGTGTGGGTTTCTTTTTTTCCAGAGACATCTATAAACATGGCTTTGTTACTAAGCCAAAGCCAATTATCTTTCAAAGTGATCTTCAGTTTGCTATTAGCTTCCCAGAAAGAACAGTATGATTATTAATAAGATTGAGACTAATAAACTACTGATGAGCACCAGTGAGCTAATTTGTAACCTCATTTTTATAAATGACATAAGCTTTTCACCCTAAGAAAAAGAGATATATTGAGAAGACAAACAAACAAAAAATCCAAAACTAATCTTCTTCCTCCAGACAGAATCTCTTCCTTCTTTTCTTCTAACATGAAATATTGTTGTTAACCAAATATTTTTCTTTTAAAATTCTAGGAATCACTTTTTGGAAATCTAGAATTAGTGAACTCAAATGGTTGTTAATGTTTTATTATTGAAATAGTGAAGCAAACTAAAATAATTAAAACTGATATGGATTACCATATTTATTAGCATATATTTCCTACATAATAAATAGTTTGCAGTTGATATGAGAAGAGAGGAAGCTGTGAGATTACCTGACTGGATGGACCTTTGCAGCACTGACACCTGCTGCTGAATTTCCAGAAATTTCTCCTGGCAAATCTCTGTGCTGAGAAAGGAGTAAACCAATTTAGAGAAGAGGCTTACGAGTCCAAACAGGAGCAGATGATGAAGAATCAGATAAACATTAACGCCTCAACCTACTTAAGCAACTAAGATTCAATTAAACCCAGTTCATACCTCTTTGGTAAGTCTGAAGTTTCAGAACACTTGCTCTAAAATTCAAATTACTGAGCTGTACAAATTATTTTTCCTCCAATTGTGTGATGAAATATGGGAAAGACAGAAAAAGACACAAATGCATATGGTAATCCAGAAAAGATTCCCCCTCCCTATTTTCTTTTGAGTTAGATAAAAGCTAGAGCACCTAACAGAATAAGATACCGAGAGAACCAGTGTAGTCATCCAAAACAATGAAACAACTATTTTAATTCATAAAAAAGCATCATTGTAGTAGCCTTCATTAGGTATTCCTTCTAAAGTCACTTTAAAGGAAAAAGAATATGTTCAGACATAGCAAAAGAAAAAAAACACGAAGGCAAAATTCCTTCAGATCAGGTTTTGGAGATTTTTTTTATATTAAACCCATTTTGTAAATAGGTTTTCCACCTGATTTAAACCAATCGTTTTGTTATTCAAAAGTCTAGGTTGTTGTTTTGCATTTTAAAATACAGCCATTCCCCAGGGAACTGTCTCTGCGATTAGAGGGAGAATTTTAAATTCCCCTTTCCACAGATAGATGTGTACAGGAAAGAACACCAAACTGAAAGAGCAGCTTGGCTCTGCCACCTATCAAATTAGGTAAATCTGTCTCCCTCTGGGTTTCACTCTCTCCTCTGTAATATGATAAGTACCTAGATTGGACTAGATGATCTTTCAGTTTCCCTCTCTGAGTCCGTTTGGGGGCTGCTATAATAAATACCATAGACTGGGTGACTTAAACAACAAACATTTATTTTGCACAGTTCTGGAGGCTGGGAAGCTCAAGATCAAGGTGTTGTTGATTTGGCTCCTGGTGGGGACGTGCTAGTTTTGGATACGGCTTGTTTATCCCTGGCAAATCTTATGTTAAAACTTGTGGTGGTGTTGGGAGGGAAAACCTAGTGGGAGATGCTTAGGTCATCATCAATGGCTTGGTGCAGTTCTTTCAGCAGTAAATTCTTGCTCTAGTGGGACAGGATTAGTACTCATGAGACTGAATTAGTTCCTGATACAGTGAGTTGTTATAAAACCAAGACAACCATTGTGAAACTGCCTTTGCAAAGATTATGACGTGAGAGAAGTCTGGCATGGCCGCCTCCGTCTTGCCTCTAGCATCACAGGCTGGCTGTCTCCGCTCATTCCTGGGCATGGACGAAGCTAACCATGAGAAGAATTTAGTTTACAGTTTAATTGTGAAGCAAGGATAATAATAGTCGCTTCCTAAAACTGATCCGCTCCTTGTTTGGAGACTGAAACAGTCTTTGTAAGACAATGAAAGGTCACAAGATTAGTATTCTGAGAGGGGCCTGAATTCTGCTAAAATGTAAGTATAGTTAAATGATAAACAGCTGTTGTTTCCTAGCTTGTTTTCCTATAATCCCTTACTGCTCAGGAGTCATGAAGCAGAGGCCACAGACTTGTAATTTCACCAATTGCTCCTACAGGTAACATCACTATCGCAGAATGTAAGATTGGTCTTTTGAGATTGTTTAGATTTTTGTATTCTGGTGACAAATTGATTTCACCTAGACCCATGCCTGATGACTCAATTGGTCCTGTGACCCCCTTCCAGAGGCTGACTCAGTGCACAAGAACCATTTTCCATACCTCTATAATTTCATCCCTAACCAATCAGTAGCACCTGATTTCTTATCCTAGCCCCCCCCCACCCCCCCCTACCCCCCCACCCCCCACAAGTTATCCATAAGAACCTTAGACTGAGTTCTTGGGGAGGCTGATTTGAGTAATAAGCTTCATCTTGGTTAGCCCTGTGTTAATCATAAGTCCTTTGCCACAAAAACCTGCTGTTAGTGCAATAGCTTTTTTGGGCAGTGGGCAAGATGAACCCATATGCTTGGGTTTGTTTCCTCTTTGTGTATGTTCACTTCTCCTTTAACCTTCTATGTTATATTTAGACCTAGCATATGACCCTCACCAGAAACTGAGCAGATGCTGACACCAGAACAGATGAAAAACTGACTTTTGAGGGAGAGGTTTGCATCTGTGGAGGAAATGAAGTGAAGTAAACAACAGATAGAAACAGGCTTTCTTTGAAGCCCCCCTTGTTGGGACCTGGGAAAGATGAATTGAGAGTCTGACAATTTAAAGCTCTGACAGAAATATTTACTGCTGGCTACGATTTATTTTTTTCTGAAGGCTGCTACCTGTGAGGTTTCATCTGCATAGTAAGACCCCTTTGCTAGTAAGGTGTTTCCTCTTCTCTTCCTTCCATAACCTGTTTTGCTACCATAACCTATTTTGCCATGCTCTAGAGCCCTCATTTCTTCTGTAACCTCAAGATGGTATAAAAGTGTCAACCCTCTTACATTTCTTTGAGTTTTAATATTTTATATGACTCTTGTGCACATATATGTATGTCATAAAATTTGAATGCCTTTTTCCTACTAATCTGTCTAGTATCAGATTGTTTTATAGACTCAAATTATTGAATCTTAAGGGGAAAAATGTAAATTTCCCTATAGGTTTATAGCTAGAAGGAACTTGCCTTGAGTCTCAAATGAGATGTTGGACTTTGGACTTTTGACTTGATACTGGGACTAGTGAACACTTTTGGAACTATTAGAAGAGAAAATTGTCTAATTGTGTTTTGAATGTGAGAAGGACATGAATTTTGGGGGGCCAGGGGCAGAATGCTATGGCTTGGTTATGGCTTGTTTGTTCCCACCAAATCTCATGTTGAAATTTGATCCTCAATGTGGCAGTGTGGGGAGGTGGGGCCTGTTGGGAAGTGTTTGGGCCATGGGGGAGGATCTGTCATGAATGGCTTATTGTTGTTCTCCTGGTAGTGAGTTCTCGCTCTAGTAAGATGGAATTAGTTCTTGCAGAAACAGATTAGTTCCTGAGAGAGTGAGTTGTTGTAAGGCCAGAATACTTCTTGATTTTAGTTCTGCTTTGCATGTGTCTACTTTTCCTTTGACTTTCTCTGCCATTTTTTGACGTAATATGTGGCCCTCACCAGAAGCTGAGCAGGTGCCTATGCCATGTTTCTTGTACAGCCTGCAGGATTATGAGATAAATAAACCTCTTTTCCCTGCAAACTACCCAGTCTCAAGTATTCTCTTATATCAACACTAAATGGACTAAGACAGGGCTCTTTTCCTGGTTTGAAGATAGTCATCTTCTTGCTTATCCTCACATGAGAAAAGGAGGGAGAGTTCATCTCTTTTGTCTCTTTTTATAAGAGGACTAATCCCATTCATGAGGGCTCTACTTTTATGACCTGATTACCTTTCAAAGGCCCCACCTCCAAATACCATCACATTGGGAATTAGGGTTTCAACATGTGAATTTGAGAGGACACACAGACATTCAATCCATAGCACTTTTTCAGCCTCAGTATTCTGTGTTTTCCAGTCTCTGTGACAGAGGCCTGTATGGTCTAGGCAGGCAACTTAATGGAAGAAAATGGGCAGGTTCAACTTAAGGCAAACTGAGGAGAGTGTGCCCAGGCTAAGGGACACAGCTACTACTCAGCTCAAGCCCACAGGTGTGAGCAAGATTGCAAGGCTCATGTTGTAATATCTTATTTTTCAGGGGAGACTGCTCAGAAGTCAATCTTTTTGCCCTTAAGTCTATTCTTCCACTCCCACCGCTTAGCTTTAAATTGTGCAGACTGACTCCTATAGGCTGCGGTTTCCAGATTCCATTTCAGCTGGCTTCTGTCTGGGTCCTACCAATGGGAGGCACTGGTGGGAGATGGGGGTGAGGAAAAAGGGAGAAACTTGGTTGTTTCTAACCCTGCCTCTCAGCCTTGAACAATGCCTCCAGCAACAGAAATATCTCCAAAATGACGCTAGCTTTTGAGAGACAGGCCTATTACAACTCCGGCTTCCACTGAGTGACCTTAGTTCTCTCCTCATCCCTTCCTTCACACCCTATATCTGCCTCCTCCTCTCTCTCCCGTTTCGATGTGACAGTGGCTTCCTTTTGTTGCTAATCTCTATGCTCCCTCACAATTCCCTGTTTATCAGTTCTCGCTTCACCTATATGACCAATTTTCTCCATTATGTACTTCGTGTGTCAAAGATTCAGAGTTATTTCTTTTCTCTGAGGTTGGACTCTGACTGATGTAGGCTAGAAATATAAATTCTTGCCTGAAATCTTCCCATTTTTAAATGCTGGTAGATTAGTCAGAATTCTCCAGAGAAACAGAATAAACAGGATATTAATTAATTAATTAATTTCTAAGGTATTTGCTCACATGACTATCGAGGCTGACAAGTCTATAATCTGCAGGGTGAGCTGGCAGACTGGAGATCCAGGAAAGCTGACATTCTACTTTCAGTCTAAAGGCAGTCTTCTCCAGAACCCAGAAGAGCCAATGTTGCAGATGAAGTCTGAAAGCAGTCTGTTGGGGAATTCTCTCTTCCTGGGGAATACTGGTCTTTCTGAAGGAGCTTACTCACATGGGGGAAACTTCCTTTACTCAAACTCTGCTCAAGGTTTCTCTTGCTCAAAAATACCCTCATAGAAACACCCAGAATAATGTTTGACCAGATATCTGGGCACAACATAGCCCAGCCAAGTTGACACATAAAATAAACCGTCACAACTGGCAAACAATTAAAAACACCCACTGGGTCAAAGAAAACATGACTTCAGCTTCCAGGTACATTTGTAACCTCTGTTCTCTAAATGTACATGATCAAACAAATAGACAAAGACAGATTTTGGCAAGCTTATAGAATTTCATGTCATAAGAAGTGTTCAATGTTGTATTCTCCCTAGGATAATTGATGCCAAGGAGTATTTGAGGAATATAAGCTGTGTGAGAAGAAGAGCCTCTGTTGTTGCAATCCTAGCACAGTGCCAGGCACTTAGTAAATGTACAATATATATCTGTTGAATGAATAAATAAAAGGAGTTAAATTTAATTGGATAGTTATTTAATTATCACCTGCTAGAGGCGAGGCACTGCATTAGGTGCTGTTGGAAATTCAAAGATGTGTAAGACACACCTTTGTCCAAATGCACTTGCAGTTTGATAATGCATGTAAGGCTAAGTGATAAAAAATTTTTGTTTCTCTTGAGAAAAAAATGAACAATGGATATATTATGGGCAATAGGTATTATATACTTAACCACATTTCCTTTTGATTTTGCTGTCTGGAAACACAGAGCTAAATTTCCTGTTCAAACCTGGCCGGAATACAGTAGCATCCTAGAGCCAGCTTACCTGTGCTTTTGTCCTTCTCAATAGTCCTTCTCCCTTCTGCTTACCCACCTGTTCTAATGCACATACCCCTAGGATTTTACTTGAAAAATAAACCTTTTATAGTTTTGTTGATTGGAGTCTCTGTAAGCTGACCCAGATCCTTTGTGGAATCAGGTAACCTGAAGTTTCTCGTGATTCAAAGGAGAAGTGACTCTGGCTCTTTGGATTAGGGAAGTGTTTATCCAAAGGTGGCATCTCATAATTTTAATTTCCATTTCCCTGATGATTAGTGATGTGGAGCATTTTTCTTACATTTCTTTGCCATTTGTATATCATCTTTTGTGAAATGTCTATTCATGTCATTTGCCCACTGTTTGCTAGGATTATTTATTTTTTCTTGCTGATTTGTTTGAGTTCTTTGTAGATTCTGGATATTAGTCCTTTGTTGGATGCAAATCCATTCTGGGGTTGTCTGTTTACTCTATTATTATTATTATCATTATTATTATTATTTTTGCTGTGCAGAAACTTTTTAGTTGAATTAAATCCCATTTTTTTGTTGTTGTTGTTGCATTTGCTTTTGGGGTTTTAGGCATAAATTCTTTGCTTAGGCCAATGTCCAGAAGAGTTTTCCCTAGTTTTTCTTCTAGAATTTTTATGTTTTCTGGTCTTATATTGAAGTCTTTAATCTATTTTGAGCTGATTTTTGTATGTGGTGAGAGATAGGGATCCAGTTTTATTTTCTTACATGTGGCCATTCAGTTTTACCAGTACAATTTATTGAATAGGGTGCCTTTTGTATACTTTGTCAAAGATTAGTTGGTTGTAAGTATTTGGATTCATTTCTGGGCTCTTTTTTTTTGTTCCATTGATCTATGTGTCTACATTTATACCAGTACCATGCTGTTTGGGTTACTACAGCCTTGTAGCATAATTTGAAGTCAGGTAATGTGATGCCTTGGTATTTCTTCTTTTTGCTTAGGATTACTTTGCCTATTCAGGCTCTTTTTTTGGTTCTGTGTGAATTTTAGGATTATTTTCTCTAATTCAGTGAAAAATGATATTGATATTTTGATAGAGATTGCATTGAATATGTAGATTGCTTTGGCAGTATGGTCATTTTCATGATATTGATTCTTCCAATCCGTGAACATGAGATGTATTTCCATTTGTTTGTGTCATCCATGATTTCTTTCAGCAGTATTTTGGAGTTGTTGTAGAGGTCTTTCACCTCCTTGGTTAAGTATATTCCTAGGTATTTTATTTTATGTATTTTTCGTCTGTGCAAAAGGGATAGATTGACTTCTTTATTTGATTTTAGCTTGGTTGCTGTTGGTGTATAGCAGTGCTACTTTGTGTACATTGATTTTGTAACCCGAAACTTTGCTGAATTTGTTTATCAGGTCTAGGAGTCTTTTGGAAGAGTCTTTAGTGTTTCCTAGGTATACAATCATATCATTGGTGAACAGTGATAATTTGACTTTGTCTTTTCCAATTTTGATGCCTTTTATATATTTCTCTTGCCTGGTTTCTCTGGCTAGGACTTCTAGTACTATGTTGAATACAAGTGGTGAAAGTAGGCATCCATGTCTTTTTCCAGTCCTCAGAGGGAGTGCTTTCAACTTTTCCTCATTCAGCATGATGTTGGCTGTGGGTCTGTCACATATAGCTTTTATTATTTTGAGGCATGTTCCTTATATGACTAGTACATTGAGGAATTTTATCAGAAAGGATGCTGGATTTTATTGAATGATTTTTCTGCATTTATTGAGATGATCATATGGTTTTCATTTTTAATTCTGTTTATGTGATAAATCACATTTATTGACTTGCATATGTTGAACCATACCTGCATCCCTGGGATGAAACCCACTTGATCATAGTATATCATCTTTTTGATGTGCTATTTCCTAGTATTTTCTTGAGGATTTAGCATCTATGTTCATCCAGGATATTGGTCTGTAATTTTCTGTTTTTGGATGTCCCTTCCTGGCTTTGGTATCAGGGTGATATTGGCTTCATAGAATGAGTTAGGGAGGATTTTTCTCTTTCTCAATCATTTGGAATAGTTTCAGTAGGACTGTACCAATTTTTCTTTGAATGTCTGGTAGAATTTGGCTCTGAATCCATCTGGCCCTGGGCTTTTTTTTGTTGGTGGTGAATTTTTTGTTCATGATTCAATCTCACTGCTTGTTATTGGTCTGTTCAGGATTTCTATTTTTTCCTTATTCAAGCTAAGAGGATTGTATATTTCCAAGAATTTGTCTATTTCCTCTAGGTTTTCTAATTCATGTGCGTAGAAGTGTTCATAGTAGTCTCAAATAATCTTTTGTATTTTTGTGGTGTTGGTTGTAATATCTCCATTTTCATTTCTAGTTAAGCTTAAACTAGCTAATGGTTCTATCAATTTTGTTTATCCTTAGAAGAACCAAGTTTTCATTTAATTAATCATATATATATTATATATATATAATATATATATTATATATATAATATATATTATATATATATATTATATATATATATAATATATATATAATATATATATATAACTAGTTTGTTGAGGAATTTTATCAGAAAGAGATGCTGGATTTTATTGACTGCTTTTTCTGCATCTATTGAGATGATCATATGTTGGTTTCAATTTTATTTAGTTCTTCTCTGATCCTTGTTATTTCTTCTGATAACTTTGGTTTGGTTTATACTTGTTTCTCTAGTTCCTTGAGGTGTGATATTAGGTTGTCAATTTGTGATTTTTCAGACTTTTTGATGTAGGCATTTAGTGTCATAAGCTTTTTCCTTAGAACTGCTTTTGCTGTATCCCAGAGGTTTTGACAAATTGTGTCACTGTTATTATTCATTTTGAAGAACTTTTTAATTTCCATCTTGATTTTATTGTTAACTCCAAAATCACTCAGGAGCAAACTGTGTAATTTCCATGTATTTGTACAGTTTTGAGGGTTCCTTTGAAATTGATTTCTAGTTTTATTCCACTGTGGTCTGGGAAGATATTTGATATGACTTTCATTTTTAAAAATTTATTAAGATTTGTTTTGTGCCTATCATATGGTCTATCTTGGAGAATGTTTCATGTGTTCATGAGAAGAATGTATATTCTGCAATTCTTGGGTAGAATGTTCTGTAAATATTTGTTAGGTACATTTGTTCTAGGGCACAATTCAAATCCAGTATTTATTTGTTGACTTTGTGTCTTGATGATCTGTTTAGTGCTGTCAGTGGAGTACTGAAGTCCCCCACTATTATTGTGTTGTTGTCTGTCTGTTTTCTGAGGTCTAGTAGTAATTGTCTTATGCATCTGGGAGTTCCAGAGTTAGGTCATATATACTTAGAATTGTAAAATCTTCTTCTTGGATTGATTGTTTTATCATTATATAATGACCTTCTTTGTCTCTTTTTTAAATGGTTGTTGCTTTAGTTGTTGCTTTAAAGTCTGTTTTACCTGATAGCTACTATTGCTCACTTTTGGTTTCCATTTATGTGGAGTATCTTTTACCTTGTGTCTATAAGAATCCCTTAATTGTTAGGTATGTCTCTTGAAGACAGCAGATATTTGTTTGACCATTTTTTTAAATCCATTCTGCCAATCTGCATCTTTTAAGTGGAGCATTTGGTTCATTTATATTCAACATTAATATTGAGACATGTGGTATTGTTCCAGTCATCATGTTGATTGTTACCTAGTTACTTTGTTTTCTTCATTATGGTACTGTTTTATAGGTCCTGTGAGTTTTGTGCTTTCAAGAAGTTCTATTCTGGTGCATACCGACCTTTGTTTCAAGATTTAGAACTCCTTTTAGCATTTCTTATAGGACTAGTCTGGTAGTGCCAAATTCCCTTAGTATTTGCTTGTCTGAAATAGGCTTTATTTGTCCTTCATTTATAAATCTTACTTTTGCTGGACGCAAAATTCCTGGCTGAGAAGTTATTCTGTTTAAGGAGGCCAAAGATAGAAACCCAATTCCTTGTAGCTTGTAAGGTTTCTGCTGGGAAGTTTGCCGTTAGTCTGATAGGTTTTCTTCTATAACTTACCTGTTTTTGTCTCTCTATTCTTAGAATTCTTTCCTTCATGTTGAATTTAGATAGCCTGATGACTAGATGCCTTGGTGATGTCTTTTTTTGCAATGAATCTCTTAGGATTTTTTTCAGTTTGCTGTTTTTGGATGTCTAAACTTCTAGCAAGGGTAGAGCAATTTTCCTCAATTATTCCCCTAAATAAGTTTTTCAAACATTTTGCTTTTTCTTCTCTTTCAGGAGCACCAAGGTTTGTCCATTTTACATAATCCCATATTTCTTAGAGACTTTGTTCATTTTTTAAAATTCTTTTTTATTTTTGTCTTATTGCATTATTTCAAAACCCTTGTTTTGAAATTTCCAGCTCTGAAATTCTTTCTTCCTACTTGGTCTAGTCTATTGTTAAAACTTTCCACTGCATTTTGCAATTCCCTAAATGTGTCTTTCATTTCTAAAAGTTCTAACTGTTTTTTCTTTAAATCTCTATCGCTTTAGAAAATTTTTCATTCATATTCTGAATTGTTTTCTTAATATCTTTATGTTGGTTTTCGCCTTTCTCTTTCATCTCCCTGAGTAACTTAATAATCAACCCTTTGAATTCTTTCTCTGGTGTTTCAAAGATTTTATCTTGGTTTAGATCCATTGCTGGAGAGCTGGTGTGATATTTTGGGGATGTAATAGAACCATATTTTTCTGGTTTATTTTCATTTAGATAGACTATTTCTTCTAATTATTTTTAAATTTATTTTTTATTCCATGGTGGAGGTTTTTATTTCTTTTTTTCCTCTTGACGATGTGACTTTAACGTTTATAGTGGATTGTAACCTAATTCAGCTCTGAGTGCTTTTAGAGGTGAAGACTTCATATGAGTTCCTTGGCTACAGGCAGTTTTTGTATGACGCCTTTCTCAGATGTTGACTGTAGTAGTGATGTGCTTGGTGTGTAAGCAGGTTCATTGTCTCCTGTGGGGCTTGAATGGCAGAGGTCTCATGGAGCTTTTCTCATTCCCCAGTGGTGTGTATTCATTTATTTATTTATTTTTTCCAAGTATTTTATTCACTGGGTTGAGCAGTTTAGGCTTCAGGCCAGTAGGACGTATCCGTGGGTATAAACCAGCTGTGGCTAACGCACGTAGGTAAATGTAATGCTCAATGGTGGGCAAGGGTGGCAGCCTTGACAGAGGAGGCTGGGGGAGCTCTCAGTGAAATGCACTGAGATCTTTTCAGTGGGAAGGGAAGGAGCCACCTCAGCTCCCCTGCCAGGCCAGCAGGAAAGCAAGCTATCTTTCAGTCACACTCCTGACCCACAGTGTTCTAGCTATTCAGATCAGACAGGCACTTCTTTTCATCTGCAGGAATGCTGATTTTCCATGTAGAGAGGGATTGTGACACTACCTCTTGTGCAAACCTGAACCTGGAGGGCACTCCTGTGGGGATGCAGTCACCCTGAAGCATTCCAGAAAGGCTGTCTACAGGGGTACTCGCACCCAGCTCCCATGAGAGAAGCCCAAGCTGTGTCTACAGCGGTGGGCAAGAGGAGAAAAACTCTTGTTCTGCAAGACCCTTCATGAGCACCAGTGCTGTCTTCCTGTTAGGATAGAGCTGCAGACTTTTCCCACTGAGCTCAGCTCTGCACTTGTGCCTCTGCTGAAGTAAACTTCTTACAAGCATAAAGTTCTGGGACTCAAGGCCTGTCATCTGGATTGTCCCACATCTTTTGTTCCACAGGGTGCTTCCTTGATGCGGTGAACTCTCCCTACCCCTAACAGTAGGAGTCCCTAAGGGCCAGACTACTGTGAATCCTGCTGCTCCTCTGGGTCTAGCCACCCAGTGGGGCTGCCACACTCCAGGCTGGTGCTGGGGAATGGCTGCAAGGAATCCAGTGATGTGACCTATCCTCTAGTATTTCAGCAATGGGTTCCAGTACCACTTCTGATGGGAGTGGCAGGGGAATGATAGACTCTGTGAGATTTCTTTGGTTATAAATATCCTTTCTGTGTTGGCTTTCTCAAATGCCAATTGTAGTGGTGATGAACTGGTCATGGGGACAGACTCAGGACCTCCTGGTTAGCCAGGGTAACATAGGAAATGGTAATAGCTGAGATCATACAGAAGTTTTCTCCTTCCTGGATGCTGTTGTTATGCCTGCAGGTGTTGTCATGGACCGTGTTACTTGTCTTCTAGCCAGGAGGTTGTGTTTGCAAAAGAGCACCAGCCGTGATGGTAGTGGTAGGATTTGTGCTTGTCTTATTACTCAGGGGAGGTGCTCTGGTGTCTCAAACAATGGGTGGGGCCATAGATCTCCCCAAAATACCTGTCTTTTGCATTAAACTACCAGGGTGGGTAGAGGGGCAAAGTTAGGTGGGGGCTGGGTTAGGCAAGTCCACATCAAGCTTGGCCTCTGGGCACAAGCAGCAGCTCCAGTGGGGATTGGATGACAGTTTTCTGACCACTGAAGTAATGTTCCAGGGAGGAGTGCAGCCGTCTCTGCTGCACAGAAGAGTCCACATGGGAGTGGGGAGCAGCAGGCAGCAGTGAGCCCTACCCAGCTCCCACACACTTGGCAAAGCAGGTCTCATACATGCAGTGTTCCACTAGCAGCAGCTAGCTCGGTTCCAGGGAGTCTGCACTCAGAACTCAAAACTGCCCCAGGCCTTAAGCCTTCCTCAGTGAGACAGAAACCCTGCCCTTCAGGCCACATCCCTACTGGTCCATCTGTGAAGGTGGGGCATCCAGCTCCTATGCTCATGCATACAGCATACTTCCCATTTACCCCTTGGCCCTAGCCAAAGGGCTTCATCTTCACTTGAGATTATATTGCCAATCTCAGTTGGGAGCTTCTCTCAACCTGTGACCACCACCTGAGTTAGCTGGAAGACTTCTATGAAGTCTCCTGCGATGTAGGATGAGAAATGGTTTCCCTCTATTCCCACTGGAGTCTGGGTGTGCATGCAAAGCACCTCCCGATATTGTTCCTTCTCATATACTTCCCTCACTCACTAACTCAGCTCTAGTGCTGGGTAGGGTTAAGGCCTTCCCCCGTGGCCTGGATTGCCAGGTTCCCCAGTGGGAGTGTACAGGCAGTTTCTGCCTGCTCACACTCTAGGGACTTATGGTTTTCTTCCTGGCTCACAGTGTAGGCTGCAGCCCACTGTTTCCTTCAAAGGGTCTGTGGTTGTTTTCAGTTTTCCTGTTAAGTTCCTGTGTTGCTTTTTGGAAAAAAAGTTTACAGCATGAATCTCTACACATAATTTTGTCTTTCCAAGTGGAAGAGGTGTGCTAACCATGCCTCCAATACACCATCTTGGAAAAAACAAACAAACTCCAAAACAAACAAACAAAAAACCTTATGCTTATTTTATGGATGAAAACAAACTTCTCTGTTTGAAAACATTTGCTGGCTTCCCACTGCTTATAGAACAATGTCCACATTCCTTGGCTTGATGCAGAAGTCTCTATTATTTTCTATTTATTCTCTTGTACCCTTTAGGCTTCCTCTAATTCGGACTCATTCATTCAGCAAATATTTGTTGAGCACCCACTGTGGACCAGGCACCATGTTGTGATCAGCATAGAGTGAGGAATCAGAGAACATTCCGTGTCCACTCCACTGCTAACACTCTCTTTTCCAGAAATTCCCTGGGATTGTGTCTTTTTTCTTTTTTTCCCCTGCCTGCAGTGTCTTCCCTTCATCCTCTCATGAGAAAATGATCACTCATCCCTTATGGCCATCTCCTCTGAAGTTAACCTTGATTCTTCCTTCCCCATGTATTTCTATTGTAATTATCAAATTGTATCCTGTATTCTAGCCAGTTTTTAAAACTCAAATTAGTCAATATACTCAACTATAACCACCCCATCAACAGGGATCATATCTTATTCACCTTTTAATTCTTGCTGCCTGGCAGAGTGCCTGGCATGGTGTAGGAATGAACAGAGATCATTGGACTGATAGGGGGAATGACAGTCTTTGGCCTCCTGGTCCAGTGATCAACCTCCTCCACATTATTTTCTCTCATTTATAGTGTGTAATGTGTCCACCAAGTCCAAGAAAACATCCACTGCCAATGATGTGAAAGCCTTAGAATAGCTTGAATAGAAGTCAATCTGTGAGAGTTTCCTCACATTCAGTGAATCATTTACTGAGAAACATGGGATTAATTTTACTCTCCATTTTTGTGTGTGTTCATTTGTTAATGTTTATTAGTATTTTATTTACTTATTTTGAGAAGAAATATTGGTTATTTTAATTTCTGTTTATGTTTATTTTAAGCTTTCAGCCACTGAGGAGAATGAAAGTAACTTATTTTCTTTCTAGAGAGTAAGTGAATATCACGTACAGAATAATTGCTGAAGTGTATTGCTCATGTGGCTGTAAAATGACCTAGCTATTAATGCAGAATGGATCCTTTTCATTTCAAAAACTGTTGATTGAACCTAATTGATTGTAGTGCTAGCAAAATATATGAATACTAATTACCATGAATGCTATCATTTAAAAAGGTGAGGTATTTATTTCTGTTTCAGTCTTGCATTGAGCAAAGGTATGTATTTGTATTAGTCAGTTTTCTATTGCTATAACAGGATACCGCAGAATGATTAATTTATGAAGAACAGACATTTACTCTGTGTATGAGTCTAGAGGCTGGGATGTCCAAGAGTGTGGTGCTGGAATCTGCTGAGGGCTTTCTTGCTCCATTATAATATGGCAGAAAGGCAAGTGACTACATAAGACAGAAAGAAAGAGAGGGAGGGGCCAAAATCATCATTTTTATCCTTTTTATTTTGTTTGTTATCTTAGGAGTATTTTTAGCAGGTTACTACTCCTAAGATAACAAACACACTACCTTAGAAAGCTACTCCTAAGATGACAAACATACTGCCATACAATGGCATTAATCTATTGACCTCTTAAAGGCCCCACCTCTCAACAGTGTTACAATGGCAATTAAATTTCAACCTGAGGTTTGGAGGAAAGATTCAAGCCGTAGCAGCCTTCCTGTTGGGTTTTTCCTTGAAAAAACCGTGGTTGAAAATTTACTTTCAGATGTTATTTCAACTGTGAATTACATGGAAGCTTCTTTACTTGCACATATTTAGAATTTTGGGGATTGAAGCTTAAAACTAAAATCATATCTATATCTATATATCTCTGTATCTATTAATATCTATCTATCACCTTTTCTAAAAGAATAAGAAGCAGTAGGATGTGTCCTGTTTATTTTAGGCTATAGTGTATGGTTGAATTTGTTCACCAAGTTTTGTTTTATAATCTAGAATTTTGATATAACTCAATGTTTCTAATTTTTGAGAAATTACAGAAAATGGAATAGATTTCAAAATAGTGGAGCAAATTTCTGGGCAAACTTGATTCTTTCACAAAGGAAAAAGGAGAATGAAGTCTGCACACCACAGACTGGTGTCCTTGAGACTAATATTGGGAAAGACTGTAGAATAAATTACTGAAAGATAATTACTAAATATTTAGCTAAAGAAAGTGTATTCGCTAAAAGATAATAATAAATTTGTAAAACTCATGATTGTCCAAGTATTTCACTGTACTGTATCATAGAGTATCTTTACTCTTAAGGTTATGTCTATTGTTCCTATAAGATAGAAATACTGTATAATGGTATGCTACTGCCATGCTTTCCTTCTCAATGCTGTGTTCATTAAGTCAACTTGGCAGCTTGAAATTGGTCTTGGTGGGAATATTTATACCAGGAAAATCAGCAAATGCTATAAGTCAGATCTGGATTTTTTTGTTGTTGACTGTCTAGACTTAAGAAAGTGATGAAGCAAATGTAAATAATACAAATAGACACAATAGTATGTTGTGTCTATAGCCATTACACTGTGAATAGCATATAACATTAAGAAAATATTTTTGCAGTATTTGAAAACTGTTTGCCAATTCAGCAAATAAATCATTCACATCATTGACAGATAAACAAAGTTCCAACATAGGTCCCTGCTGTTTTGCTTTTGTCCTTACTTGTTAACATGAATGAAAGTATCAACCAAAATTCATGTCATAAATAAGCTCATTCATTGTTTGCAACCATAGGTTGAATACAGATACAAGATTCAGCAAAAATCGGCAAAAGCATTCTGTGAGAATCAATTTCTACATGAAATTTACAATAAAGAGAGTGGTGTATTTTATTATTATTTGTAAATTTTGAGTTATAATTCTTTATATCAGTAAAATTTGTAATAAGCTTTTATCAATACAATTTTGTGTGTATGTATATATGTGTGTGTGTATATATATGTGTGTACATGTGTGTATATATATACATATGTACATATCTATACATACATATACATGTATATACATATACATATATATACATGTGTATATATATACACACACACACATATATACATACACACACACACACACACACACATATATATATATATATATTTTTTTTCCCCTCCCTCAAATGACTGGTTGTTAAACATTTACCAACACACCGTGGCCTAAACTTATCCCTAAATCCCATCCTGCTTATTTTCTCCTGTTGAGATACTGAGTACTATTCCCTCAATTATTCTTTCTTTGATTTCCTATGTAATGTGTAGAATGTCCCATTATATTTGGGCATGTATTTCTCTTCTATAATACTTAACTTTGAGTTTCAGTCACTGGTCATCCTATTGGCAACTCTCTGGGAAAACATGTCTTCTCCCTCTCTTTGTGACATGCATTATGGCCTTAGCTTATAGCCCATTATTCTATCATCAGGTCCTGAAAATGGAAATTGATTTTACAGCACATCTTGTAGCCATTTGTTCACTTC
The DNA here is from genome assembly GCF_000001405.40 of Homo sapiens. Taxonomy (NCBI): domain Eukaryota; kingdom Metazoa; phylum Chordata; class Mammalia; order Primates; family Hominidae; genus Homo; species Homo sapiens. Next base: position 89,902,977 of record NC_000010.11, read on the forward strand.
CCACTTTTTCCTTTCTCATCCAAATTACAACTCTCAACTCTAATGATGTTGAAATATATGAAGTCCCACTTAAGCTTGCAAGTCCTCCAGCTTCCCTCCATGGACTTCATAGTCCTGGGAGATGTTTTCTAGGCCTCTATGGCAGAATTCGCAGTCTCCACATGTCAGTAGAAGCAGGGAGAAGGTAACTGTCATGGCCTCCATATTCTCCATAGATGGGTCTGCTACTAGGAGGACATGTCAGGCTTATGAGAATCAAATCTCTGTTATGCCAAGGAAGTTGACATTGAAGACTGAGTGCTTTTTACTGCAGGCCAAGAAACAGGCTTCTTGGAGCTTTCAAGAACTACTCTTCTTGTTATAGGAGGTAAAAATAACCACTTCTCTGATAAGTGACAATTCTTCCTGTGTACCTGTGAAGAAACTGCCTCAGACTATTGTAAGGCCTTATTGCTCCAGTCTCCTCTCATCATCATCTTCTTGGTCATTTTCTTCCACGCACTAGTGTCTCCTCAGGCTTCTTGTTGTCATCACCTTCTTGGTTATTTGAGGTTTCAGCTTAGAGGTCTCCTCCAAGAAGCCTTCCCTGCGTGGTAGGGCTCCTAGGTACCCCTGCAGCACTCTGCACTCTGACTGCAGAAGTGGTGGCATTGCTACATAACTGCCTTACTTCTAAACTGTTTCTCACACTGCTCTGTGAGAACAGAGACCATGTCTCTTTTCTCTATGACTTTATCTTCAGCCCCAGTGTAGTGCCTAATAAAAGGCAGGCACTCAATATATGTGCACTGAATGAAGCAATGAATGAATCATTGAGTGTTTTCTTTCACATATTATTTCCTTCATTTTCTCTTTAGCTCCTCATTGTGAATATAAATAGAGAGTCCTCCACTTCTTATGCAGGAAGAGGAACCATTATGCAGGGAGACCACTCATATTTGACACATATAGCAGTAATTGCTTATGGAAAAAATTCAAGTGCAACACAGTTCCACCATTTTGTCATCTTATTTTAATGTAAGAACAGAGCCTCTTGGAAAGAAGAGATTCATATAAAAATCTGGCATCTATTTTCCAGATGCTGGAGACAAAGCCTTCATATAGCCTTAGTTTAGCTTTTTATATACCAAAAAAGTTATTTTATCATCTGGTTTGGATGCTGACCAGTGATGATTACTGGGTTGGAAACAGCTTACTATACTTAGCCATCTATCAATAAATGCAATCACCAGCTGTGATAAATTAGGATTATAGAAGACTTAGGTGAGAATTTCAAAAAATGGTTCCTATTTCTGTATCTTTGCTGTACTTTAATCACCTGGCTTTGTGGCTGACAATTGGACATTACAAACCATTTGCCCTAATCTAAAAGCAATAATTTCTCAAATATGGGGAACACTTATATCAGAATATCTTGGGACTCTTATGATAGTGGGGATTTCTGTCTCTGTCTCAGAAATCCTAACTCAGAATCTTGGAAACACAGCTTAGGAATCCGCATTTTAAGTAAGCCTGTGTAACAGAAACTGTCAGTGCTCCATCCAGATCCTCACGAATCCTATTAACTGCTTCTGTGTCTGACCCCTGACTTTTTGATATGCTTTTACAATGGACTCTACCTGTCACTTGTCTTCAGCATGAGGGTCAAGGTTGGGAGGAATGTCTGGGAGTTTATCAGCTTCCCATCTCCCTTTTGGCCAACACTAACTGGTGCTGAAGTTTGAAAGCCCTCACCTTAAATAGGAGAAAATATCTGAGGCATAACTTATACTCTAGATATTCCTAAAGGATCAGGCTGAAGATACTCCTATGCCACTTTGCCCAAATCATATCCTTGCTTGTCAGATTTCTTAGAGACAAAGGCTAATGCTGAGATTTTTGTTCAAGTGATTTGTTGAGGGAGTTCTCTCAGGATGTGGTTTTGATTGGAGACTTGCGTCAGCCTGGCTCTATGATAGAACTCGGGAGGATGAATAACCCCATAGAGTTGGTCTCGGCTCAGTCAGTCATTGCTCATTGTTAGTTGGGGGACAGGCCTGGGCTGCGGAGTGAGGCATATCTTCTTAGGTGAGATTGCTTCCATTAGATTGAGGGCAGCTAACACTCAAACACACTCACAGCAGCTGGCTTGTGAAGCAGAACTGAGTGGGCCACTGTGGGTTAATTTTATCTGTCAAGTTGGCTAGGCTATGATGCCCAGATATTTGGTCAAACACCAGTCTTTGCAGTGATGTTGCTGCAAAGGTAGTTTTTAGTTGTGATTAATCAGTGAACTTTGAATAAAGCAGATTATCCTTCACAATGTGAATCAGCCTCATCCAGTCAGTTGAAGGCCTTAAGTGAAAATACCAAGGTCTTCTGAGGAAGAAGGAATTCTGCCTCTGGACTGTCTTCAGACTTGAGATGGAAACATCAGCTCTTCTCTGGGTCTTTAGCCTGCTAGCATGCCCTAAGAATTTTGGATTTGCTAGGCCAACAATCTCGTGAGCGAATTCCTTAAAACTAATCCCTCTCTCACTCTTTGTGTATACACACACACACACACACACACACACACACACACACACACACACACATATACACACACACACACACCACACCCTGTTGGTTCTGTTCCTGTTGAAGAACCCTGAGTGATACAGCCACTAACAGCATCTACTACACTTAATTTTTTTCCTCTTCCATATCCTATTTTTCCACTCCTTTACTAGTTCATCCTAGAAGTATTTCTTTAATAAATTACTTGCATGTAAATCCTTGTTTCAGGGTATGTCTCTAGAAAACCTGACCCAGGAAAGCATGCTTAGTAATTCTTTTTTTTTTTAAGTTTATTTTAAGTTCAGAGGTACATGTGCAGGTTTGTAATATAGGTAAACTTGTGTCATAAGGGTTTGTTGTACAGATTTCATCACCCAGGGATTAAACCTAGTATCTATTAGTTATTTTTCCTAATTCTCTCCTTCATCCTACCCTCCACCCTCTGATAGGTCCCAGTATCTGCTGTTCCCCTCTATGTGTCCATGTGTTCTCATAATTTAGCTCCCACTTGTAAGTGAGAACATGCAGTATTTGGTTTTCTGTTCCTGTGTTAGTTTGCTAAGGATAATGTTCTCCAGTTCCATACATATCCCTGCAAAGAACATGATCTTGTTCTTTTTTATGGTTGCATTGTATTCTATGGTGCATATATACCACATTTTCTTTTTCCAGTCTACCATTGATGGGTATTTAGGTTGATTACATGTCTTTGCTGTTGTGAATAGTGCTGCAATGAACATATGTGTGCATGCGTCTTTATGACAGAATGATTTATATTCCTTTGGGTATATACCCAGTAATGGGATTCCTGGGTAAAATGGTAGCTCTATTTTTAGCTCTTTGAGGAATTGCCACACTGTTTTCCACAATGGTTGAATAAATTTACATTCCCACCAACAGTGTTATAAGCATTCCTTTTTCTCTGCAACCTTGCCAGTACCTATTATTTTCTGACCTTTTAATAATAGCTATTTGCTATTTGGACTGGTGTGAGATGGTATCTCATTGTGGTTTTGATTTGCATTTCTCTAATGACTAGTGATGTTGAGCTTTTTTTCACATGCTTGTTAGCTACATGTATGTCTTCTTTTAAAAAATGTCAGTTCATGTCCTTTGCCCATTTTTTAATGGGATTTTTTTTCTTATAAATTTGTTTAAGTTCCCTTTAGAGGCTGGATATTATACCTTCGTCAGATGAATAGCTTGCAAAAAATTTTCTCCCATCCTGTAGTTTGCCTGTTTACTCTGTTGATAGTTTATTTTGATGTCAGAAGCTCTTTAGTTTAATTAGATCCCATTTGTCAATTTTTGCTTTTGTTGCGACTGCTTTTAGCATCTTCATCATGAAATCTTTGCCCGTTCCTGTGTCCAGAATGTTATTGCCTAGGTTGTCTTCCAGGGTTTTTATAGTTTTGTGTTTTACATTTAAGTCTTCAATTCATCCTGAGTTCATTTTTGTATATGGCATAAGGAAGGGGTCCAGTTTCAATCTTCTGCCTATGTCTAGCCTGTTATCCCAGCACCATTTTATCAAATAGGGAGTACTTTCCTCATTGCTTGTTTTTGTCAGCTTTGTCAAAGATCAGATGGTTATAGGTGTGTGGCCTTATTTATGGGCTCTATATTCTGTTACACTCCTCAATGTGTCTGTTTTTGTACCAGTACCATGCTGCTTTGGTTACTGTGATCCTGTAGTATAGTTTAAAGTCACATAGCATGATGCTTCCAGCTTTGTTCTTTTTGCTTAGGATTGCTTTGGCTATTTGGGCACTTTTTGGTTCCACATGAATTTAAAAATAGTTTCTTTTCCTAGTTCTGTGAAGAATATCATTGGTAGTTTGATAGGAATGGCATTGAATCTGTAGGTTGCTTTGGGCAGTATGATCATTTTGACAATATTGATTCTTCCTATCCATGAGCATGGAATATTTTTCCATTTGTTTGTGTCATTTCTGATTTATTTGAACAGTGTTTTGCAGTTCTCATTGTAGAGATCTTTCACCTCCTTGGTTAGCTGTATTCCTAGGTATTTCATTCTTTTGTGGCAATTGTGAATGAGATTGCATTCTTGATTTGGCTCTCAGTTTGACTGTTGTTGGTATATACGAATGCTAACGATTTTTGCACATTGATTTTGTATTCTGAAACTTTGCTGAAGGTTATTAGCTTAGAAGCTGTTGGGCTGAGACGATGGGTTTTCCTGAATATAGGATCATGTCATCTGCAAACAGTGACAGTTTGATTTCCTTGTTTCCTATTTGGATGTCCTTTATTTCTTTCTCTTGCCTGATTTCTCTGGCCAGGACTTCCAGTACTATGTTGAATAGGAGTTGTGAGAAAGGGCATACTCATATTGTGCCAGTTTTCAAAGGGAATGCTTCCAGCTTTTTCCCATTCAGTATGATGTTGGCTGTGGGTTTGTCAGAGATGACTTTTATTATTTTGAGGTATGTTCCTTCAATATCTAGTTTATTGAGAGTTTTTAATGTGAAATGGTGTTGAATTTTATCAAAAGCCTCTGCATGTTTTGAGATAATCATGTGATTTTTGTTTTTAGTTTTATTTAAATGATGATTCACCTTTATTGACCTGCATAGGTTGAACCAACCTTATATCCCAGGGATAAAGCCTATTTGACTATGATAAATTTTTAGATGTGCTGCCGCATTTGATTTGCCAGTATTTTGTTGAGGATTTTTGCATCTACCTTTCTCAAGAGTATTGGCATGAAGTTTTCTTTTTGTGTGTGTCTCTGCCAGGTTTTGGTATCAGGATGATGCTGGCCTCATAGAATGAGTAGGGAGGAGTTCCCCACTCCTCAATATTTTGGAGTAGTCTCAGTAGGAATGGTCCCATCTCTTTGTACATCTTGGTGCATTGGTAGGTTATTTATTACTGATTCAATTTTGGAGCCCATTATTGGCCTGTTTTGGGATTCAATTTCTTTCTGGCTCAGTCTTGGGAGAGTGTACGTGTTTAGGAATTTATCAGTTTCATCTAGATCTTCTAGTTCGTGTGCTTAGAGGTGTTCATAATAGACTCTGATGGTTATTTGTATTTCTGTGTAGTCAGTGGCAATATCCCCTTTGTCATTTCTAACTGTGTCTATTTGGATCTTCTCTCTTTTCTTCTTTATTAGTCTAGCTAGTGGTCTATCTATTTTATTAGTTTTTTAAAGAAACCATCTCCTGGGTTTGTTGATCTTTTGATTTTTTTTTTTGTGTGTGTGTGTGTCTCAATCTCCTTCAGTTCAGCTCTGATTTTGATTATTTCTCGTCTTCTGCTAGCTTTGGGGTTGGTTTGCTCTTGGTTCTCTAGTTAGAGTATGTGCCATATGGTAAGGAGGAAAATGTATAATCTATTGTTTTTGGGTGGAGAGCTCTGTAGCTGACTATGAGTTCTATTTGATCCAGTGCTGAGTTCAGGTCCTGAATATCATTGTTAATTTTCTGTCTCAATGCTCTGTCTAATACTGTCAGTGGTACATTGAAGTCCTCCACTATTAGTTTTTTGGGATCTATGTTTCTTTGAAGGTCTCTAAGAAATTGCTTTATAAATCTTTGTGCTCCTGCATTGCATGCATATATATTTAGCATAGTTAGGTCTTCTTGTTGAATTCAACCTTTTACCATTATGTAATGCCCTTCTTTGTCTTTTTTGATCTTTGTTGGTTTAAAGTCTGTTTTGTCTGAAATTATGATTGCAACCCCTGCTTTTTTGTTTTCCATTTGCTTGGTAGATTTTTCTCCATTCCTTTATTTTGAGCCTATAGGTGTCATTGCATGTGAGACGAGTCTCTTGAAGACAGTATACCAATGGGTTTTGGTTCTTTATCCAGCTTGCCATTCTGTGTCTTTTAATTGGGGGCCCTTAGCCCATTTACATTCAAGGTTAGTAGTGATATATGTGAATTTGATCCTATCATCATGATGTCAGCTGGGTACTATGCAGACTTGTTTAGGTGGTTGCTTTATAGTGTCACTGGTCTGTGTATTTAAGTGTGTTTTTATAGTGGCTGATAATGGTATTTTCTGTCCATATTTAGGGCTTCCTTCAGGAGCTCTTGTAAGGCAAGTCTGGTGGTAATGAAGTCCCTCAGCATTTGCTTGTCTGAAAAGGATTTTATTTCTCATTTTCTTATGGAGTTTAGTTTGGCCGGATATAAAATTCTTGGTTGGAATTCCTTTGCTTTAAGAATGTTGAATATTGGCTGTGAATCTCTTCTGGCTTGTAGTGTTTCTGCTGAGAAGTCTGCTGTTTGCCTGATGGGCTTCCCTTGGTAAATGACCTTTTTCTCTGGCTGCCTTTAATATTTTTTAAATTCATTCCAACCTTGGAGAATCTGATGATTATGTGTCTTGAGGATGATTTTCTTGTGAGGTATCTTACTGAGGTTCTCTGCATTTCCTCAATTTGAACGTTGGCCTCTCTAGCTAGATTGGGGAAGTTCTCATGGACAATATCCTGAAATATGTTTTTCAAGTTGCTTACAGTCTCATCTCTTTCAGGGACAACAATGAGTCGTAGATTTTATCTTTTTACATAATCCCATATTCCTCGGAGGTTTTGTTTGTTCCTTTTCATTCTTTTTTCTCTATTCTTGGCTGCTTGTCTCTTTTCAGAAAACCAGTCTGAGCTTTGAGATTCTTTTCTCAGCTTGATTAGTCTGCTGTTAATACTTGTGATTGCATTATGAAATTCTTTCAGTGTGTTTTTCAGCTCAGTCAGGTCAGTTAAGTTCTTTTCTACACTGGCTATTTTGTATGTCAGCTCCTATATCGTTTTATTGTGATTCTCAACTTCCTTAGATTAGGTTCAATGTACTCCTGCATCTCAATGGCCTTCATTCCTATCCGTATCCTGAATTCTATTTCTGTCATTTTAGCTTTCTCAGCCTGGTTCAGAACACTTGCTGGAGAGATAGTGCAGAGGTTTGGAGGAAAGAAGGCACTCTGGTTTTTTGAATTGTTAGAGTTCTTGCACTGGTTCTTCCTCATCTTTGTGGGCTGATGTTTCTTCAGTCTTTGAAGTTAGTGACCTTTGAATGGATTTTTTTTTTCTTTTATACTATTTGATGACCTTGAGTGTTTGATTGTGGCATATGGAGCGGTTAAGACAGCTGGCTTCACTTCTGGAAAATTTTATGGGGCCAACACTCAGCTCCCAACTCCTGGACTGCATGCTCTAATTCTGGGGGGTTTTTATTGGGCCCTGACTTTGTTCTCTGGCTACTTGAGGTTAGAAATCCACTGCATTGTGAGGGCGCAGAGGTGCTCCCAGACCACTAGTCACTATACTGTTATGGGTGGTGTCAAACGAAGCATTTTGTAGTGTGGTGGCAGTGGGTCTGTCCTTGTTTCCACGTGTCAGCAGCAGCAGCAGCAGCAGCAGTGGCAGCATGGTGGGGTGCATGTTCTTCAGCTGTGGCATGTTGCTAGTGGGTGCATGGGCACCTCTCTCCCTGTGGGTGTTCACCACAGTGGTGGCGGTAGCATGGCTGGGGGTGGGGACTTGGGCCCCTGCTGACAACTGTCATGCTGGTGGTGGTATTAGCCAGGAACAGGGTGCTGCTAGGCCAGGTCTGTGTGTACTCTCTGTGTGTGGCAGACAGGCATGGTCACTCAGGGAAGGGGAGAGTCTGCTGTTCTCTGTGCCAACTTTCACTCCAGGAGCAGTGTTGGCGCTAGAGCAGGTGCTGGTGGAGGTAGGGCTGGCTCTCTCTGTGCTCAGCTAGGCTCTGACTGCAATGGTGGTCTGGCGGGAGGACATGGGTGGCGTGCACTCCCACTGCAGCAGTGGAAGGGCACTAACAGGACAAGGAAGACAAAACCTGCCTGTGCACACATGTGCCAGCAAGGTGATGTGGGGGTTGCTGTGGGCCCTGCAGGAAGCTGCAGTGTGGGGAGAGAGCAGGCAAATTTGTGCATGACCATGGGGGCCACCTCGCTGGAGCTCTCTGCCAGTCAGGCACAGTCTGCCAGTGCAGGAAATATGATGTAGGTCCCCAGGACACTCAAGGCTGCCCTGCAAGCAGGCATGGCCACAGCATGCCTGGTCATTCTTATCCACACTAAAATTTGAGAAACACTGCTTTAAAGGTTGTATCAGGTAGTTACTGCTCTGCAACAAAACTGCCCCAAAACTCAGTGACCTAAAGAAATAATCTTTATTTTTGTAGGTTTTAGGTCAACTGGTTATATGATCTAGACTGGGCTCAAAGGAAGGGGAAGGTGGCTCTGCCTAAGATCTCTCTCATTTTCTCCTTGGATCTGGGGACTAGACCAGAATGTTCTTCTTATGGTAATAATGGTAGAAAGATAAGAAAGCAGGTAGAAATATGCAAGTGTTTAGCCTTTTTCCTGTTCAGAGAAAACTGGGGACTCACAAACCTTTTCACAACCTGAGCACAGTCTATCTCTTTGAGTTCAGGCTGGTAGTGCTTCTACCAACACAGTTCTCTAGACATTTGTGGGTTTTCTATATATTTCATTTTCATTCATACTATGTGACAGAGGCCATACGAACAATTTTTTTTTTTGGTTAGTTTTACCTCTCTAGACTTAATTACTCCTATTTAGGTCATGACTGGTTGCTGGGGGATCATCCTCCCTTAGCTTTATGGAAGCCCTTCTGTGCAGCTGAGAAAATGCCTTATTTCTTACAGATGTCTTAAGGGATGTACAACCAAACTCTTACTTTAATCTTTACTCTGAGGGCATGTCTTACTGCAGTGCCCGTAATCTTTGTTCCCAGGAATTATCTTAATTTGAGAATCTTTTACTGGTTGAAAAGTCTAAATATGAGAATGCATTTTACTTTGAGTAACAGCTTCCTGCATTTCTGAGCCATGTTCCCTCTCAGTTCTGTTTTCAAATTTGCTAGTTCATGCTTGAGTTTATCTCTCTTTTATAGTAACTTCTGCTCATAGACAGCTAAAAACAAGCTGATGCTTCCAATATTCTGTCTGAAGATTTACTTGGACAAATTCAAAAGTTTATTAGATACATTTTCTATCTTCCAAGTTACCATAAATGACAGTTCAACCAAATATTTCACATCTATATAATACAAGCCTCCTGTAAGTTTTCTTACTATGTCTCTAGCCTCCTGTAAGTTTTCTAACCATTTTTCCAGCTTTAACACTTTTCTTGCCATTTTCTCAGCCTCATGCACCATCTAGTTCTAAAGCCAGTGTCTCATAATTTAAGTTTTTGTTACAGCAGCATCCACTTTCCAGCACCAATTTCTGTATCACTTCACTATTGCTATAACAAACTATCCCCAAACTCAATGCCTAAAATAACAATCAGGCCAGGCGCGGTGGCTCACGTCTGTAATCCTAGCATGTTGGGAGGCCAACCAAGGCAGGTGGGTTGCCTGAGTCTGGGAGTTCAAGACCAGCCTGAGAAACGTGGGGAAACCCTGTCTCTACAAAAAATACAAAAATCAGCTGGGCTGGTGGTGCATGCCTGTAGTCCAGGCTACTAAAGATGGTGAGGTGGTAGGATCACCTGAACCCGAGAGGTCAAGGTTGCAGTGAGCTGTGAACATGCCACTGCACTCCAGCCTGGGTGACAGAGCAAGACCCCCATCTCAAAAAATAAGATAAAGTAAAATAAAATAAAATAAAATAAAAGCAGTCATTTATTATGTTTTGATAATAGATGGCTCTGATCTACAGGATAAGAGAATAGATACAGAGGGGTGTGTAGTATTGCTATTAATACAATCTATCACAAAGATTAAGACTTTTTACCTTGGAATGGTAGAGAATACATTTTTATTTGTCTGTTGGATAATGATGTTATTTTCTTTTCACACTTAAAAAATGCTTTGATAAAACTGTACTGTTTTCTTCCAAAAAAAATCAATGACAGGTTTTTAAGTCTGCAAAACATCAGTAAATGAAGGAAGCTGCTGCTTTAAAGTTGCAAATCCAAGTTTGAAGCAACCAAAATTTCTACAAGCTCTCACTTCAAAGGGTAGAGAACTGAGCAGGGCAGCTGGATAGAAGAAAGTCTTCTCTTTATTGGCAGAGTCACTCTAGGAGCCAATATGTTTTCTGTATTCCAAGGCCCATGGAAGGAACATATAGAGCTTTGAAGTCAGTTGAACTGAAGTATTTGGGGAAAATTACTCAATAAGGCAGAGGGTGAGAATGCAAAAACTGGACGTGGTGGGAAGAGCTGAAGACCAGTATGACCTTAGGACCTGGGGCACTGCAGCACCTCTGTATGCCTGCAGAGAGAATGCAGTTTGCCGCATTCTGCTGTGACTTTATCTTGATGGTACCTATCAAAACTACATTCTCTTGTTTAGGTATATCTCCTCTACATACAGGGCTCTTCTTTGCTTCCCCTTACAAAAGCTTCTTCTCTCATCGAAATTAGCATTTATTTACGCCTTCATTCAACAAACATCTGAGCGAGTGAAAAAAGTGTCTGTTGAGGACTCTATCCTTTGGTGCTTTGTGAAACAGAAAGGGAAGGTTGGGTTCATAATAGCAAGAAGGGTAATAAGTATAATCTACATGATTGAATTAAAAAATCTTGCTCGCATATTAATTTTGTAAATACGGTAATTGGCTAATATTTGCATACTATGAAATGCTTTTACCAAAATATGACTGGAAAACAAATATGCTCCATTCTTTGTAATGTAGTGAATTAGTCAGGGAAGACTAATTGCTGTAGCAAAACTTCCCCAAACTCAGTGGTTTAACATAATCAAAATTTATTTCTTACTCATAACAGAGTCTCATGTGGATGGGAGACACTACTCCAAGAGGTCACTCAAGAATCTGGGCTCCTTCCATCTCGATGCTTCCCCATATTATATTATATAATTCCTTGTAGTTCACCCTATTTACCTGTCTGATGGTGATGAAGAATATGATGGTTTTAAAATGATCACGTATTATCTGTGACCTTTCTATGTGTGCATACCTCATATGCACTTGCGGAGATCGAACCTTATTTCCTTCCCTTTTAGTGTGGATGTACTTAGCGACTTGCCTCTACTGAATAGAAAAAAAATGGAAGAACAATCTTTGGAGACTAGATCCTAAAAAGCTTCCTGCTTTCTCTCTCTCTCTCTCTCTCTCTCTCTTTCTTTGTCTCAGGTTGCTAACTTTGGAGGAAGCCAGCTGCCATGTCACAAAAAGATTCAGGAAGCCATGTGGAGAGGCCCACATCATGAGGAACTGAGGTCTTTGCCAATTACCAGCAAGGAAATGAGGCCTCCTGCCAACAGCCACGTGAGTATCCTACCTTGGAAATGGACCCTCTAACTTCAATCAGCCTTCAAATAACTGCAGCCCCAGTTGATGGCTTGACTGCAACCTTAGGAGAAACCCTGAGCCAAAAACATTGAGGAAAAACACCCCCAGATTCCTATCAGAAATTGTGTAAGATAATAAATGTTTGTTGTTTTAAGCTGCTAAGTTTTAGGGTGATTTGTTATACAGAAGTAGATAACTAATACAGAGACAGAAGAATTACTTTTGGGAGGGTTTGATCATTCTGGGCCTGCAAGAAGCCTAAACTGCTTCCTACCCCTTTGTACTGATGAGAGCTGAGGCACATGGTCACACCTAAGAAGCTAACTGCAAGAGCACCTGGGAAATACAGTCTAGCCAAGTGCCCAGGAGGAAGGAAACACTTTGATAAATAGCTGGCCAGTCTTGGCCACATTCAGTGAGTTTATATTTGGGAATGTTTGGACCACAAGAATCTGGTGACTATTTATTCCAATTCAGACAAGATTCTTAGAGGAAATAGGTAAAGTCTTTGACATAGTCTCTTTTCGAGAATGATGCCAAAAATGGCTGGAGTTTGTCTATGTCTTTGGTTTGTCTAATTTAGTAGTGCTGTCATAACAACAGCAGCAGCAGCACCGCTACTGACAACTAACATTCATTGAACACCCAGGCATTGTAAGAAGCATTCAATTAATCATCACAACAGCAGAGTGAAGTAGGTACAATTGTCTCAATTTTACAAATGGGGACAATGAGACACAGAGAGGTTAGACAACATGCTCAACGTTTCAGGAACATCTGTGTAAGCCAGAGATCCAGCTCTTTAGCCTAAGTCTGTATTTCTTTAGGGCACTGGATTTCCTAACCTGCAAGAAGATCAGCAGTGTTAGCAGAATGTTGAAAGCAGAGATTTAGCTGTTCCAGAACTTTTTTCAGTGGATGGTGCGGGAGGAACCCTGACCTGCCCTACAGTGTGGAGAAATGTGGGTTGGGGATGCCCTTCACTGTGGGAAGTAGCTTGAAGATGCTTTAGGCACAGGTGTCATCCTACAAGCAGGTAGGAAGACATAAGGCAGAGCAGTAAAACTCCAATTTGGCTAAATAAATTTATGTTTGTTTTTCTTTAGCACAACTCTAGATAGGTGTGCTTCAGTTTCTTCTTCTGTGTACTAGGAATAAAAATACCTTCCAAATGGGCTTGTTATATGACAAGCTTGAATGACATGATATATGCAAAAACATCTGGAATATTTCTGGGTCTACAATCAAAAATTTTTTTTGGGGGGGGTATACCAATGCCTTTATATTCTACTGAATAGAGGCCATATCTTATTTATCATTATATCCTAAGTGCCTAGTACAGTATCTTGCACAAAGTGATTGCACAATACATTTTTGTTGAAGGTACACATGAATAAATGGTACAATCATTTCTTTTTCATTCTTTTTGGGAATGAGGAGCTCAGTCTGAGATGTGCAGTCTAATCATCATCTGCTCCATTTGGGGGCTGCTTAAGAGTTCCAAAAGTGCTTCCACATGCAATATCCTATGCCAGTGCCCCATCAGGACATTACCTTTGCCTGTTCCTGGAGCAGTGGGAGGCAACCCTTATTAAAGTACTTTGTCCAATTCAAGATTGAATAAAGTCTAACAAACTTAGTGAGTGCTCAGAGGAGAGCAATAAAAATGGATTAAATAGACCTTCTAAAGAAAGGTTAAGAGAATTGAGATTACTTCAGCTAGAGCTGCTGATGGGGGGAATAATAAATTTTCAAGAAACAAAAGAATATCTTGCAAAACTTGGTGGTTAGCAGTGGGCTGTTTCCCTGGAGGGCAGAAGAGAAAGAATTTTGATGACTTTCCTGTTTGGCATTAACAAGCAGCCTCTCTTGCCCTCTCTACCCATGGAATTGTAGCAGTCACTTGCTCTCTGAAAATTCTTTATTGCATTAGGACATCCTCTCCAGAGTGTTGTGCCTCTGAGTACTGTGAGGTCACTAGGGCAAAGCAGAAAAAAGACATATCAACTAAAAGGTTAGAATGTATTCATCTCTTGACTTGGCAGTTTGAAAGGAGAGGACCGTAAGCCCAATTAACCAGAGGCTCCAAAGACATTTATAGACATTACATCTCCCTTCTTTGACTTCCTAAGACTTCTAAGGTAGAATTCTTATAAATCTGCTACATTCCATAATATGTGTGTGCACAGCATACTCACTTTACTCTTGCTCAATTACCCCATAAATTTTATGGATAGGGGAAGGTTTCCTGGGAGAATGAGAGCTTGGAAATGGGTATTAGCAGTGCCACTAAATGTATGGTGTTCCTTGCTGAGCCCTGAAGTTAACTTACATTAACTTTATATAGCTTATAACCTAACAGATGTTTTTTGAGTGCTTTCTATGTGCCAGGCATTGTGTTAAGCACTAGGTATACAATGGTGAAATGTATGTATGTGGCCCTTGCCAATATAAGGCCCTAACACAGGACCTAAAGGCCAGTGAGGGATACAGACAGATCAAGAGGCAACCAAAATATAGTAAGATATGTGCTATATAAGATAATAAGAGAAACCAACCCAACCCAGAGTTAGCGGGTCAGGGAGAGCTTTTTGGATAATATGATGCCTAAGTGATCCATGAAAGATGAATAAACATTAACAATTATCATTAATTCCTTCTTTGGCCACACTATTAGTTCAGATATCTCTTATTTTGGAAATAGATGTCATTACCTAGCTCACTCAGTCACATTCCCTTTCCTCCCCAATTATTATTTTTCATCTTATTTTTAAATTATTAACAGCATAATCTAGCCATCATTTGCATCATTTAGGGGGGAAGAAAGTCTCCAGGTGTAGTTAGCTCAGGTGAGAGTAATACATACAGGTAGCACATATGTCACTGCAGTTCTGTTCATGAGGATCATCTAGAAAAGGATCTCTATTCACTTGAACTAGACAGAGCAGAAGCCCCACTAACATACATTTATACAGGAAGCCAGGGCACTTTCCTGGTATTGGTGTACCATTACAGTTTTTATTAATTATTTTTTGTTTATTAATAATCAATGAGGCCACCATGTAATGATAAAACTTATTAGAATTAAATATCAGCTGCTCGGTGTTAAATAATTAATTACAATCAGCCTCGTAGCAAAATACAAAGGAGTAACTGCCCAATTCAAGTGTTTCTCTCCTTTCTTGGGACAGTGCCCACACCGAGGGGATGGCCTTCGGTGGCTGTGTATCTACACTGGCTACAGCTGACTGATCCAGGGTTAGATTCCTGGCCCATTTTGGGCCAACTGGATGACATCTTAGGAATTTTTGAATTGGGTCAAGAAAAAATGTGAATTATTCTCTCTTGGTGGTGGCCATTGCAAGATATATTCTTGGGCACTGATAATGGCTATGTGCCTTCCTCTGGTCTGCAGTAGGAGGATGTGAAGAGAGAGACCTAGCCAAAACCAGAGAGAGGGAGAGAGGAGAGGAAAGGAGAGAGAGAGAGAGAGAGAGAGAAATAGAGTGGGAGTATGCATTTTAATGGCATCTATTTCTCTGGCTTTCACAGTTCCCAAGGCCCAGTTATTTCTGCGCCTGTGCTGCAGTTTGCTGATGTGAGAAAGATCAGTGCTCTTTTAATAAATTCCTTTGGTTCTGCCTAAGCTACATCAAGGTGGGATTTTGTCTCCTGCAACCAAGAGTCCTAATGAAGATAGGCCTTTAGTATAGTCAGAAACCTGCTTATTCACTACTTGGTGGTAGAGGGTTATGGCACAGAGCATAAAACTCACTGGTATCCTCCTTTGTGAGCTTGCACATCAGGACATCTTTTGAGGTACAGATAATTTTAGGAGGATGAATATTTGGCTCAGATCCCAAGGTTCTATTCTACACCTGCATTTGCAACCTCCATACCAGGTTGCAGGCTTCTAGCCCATCAGCTCTCATTGCTGTTTCCAGAGGGTCCTCTAGGTGGGAGGTCTTGTGCAGTAGCTGCCCCCACCAGGTTCTGGAGTAGGACAAAGCCAGGTTGGGATTTTAAATTTACTTCTGTGGGTAGCTGTGTAGCTTAGGAAATTACTCACTCCTTTGAGCCTTGGTTTTCTCTTCTATAAAATGGAAGCCTATACCAGAAGCAGTGGCTCATGGTGGTAATCACAGCACTTTGGGAGGCCGAGGCAGGTGGATCGCTTGAGCGCAGGAGTTCAAGACAGCCTGGGTAACATGGCGAAACCCCTGTCTTCACAAAAAATAATAATAAAAAATTAGCCAGGCACAATGGTGTGTGCCTGTAGTCCCAGCTACTCAGGAGGCTGAGATGTGAGAATCACCTCAGCCTGGGGAGGTTGAGGCTGCAGTGAGCCATGATAATCATGTCACTGCTCTCGAGCCTGGGCAACAGAGCAAGACTCTGTCTGGGAAAAAAAAAAAAGTAATCATTGAGTGTTGTTAGGATTAAAGGAGGCATTATGTATAAATTATTAGGAAGAACAGTTGGCACATAATAAGTGCTCAATAAATATTAGCAATCATTTTAATACAAACCAAGTCTACAAATAGGAAAGGAATGTGTTTTCCCACTCAATTGTTATAAGGCAATGGATGAGGTCAATTTTTAAGATGCAGAGAATTACTCTAATCCTGCTATAAAATAATGCAGGGACAGTGCTTTAATGCCTCAGAAGAGATCTAAACAAGATAAGGGCAAATTATGATTGAATTTCTGCTTGTGACATAATCTGACAGTTTTCGTTCTTCCTCACTCCCCAGTTGGAAAAAACTGCAACAAAAAACTGTCGAAACCATGCAGTGGACTTTCTATATTATGCCTCACTTCATCCTGAAATCCCATAGACCCTCTCCAGGGGGTTTAATTACCTGAACTATCCAAAGAAACTAATTACGACAACCCAAGGTTGCCCTGAAGTTGCATTTATGCTCAACAAAAAAGGTCATAAAATCTTCTCTGCTTATAGCTCCTGTTTATTTTTTCAGTTTGAGATAAATAAAGCTGATTGTAAGAAGAGTTTAAGGTCAGCCAAATTTGTTTCTGGCACTTTTTATTTTCTTTCTCTTCTCTGAGGTCCCTCTCTGCCCTTACTGCAAATTTCTCTCTTTTTGCCACCCCCCCCCCCTACCAAATTAATAAAATATTTGAGGCAATATAATTGTTGACAGTGCTTTACAGTCAGACATATGTAAATTTCAATTTCAGCTCCAAATTGGTGGCAATAACATGCACCTCTTTTATGAGTGCATATGTGCTCAATAAATGAGAATTATTGACAATTATTATTGAAACTAATTTATATTAAAACATCAAAGTAATGGTTCTTGAAATATGGTCTGGAATAACTTTCATCAGAACAACCTGGAGCTGTTATGAAAAATGTCAATTCCTAGGTCTCATTCTGAAGCTACTGACCTCTGGGAGTGAGACTCAGGAATTGGCATTTCTTAACAAGCTCCTAGTTAGTTCTTATGCACATTAAATTTTGTGAGTCACTGAGATTATACTTGAAGATGACAGAAGTCAAGTCAATGTGTTACCTTTCTCAGTCATATTTATATTTTGGCCTGACTTATAACAGTGGGGTAAAAGAATTTGGGACTATGTCACAGCGATCAATAAGCAGTAGTAGAAAGGCTTTTCTGAACTCCAGGGATGCTTAGTCTCTGGAAATCACACTGAATCCACATCTCAAGCTGACTCCAAGGGTCATTATGCTTTTGCTGTTTGAGCCCTTAGCTTCTTAGTAGCTGTACTAAATTGTGGATAGTACTGACACACCTTGGGCATTTGCAGTGTGGGGGGCTTTTTCAGTTACAGTGACTGAGTGGGTCCAGAGATGCAAATGTCCTGCCTTGCATAAGGTAGTTCTGCACAGTGAAGAAGTGTCCTGCCTTGGAAACCATAATATTTCTGCTGAGGGCCAAGGCAAAAGGAGCAGTTTCCTATCACTGCTCGTCTGTGAAGTTGGAGGCACATTTCCCAGAGCACCTAGTAGTAGAAGACCAGTGACAGATCCCCAGGTTTTTGTCTGCTGTGCTATGTGAGACCTATCCTGCTCCTGCACAGGAATGTCTCCAGCCCTTCCTTGCCTGGATACCTTCCACCTGCAGATAACGCCTTCCTTCTGTATTATAGTACAAGAGGCTGCAGCTGGAATTGTCTTCAAAGCAGAGGCAGAGTGACCATAAAGCTAATGAAGCTTGAGCTTCTGAGCTCTTCTCTTGCCTAGACCCTTGTGAGTGCTGGGAGCTGTAGAGTGGGAGAGGGAAAGTCAGGCTCCCCCAGGAAGCTTCAATGTAAGCGTTTCTGACTGATTGTCCAGAGGGTCTCATGGGAAAGGCACCTGGATCTCCAAAGTGCCAGTAACTTGTCGTGACTTATTTTGTCATCTTAAACAAACATTTGTTTAGTTTTGCATTTGTTTTTAAAAAGCCCCTACTCTCCAAATTATATAAACTGCAGACTCCATAAAACCTGGATCTTCCCATGCTTCTGATTGGGTTTTTTTTGCTTTCTGAACATATTTGTGTGGGGCTTAATAGATTTTCATATGAATATAAAATGATGAGCCTATAGTGGTGTCTTGGGGCCAGAGGTGAACTGAATTTGTGTTCCATATTTCTTTGGCCAAAGGTAGTTTATGGTAGCAAATTCCCTACATTTCCAAACTGCTGACTCGAGGTGTTCTCAGGTTATACCTGTGCAGAGATGACCGAAGCATGTAGGGCTAGTCAATATAGCAGTGGCTGGAAGAACAGGTAGGGTTGAGCCAGCCGATGTGACACACAAGGGCTAGCTGATAAATGCATTCCTACATAACCATCGCAGCACAGTTAATCAGATAATTCTCCACAGTATCATTCCACTGAAGGGTTAGTCCTATTGAAGAAGATTCCAGTTTATAAGAGTCATTGAAAGAATCAATAATACCTGGTGGATGACGCATTCATCTGTAATCTAGACTTGGCTGCTACTGAGTAGCTTGTAAGTCTTTGGCAGATAATTCTATCTATGGACAAAAAGGGGGAATGAATTAATTTGCTCCTCTCGAGGGAAAACTATGTGTTGAATATACTGACCCAATTACCTTTGAATTTTATTAAATATGAGAAGCTATTTGGCATAGAATTTAATATCCACTCTGCTTTTTTCAGATCTCCATTGAAATAACTAATTTTCTGAGAAGCTCTGTTCAACTCTTTGTTGAGGTTATCTTCACCTCTTTTCAAAAGACTTCCATTCTCCTTCTACCTATGTGTACCACAAACAAACTTACCTTGATCAACCCTGTCTGCGCTTCAGCATATTTTTATGCTAAATCTAGGCCAGATCAGTGTTTCTTAGACTTTAATGTGCACCAGAGTCACCTGAAGGGCTTGTTAACACAGATTTCTGGTCCCACTCTCCAGGGTTTTGGATTCAGCAGGTCTAGGATGGGGCTGAGAATTTGCAAGTCTAACAAGCTCTCAGGTGATGCTACTGCTGCTGGTCTACGACTGCACTTGAGAACCACTGGGCTGGACAAATAGACCCAAACTCTGGCTGATTATCAAAATCATCTGGGGTAATTATGACCAGAAAGGATGCCTGAGGCCCATACCTGAATGCATGAGAATCTCTGGGAGTCTGGGTCAGGATGGAAGTGAGGTGGATAGGGCACCCTGAGAGCAAATGTTTTCTTAAATTTTGCATCCTGAGCACCTCACTCTAGTCCTGGCCCTGCCACCAATTTGCACTTAATGCATCAGACTAGCTGCAGCATAGAAATCTCTCTAAAGCTTGCTGGAGTAAATAACAAGAGTGTGAAGTAGCCTCTTAACCATTTATAGATTGGGCTACTTTTTTTAACAAGGGATGCTAGTGCAGCGATATTTTTAGAGCTAAAAATTCACAGGTCGTGAGCTTACTAACTGGTTTCAGCTAAATTCCTTCCTTGGTATGGAACCTTTAAGTTACTCAACCTGTTGAAGGTTAACTGCTAATGAACCACTGACCTATATACTAGGAAAATATAAAATGCAATGGAGCGCATATTGGGATTAGAGCTGGGAGATGTTGATGGTGGTTGCTTCTCTTTCCTTGTCAATCATATGTATGCTTGCAAATAATATTTAGTGATTAGCATGTCACAGTAGCAAAAGTACTTTTCTCTCTAAGAATAATTTATTTTGAAATAATTTCAAACTCACAGAAAACTTGCCAGAAGTTTTACAAAGAACTCCTATATCCCCATCATCAGACTCCCCAACTGATAACATTTTATTGCATTTTCTCTATTGCACTGGATTCTTTTCTCACCCATGTCCCTCACCCAGCTCACTCTCTCTCCCACCTCCCCCACCTTGCTCGCTCTCTCTCCTCTTCTCTCTCTCTCTCTCTGTCTCTCCCCCACCTTCTTTTCTTCTCTGGTCTAGGATCCCATCAGGGCACATAAAGGACATTTGATTTTCAGGCCTCCTCCAGTCTGAAAAAGTTCCTTGGGGTTTCTTTTTTCCGTGTTCTTGATGGGTTTAAAGTATGAAGCCCTTTCATTTCAAAGGGTGCTCTCAGCTGTCTGATGTTTTCTTGCCACCATTCTTAGGTCATGTTTTCTTGCAGGAACATGACAGAAATAATGCCCTTCTCAGGGTATCACCTCAGGGGGCACTCTCTTGATGCATCCCACCACTAATGACATGAACCTTCATCACCTGGTTATGTTGGCATCTGTCAAGTTTCTCCACCAGTTTTTCTTTTGTGCTTAGTTATAATTTTGTGGGAGGTATTCCAAGATTATGCCAATATCCTTTTGCTTCTATGATGACTGCCAAATGATGACTCTCCATTTTCAGCACTTTTTCTACATTTTTTAGTTGCCATTTTATTGTAAAGCAAGGTTTAATATCATGTAATCATAGATTTCTATTTTATTTAATGAGTTGTCATTTGACACTTTCATTCTTCATTTGATGCTCAATTTTTCTACAGTTTAAATGGTGGTAGCCCCTTCATGACATTTTCCCATCATTCATTGACTATTTTCTTATTTTCTGGCACAAGGAAAAGATGCCCCAGGCTCATCTTGTTCTTTCTGTGACTCAGCCCAGGAATGAGCCATTTCCTCAGGGAGACACTTAGAATCCCCAAACTCCCACCAAATAGCATTTATAATTGAGAATTACATGTTAAGAATTCAGTTAGCTTTCTAAATTTAAGCATATGCATATCAACAAATGTTAAAAACTCAAAACACAATGTATACGTTGAAGGAATAGATAAAAATGGGAAGATAGACCAGTGAAAAGTTTTTATGGTCATGGTCTTTGTTTATTTCTTCTTGAGTTATACCATCAGCTGAAAAATGTACATACCTCCCAACATTTTATTTGCAGTCTAAGTCTCTTCAGTGTTAACTTGCATCTAGTTAGTCGGTTTCCTTTCTCTGTGGCTGGTTTGGTGGCTTAGATGGACCAAAAGAGTTTTGGCTGTTGACCTTGCAATATATCCCCATGAAGATTTACTGAATGGGACAGGGTGTAGAGTTCAATCCAGTTTGCAGTTTGAGCATAAGAAAGATTCTGGAAAAGACCTGCTTATTGTATGTAGTTTGTACAAACCAAAGATGGTGTCCTGGGAAAGAAATCTGCTGATAACATAATTCTAGTGGTGTTCTTAGAAGGTCAAATTGTTTCCTGCTGAGTTTCCTTGCCAAAATAATTGACTTGCAACCTGGAAACAGCAGCAAGAAGGGTGAAGGGAGAATGAAGGCATTATTGCTTCCTGTGAATTTTTGCTTTCCTGAAAAGATTCAGGTTTTCCAAAGTTCTCTGCTATTTTAAAATTCTAATAAGAAGCAGACCTGGCATCTTGTAATGGTTGAGTTCGTATGGTAATTGCATTACAATAAATAGCTGAAGTGCTAGGCCCATAAAAGTGACCCAAGACCCTCTGTTCTCTTGCAATAGGGGACTCTTTAATAGCCACAGATTTTAAAGGGTCAGTGTCCCTTTGGACCATTTCTTCCAAGCAGAAATAAGCAAAAGTCTACCTTAAGGGCACTGTGTTAGGTGTGAGTAATTTTATGTCTTTGCTAAGTTAAATGGTATTATTAGCCAGAGAAAGTTATGCTGACACAATTTAGGCAGAAATGATATAGGAGATTGTTGGAAAAATCAAACCTTTTGTTTTTCCAAACAAGAAATTAAGCTATTTTGGTGTTATTGGGAGGAAAATAAACTGAAAATTGTAGTATTAAAGAACACATTTGTCTTTAGGATGTGGAATAAGAATACCAGAATCTCCAGGTTTATAAATTAGATATATGAATATGTATTTCATATTCCTTTTCTCCTAATTTCCATTATTCATGGAATTATAAGCATAGAGGAGAAAAAAATAAACTATTTCTAGGACCGACTTCACTGCATTCAGATCTTCATGTTTAGGCTATGGTGCTCAATGGAATGAGGGATGGGAAAGATGTATGAAACCTAGATGTGCCTGTGAGTAGCTCATGATTATGCAGGGGATCGGGGGATTGTATAAGTGTTGCTATGAGTGCAACACAAAGCTCAGTGTGAAATAAACCCTAGGAGTGGCAAAACTAAATGTGATCTAGGTTAAGGAAGAAAGATGTATTTAGATGAAACTATTTGGAGTGTGTGTGTGTGTGTGAGAGAGAGAGAGATAGAAACAGAGAGAGAGAGAGGTACACAGAGAGAAAGAATAATGCAGATGTTTCTAAATGGAAAGGGCACAGTTATACTCGGCACATCAAAACAAGAGGACTAGCAGGTTGCCCATATGGGTATTCACACTATGACATTTACCTTGGTAAATTCACTAGTGTCCTAGAGACTGGCTTACAGTATTTCAGTTTCAAAAACTGAGGTCTCAGTGTACCAGAGTTGATTTGGCTCAGTGATGTTGACTCAGTGTAGCAAAGCTTACATGGGTTTAATGTACAATTTATTAATCCACAATGGGAATTACAATCCTCACTGAGCAGAACATTTATGTTAGCATGCGCACAGTATTCTTGTAGGCCTACATGAGCAGTTTACCTGCAGTTGTGAAATCAGAATCTGGAGGATTGGCTGTTTGATTTCAAAATGAAATGGCATCAAGCTTAACGGACTGTTGTGTCCATTTCCTACGTGAGGGTACCCTTGGTCATAGGACCCATCAGATACATCTTTGAGCCATGATAAAACGTTTTCCCCTGGACATTGCTCAGACTAGCACTGCTCACGGTGGGCTCTGATGCTCTTCCTTGTCTTTTTCCACAGGTGACTAAAGATCCTGTTTGGTTTGACCCATTCTATCCCCTCTACTCTGCAGAGATTAAAAGCAGAAGATGGTGGATTAAACAACAGAATTGGCTAAACTAAAAAATGGTTTAAAATGATGCATACACACTTACATTTTTAAAAATTAATAGTTTTCGATGTAAATTCATCCACTAATCTTTTGATATAGAACCACCATATCACATTTTCATTGATTCTTAGTTTGGATTTCATAAATTATACCCATTATGTAATCTTTACGACTTCCAGGGATGTGTGCGTTACAATCATTTAAGGTGACTTATAAAGCAATCTGAGGGCAGAGTTTTCCCAGATTTTTGTGATTTCCCCCTCGCTTCAGGCTTTTCTTATTTGCACTTAATTTGATAGCAGTTTACTTTCATCCCAATCAACTTTTTTAGTTTTTCCAAAACTTTAAATTCAATAGAAACAACTATTTTTAACACTCATATTTCATCGGTTTACTGAGTAATTAAATCACTTAATTTAAATATTTTGAAAAAAACATAATTGACTTCTAGAAACTTAAACTCAACATATGTATGTTAGAGGGTAGTTACCCAGAAATGAACATGTATCAGACACATCATAGCAGCATTAGGGAGGTTTGGTGAATTCAGGAAGTTTGTAGTGTGTATTGATCACTTCAGTTACAAGTAAGTCTTGCTGGCCCAGAAGTCCTTTCTCCTTTGGCTTTGCATTTCTCTTTCTTGGTCCCTTATATGCTAATGAAGAATCAGAGGGCAGCATATGCCTCAAGAGATTAGTTTTTTCCCTTTTCTTTCTAGTGGGAGGGGTGCCAGGAAAATCATTTTGGAATCACTAATGGCAGCCACACTCCACCCCACACACAAGAAGGGAAGAGGTGACTAACCCTGACTGATGGGAAGCTTCCAACAGGAGTCAATGTAGCACATATAGCTCTATTATCCAGGGAAATGGAGTAGCCTGATCTTTTGAGTTGAAAAGAAAAGCGACTCGCTTCCTTGGATTAATTTTTGGGAGGATCAAAAGGCAAAGGTTCCAGGTTTATGAGATGTGATGCTAGAACTAATCCTGACACAATGTTCCTTGGGTGCGCTGGTTCTCTGAATGGGGATGGGAATGTAAAGAGGAAAAGATGAGCTGTTAAGAATTTGGGATCCTGAGCATGGGGTTCTCTGGACTGAGGTCAGCCCTAAGGGGCTGGATTTTCATGCCTGTGAATCTGTGCGGTTTGTGCAGGGCTCTGGGTCAGCCACACACCTATTGACAAATGTCTGAAACTCGGATTTAAAGAGAGGAAAGCATGGTCTTTCAATGTTATGTTAGAGCATTGCTTAGGAGGGCCACCCAAGGTTACTTCATTATCTAGGGGAGTAGACTTTGTTTTAATTTGCTAATCTTCTACCAGTTAAGGCCCAGATTCTGTGAAATTTTACTTTCATTGGTATATGTTTTGTTTGGTACAGATTCAAATGGGTTTGTCTTGTAGAAAAGGTAACCCTAGAGGTTATGTGATGATACCCTGTAGGACAGCCATCCCCGACCTTTTTGGCACCAGAGACTGGTTTTGTGGAAGACAATTTTTCCGTGGATAAGGGAAGGAGGAATGTTTTTGGGATGAAACAGTGCCACCTCAGATCATCAGGTATGAGTTAGATTCTCCTAAGGAGCATGCGGTCTAGATCTCTTGCATGTGCAGTTCATAATAGGGTTCATGCTCCTATGAGAATCTAATGCTGCCGCTGATCTGACAGGAGGTGGAGCTCAGGTGGTAATGCTGGCTCATTCACTGTTCACCTCCTGCTGTGCAGCCTGGTGGCCAATAGGCCATGGATCAGTATCCATCTGTGGCCAAGGTCGGGGGGCAGTGTTGGGTACCCCAGCTCTAGGACATTACCAGTTTTGTATCCAACCTAGGGCCTTATTCTAACATTCAAAATGTCAAATCCCAAGCATCCCACATTTCTCAGATGACCTTGTAACCAGCTTACTCATTAATGAATTGAATGAGGCTTTGACACTGTTGATTTTTTATTTGCATGATAGCCTCTGTCAGGATGATTTCAGATCTGTTTCTATCAGTGATCCCATGGGAGAGAGAAGCAAAAGCATCATGGACTCCTTGGAGTCCCCATTTCACCTTGGTGGGATAGGCAGTTTAGCTAGACTTGTTTCAATTCAAGAAGAGGAGGGTATCCCTAAGTTTTTCTTCTCTGAGTAAAGGAGGTGGGGTCAGGTGGTTAGTGGTGATGATAGTGAGGGTGGAGCTCCAGAGATTAATTGGATAAATAAAAGTGATGTGATTATAATTCCATTTTAAGTTTGTGGAGCAGTTTGTATCAGGCATTTATAGCAGTGCATTCATTTTTGAATGACTGAGGTAAAACCAATTCTCATCTCTTTGTATTTCTGACAGTGGCATTTGAAACCCTATCCTGAAACTGCAAAGATGAGGCAGTGGGACATAGCATTTTGAGTATTTTAGTGCTCAAATAGAAATATACTTACTGGGAGTTACAGTTCATAAGTGTTGTTCAGTTTGGATCATTTTGATGGAGCTATATGGTATGATTTTTTTTCAGAATTAGACGAGAAAATAAATGTGGCCGCCTCTACTTTTGTATTGTTTATCTTGCTCAGACTCATCTGGTTGGCAGTCAGATGCCAAATCTAGCACTGGAAATGATGTACACATTATGATATATTGTTCTTAACATTTTCTGAACATTTTCTGTCACCAGGTACTCTTAAACACCTATCATAATTCATTTTCATAATGAAAAGGGACCAAATTATGTCCTATTTTTGTTCTAACATGATGGCAGTTGTAGGTCAGGTTCCCCAGGAAGCAGACTCTAAGAGAGAGATGTGTGTGCAGAAGGTTAAATGGGGATTGCTCTTGGAGTCAACATCTCTTAGGAGTGAAGGAAGCAGGACGGGTCTGTGGAGAAGTTGAGTTGAAATAGAGTCACAGCAAAGACCTCAGCTGATCCCACAGGATGCTCTGGGCTTTGGAATCCCCACATTGACTAGTTTTTGGTTGCAAGCTGATCCCCTACCAGAGGTTCTGAACTTGGTCAGAGGGGCATTCCTCCGCAAAGAGCAATCACTGATGTTCTACCACCTAGATTTTGCTTCACACCAATTCATCTCTTTCTTTCTATTTTCACTTCTGCAGCATAGGTTTAGGCTCTCATTGTTTCTTCAGTGGATTTTTTAATGGTCTTCTAGCAACTCATTTCCCAGGTCCCACTACTGTCTTCTCCAATTAGGATGACATATAATTTGTCAACGAAACCAGGACACTTTTGAGAGTGGAACAGGATATTATTAAACATTACATTTAGAAAGCAGGCATCAACAAGGACCCAGGCAAACTGGGACATATGGACACCGCTCTAATTTATCCTGCATAGCTGTCAGAATTTGCTTTCTGAAACTCTTGTCTAACCCTGTCACTTGCCCTGTTATATAATGTGTCTAAGGGGAAGCATGTACTGTTCTAATGACTGCAGCGTTCTGCTCTGCTTGGCTGGGTTTCTCGTTATAAATCAACCAATTAGTTGTCTGCATCTCTTGTAGTTTGGGATAAATTCTAGTAAGTAGAAGTTTTCCCAGGGTTGTATCACTTTTGGGTATCATAACAAAGCAAACTTTGAGATTATTCACACTGAGAAGCATTCCCTGGAATGTGCCAACTCGATACAAGCTTGTCCAACACAGTTCTGACCCACTGATCAGTGGTGCCCCGGAAGACAACATAGCCACACAGCCTTCAGCCTCAGCATGACCTCTCCACTGCTGTAGGATCAGTGGTTGAATGGATCAAGTGGGCTATTTAATAAATGGCTGAACAAGACAGAAAGTGGTCAGCGATCCTCATCAGACATATCAGTGTTTTCCAAACCTTTCTGCTTTTCAGGGAAGTAGTAAAAGAAAACGTTTTTCCTGATAAGAATTCATTTACTTTTCATTCACTGATGAAAGGAATTCTTTCTTAGAACTTTTCTGAGGAAACTAGCTATCCTTTTGTTATTTCTAATGTGTCTTAAATATTAAAATTTTCATTACATGAGAAATTTGTATGCATTGATGAAAAATTAGAAAATACAGAATAGCAAAAGGAAAAGTAATTCCTGTGCCAGGGGGCAGGGCTGCTTCCACCTCAATTTCAAAGGGTAGGAACCAACACCCAGCTGAGCTGTGGGGGCAGAGGTGCAGAACGCTTTAAGTGTGACAAACAGTAATGGCATGGGGAGGGCTGCTGCAAAGAGCCAGGGTGTGGGCAGTGTGTCCCCTAATGTTGTCACCCCAGTCTCTCTGATAGGCAGAACTTCTTCCCAAGAGGGGTTGGAGAGCAGAGTATGGCACCAAAGAGGATTAGTCTTAAGCTTTAAAATCTCATGCAATTTGCCTTGCTAGGTTTGGACTTGCTTGGAACCCATCACCCCTTCCTTCTTTCCTATTTCTCTCTTTTGGAATGGAAATGTCTTGCCTATGCCTGTCCCACCACTGTATTTTGGAAGCACAAAACTTGTTTAATTTCACAAGCTCACAGCTGGAGAGGAATTTTGCCTCAAAATAAGTCATACATTGAGTTTCACCCATATCTGATTTAGATGAGATTTGGGTGGGAAATTGGATTTTAGACTTTAGAGTTGATGCTAGAACACTTTTGCAGTTGCTGGGATGGGATAAATATATTTTGCATGCAAGAAGGACATGATTTTTGGAGGGTTGGGGCAGAATGTTATGGACTAAGTATTTGTGTGCCCACCCCCTTCCCCACCACCCAGTAAATTTATGTGTTGAAATCATAACCCCTAATGTGATGGTATTAAGAAAGTGGAGACTTTGGGAGGTAATTAGGTCTTGGGGGTGAGGCCCTCCTGAATGGAATTAGTGTCCTTATAAAACAGAGTCCAGAGTGCGTTCTCTCTCTCCTTCCACCATGTGAGGACACAGCAAGAAGATGGCAGGATGCAACTCAGAAGAGGACCGTCACCAAGAATCTGATCCTTCTGGAACCCTGATCTTGGGCTTCCAAAATAAATTCCTGCTGTTTATTAGCCACCCGGTCTCTGGTACTTTGATACAGCAGTCTGAATGGACAAAACCACTCTTTCTACCTTGTACATAAGGTTGTATTAATTTTGTATACATTTTTCTGTTGTGTTCTGTGTGAATGTGTCTATAAACACTCACACACATAACAAAAGTATGAGCATCCTAAGCAAGTGGAACTAACTTTTTTCACTTAGTAATAAAAAATTCTTTCTACATTAATAGGTATATCTCTGCATCATTATTTGTAATGGCTGCACTGTATTCAATTTTATGATTGCTCCATACTTTATATAACAATCCCTTATTTTCTAGCATTAAGGAAGTTTCTAACTTTGTTGTTATTTAAGAAAATATTCACTGCATATCCTTGTATATATGTATTTTCCCATTTTGATTTTTTTAGAATTTTTTTATTATACTTTAAGTTCTAGGGTACATGTACACAACATGCAGGTTTGTTACATATGTATACATGTGCCATGTTGGTGTGCTGCACCCATTAACTCGTCATTTACATTAGGTATATCTCCTGATGCTATCCCTCCCCCATCTCCCCACCCCACGACAGGCCCCAGTGTGTGATGTTCCCCATCCTGTGTCCAAGTGTTCTCATTGTTCAATTCCCACCTATGAGTGAGAACATGCGGTATTTGGTTTTCGGTCCTAGTGATAGTTTGCTCAGAATGATGGTTTCCAGTTTCACCCATGTCCCTACAAAGGACATGAACTCATCCTTTTTTATGGCTGCATAGTATTCCATGGTGTATATGTGCCACATTTTCTTAATCCAGTCTATCATTGATGGACATTTGGGTTGGTTCCAAGTCTTTGCTATTGTGAATAGTGCCGCAATAAACATACGTGTGCATGTGTCTTTATAGCAGCATGATTTATAATCCTTTGGGTATATAGCCAGTAATGGGATGGCTGGGTCAAATGGCATTTCTAGTTCTAGATCCTTGAGGAATCGCCACACTGTCTTCCACAATGGTTGAACTAGTTTACAGTCCCACCAACAGTGTAAAAGTTTTCCCATTTCTCCACATCCTCTCCAGCACCTGTTGTTTCCTGACTTTTTAATGATTGCCATTCTAACTGGTGTGAGATGATATCTCATTGTGGTTTTGATTTGCATTTCTCTGATGGCCAGTGATGATGAGCATTTTTTCATGTGTCTTTTGGCTGCATAAATGTCTTCTTTTGAGAAGTGTCTGTTCACATCCTTCGCCCACTTTTTGATGGGGTTGTTTGATTTTTTTCTTGTAAATTTGTTTAAGTTCTTTGCAGATTCTGGATATTAGCCCTTTATCAGATGAGTAGATTGTAAAAATTTTCTCCCATTCTGTAGGTTGCCTGTTCACTCTGATGGTAGTTTCTTTTGCTGTGCAGAAGCTCTTTAGTTTAATTAAATCCCATTTGTCAATTTTGCCTTTTGTTGCCATTGCTTTTGGTGTTTTAGACATGAAGTCCTTGCCCATGCCTATGTCCTGAATGGTATTGCCTAGGATTTCTTCTAGGGTTTTTATGGTTTTAGGTCTAACATTTAAGTCTTTGATTCATCTTGAATTAATTTTTGTATAAGGCGTAAGGAAGGGATCCAATTTCAGCATTCTACATATGTCTAGCCAGTTTTCCCAGCACCATTTATTAAATAGGGAATCCTTTCCCCATTGCTTGTTTTTGTCAGGTTTGTCAAAGATCAGATGGTTGTAGATGTGTGGTATTATTTCTGAGGGCTCTGTTCTGTTCCATTGGTCTATATCTCTGTTTTGGTACCAGTACCATGCTGTTTTGGTTACTGTAGCCTTGTAGTATAATTTGAAGTCAGGTAGCGTGATGCCTCCAGCTTTGTTCTTTTGGCTTGGGATTGTCTTGGCAATGTGGGCTCTTTTTGGTTCCATATGAACTTTAAAGTAGTTTTTTCCAATTCTATGAAGAAAGCCATTGGTAGGTTGATGGGGATGGCATTGAATCTATAAATTACCTTGGGCAGTATGGCCATTTTCATTATATTGATTCTTCCTATCCATGAGAATGGAATGTTCTTCCATTTGCTTGTATCCTCTTTTATTTCATTGAGCAGTGGTTTGTAGTTCTCCTTGAAGAGGTCCTTCACATCCCTTGTAAGTTGGATTCTTAGGTATTTTATTCTCTTTGAAGCAATTGTGAATGGGAGTTTACTCTTGGTTTGGCTCTCTGTTTTCTCTGTTATTGGTGTATAGGAATGCTTGTGATTTTTGCACATTGATTTTGTATCCTGAGACTTTGCTGAAGCTGCTTATCAGCTTAAGAAGATTTTGGGCTGAGATGGTGGGGTTTTCTAAATATACAATCATGTCATCTGCAGACAGAGACAATTTGACTTCCTGTTTTCCTAATTGAATACCCTTTATTTCTTTCTCCTGCCTGATTGCCCTGGCCAGAACTTCCAACACTATGTTGAATAGGAGTTGTGAGAGAGGGCATCTCTGTCTTGTGCCAGTTTTCAAAGGGAATGCTTCCAGTTTTTGCCCATTCAGAATGATATTGGCTGTGGGTTTGTCATAAATAGCTCTTATTATTTTGAGATATGTCCCATCACTACCTAGTTTATTGAGAGTTTTTAGCATG
This sequence comes from Homo sapiens, assembly GCF_000001405.40. Classification (NCBI taxonomy): domain Eukaryota; kingdom Metazoa; phylum Chordata; class Mammalia; order Primates; family Hominidae; genus Homo; species Homo sapiens. The sequence goes on from NC_000010.11 coordinate 89,933,742, forward strand.
AAGGGTTGTTGAATTTTGTCGAAGGCCTTTTCTGCATCTATTGAGATAATCATGTGGTTTTTGTCTTTGGTTCTGTTTATATGCTGGATTACGTTTATTGATTTGCATATGTTGAAATAGCCTTGCATCCCAGGGATGAAGCCCACTTGATCATGGTGGATAAGCTTTTTGATGTGCTGCTGGATTCGGTTTGCCAGTATTTTATTGAGGATTTTTGCATTGATGTTCATCAGGGATATTGGTCTAAAATTCTCTTTTTTTGTTGTGCTCTGCCAGGCTTTGGTATCAGGATGATGCTGGCCTCATAAAATGAGTTAGGGAGGATTCCCTCTTTTTCTATTGATTGGAATAGTTTCAGAAGGAATGATACCAGCTCCTCTTTGTACCTCTGTTGGAATTTGGCTGTGAATCCATCTGGTCCTGGTCTTTTTTTGGTTGGTAAGCTACTAATTATTGCCTCAATTTCAGAGCCTGTTATTGGTCTATTCAGGGATTGAACTTCTTCCTGGTTTAGTCTTGGGAGGGTGTATGTGTCCAGGAATTTATCAATTTCTTCTAGATTTTCTAGTTTATTTGTGTAGAGGTGTTTATAGTATTCTCTGATGGTAGTTTGTATTTCTGTGAGATTGGTGGTGATATCCCCTTTATCATTTTTATTGTCTATTTGATTGTTGTCTCTTTTCTTCTTTATTAGTCTTGCTAGCGGTCTATCAATTTTGTTGATCTTTTCAAAAAACCAGCTCCTGGATTCATTGATTTTTTGAAGGGTTTTTTTTGTGTCTCTATCTCCTTCAGTTGTGCTCTGATCATAGTAATTTCTTGCCTTCTGCTAGCTTTTGAATGTGTTTGCTGTTGCTTCTCTAGTTCTTTTAATTGTTATGTTACATTGTCAATTTTAGATCTTTCCTGCTTTCTCTTGTGGGCATTTAGTGCTATAAATTTCCCTCTACACACTGCTTTAAATATGTCCCAGAAATTCTGGTATGTTGTGTCTTTGTTCTCATTAGTTTCCATGAGCATCTTTATTTCTGCCTTCATTTCCTTATGCTCCCAGTAGTTATTCAGGAATAGGTTGTTCAGTTTCTATGTAGTTGAGTGGTTTTGAGTGAGTTTCTTAATCCTCAGGCCTAGTTTGATTGCACTGGGGTCTGAGAGACAGTTTGCTTTAATTTCTGTTCTTTTACATTTGCTAAGGAGTGCTTTACTTCCAACTATTTGGTCAATTTTGGAATAAGTGCGATGTGGTGCTGAGAAGAAGGTATATTCTGTTGATTTGAGGTGGAGAGTTCTGTAGATGTCTGTTAGTTCTGCTTGGTGCAGAGCTGAGTTCAATTCCTGGATATCCTTGTTAACTTTCTGTCTCGTCAATCTGTCTAACGTTGGCAGGGGGCGTTAAATTCTCCTGTTATTATTGTTTTGGAGTCTAAGTCTCTTTGTAGGTCTCTAAGGACTTGCTTTATGAATCTGGGTGCTCCTGTATTGGGTGCATATATATTTAGGATAGTTAGCTCTTCTTGTTGAATTGATTCCTTTACCATTATGTAATGGTTATCTTTGTCTCTGTTGATCTTTGTGGGTTTAAAGTCTGTTTTATCAGAGACTAGGATTGCAACCCCTGCCTTTTTTTGTTTTCCATTTTCTGGGTAGATCTTCCTCCATCCCTTTATTTTGAGCCTATGTGTGTCTCTGTACATAAGATGTATCTCCTGAATACAGCACACTGATGGGTCTTGACTCTTTTTCCAATTTGTCAGTCTGTGTCTTTTAATTGGAGTATTTAGCCCATTTACCTTTAAGGTTAATATTATTATGTGTGAATTTGATCCTGTCCTTATGATGTTAGCTGGTTATTTTGCTCATTAGTTGATGCAGTTTCTTCCTAGCATCGATGGTTGTTACAATTTGGCATGTTTTTGCGGTGGGTGGTACTGGTTGTTCCTTTCCATGTTTAGTGCTTCCTTCAGGAGCTCTTGTAAAGCAGGCCTGGTGGTGACAAAATCTCTCAGCATTTGCTTGTCTGTGAAGGGTTTTGTTTCTTCTTCATTTATGAAGCTTTGTTTCACTGGATATGAAATTCTGGGTTGAAAATTCTTTTCTTTAAGAATGTTGAATATTGGCCCTCACTCTCTTCTGGCTTGTAGTGTTTCTGCCGAGAGATCCGCTGTTAGTCTGACGGACTTCCCTTTGTGAGTAACCCGACCTTTCTCTCTGGCTGCCCTTAACATTTTTTCCTTCATTTCAACCTTGGTGAATCTGACAATTATGTGTCTCGGAGTTGCTCTTCTCGAGGAGTATCTTTGTGGCATTCTCTGTATTTCCTGAATTTGAATGTTGGCCTGCCTTGCTAGATTGGGGAAGTTTTCCTGGATAATATCCTGAAGAGTGTTTTCCAACTTGGTTCAATTCTCCCCATCACTTTCAGGTACACCAATCAGATGTAGATTTGGTCTTTTCACATATTTCCGTATTTCTTGGAGGCTTTGTTCATTTCTTTTTACTCTTTTTTCTCTAAACTTCTCTTCTCACTTCATTTCATTCATTTGATCTTCAATCACTGATATCCTTTCTTCCACTTGATCGAATTGGCTACTGAAGCTTGTGTATGCGTCATGTAGTTCTCGTGCCGTGCTTTTCAGCTCCATCAGGTCATTTAAGGTCTTCTCTATGCTGTTTGTTCTAATTAACCATTTGTCTAATCTTTTTTCAAGGTTTTAACTTCTTTGCAATGGGTTTGAACATCCTCCTTTAGCTCGGAGGAGTTTGTTATTATTGATCGTCTGAAGCTTTCTTCTCTCAACTCATCAAAGTCATTGTCTGTCCAGCTTTGTTCCATTGCTGTTGAGAAGCTGTGTTCCTTTGGAGGAGAAGAGGTGCTCTGATTTTTAGAATTTTCAGCTTTTCTGCTCTGGTTTCTCCCCATCTTTGTGGTTTTATCTACCTTTGGTCTTTAATGATGGTGACGTACAGATGGGGTTTTGGTGTGGATGTCCTTTCTGTTTATTAGTTTTCCTTCTAACAGTCAGGACCCTCAGCTGCAGGTCTGTTGGAGTTTGCTGGAGGTCCACTCCAGACCCTGTTTGCCTGCGTATCACCAGTGGAGGCTGCAGAATGGCATATGTTGCTGCTGGATCCTTGCTCTGGAAGTTTCATCTCAGAGGGGCACCTGGCTGTATGAGGTGTCAGTCGGCCCCTACTGGGAGCTACCTCCCAGTTAGGCTACTCGGGGGTCAGGGACCCACTTGAGGAGGCAGTCTGTCTATTCTCAGATCTCAACCTCTGTGCTGGGAGAACCACTACTCTCTTCAAAGCTGTTAGACAGGGACATTTAAGTCTGCAGAGGTTTCTGCTGCCTTTTGTTCAGCTATGCCCTCCCCCAGAGGTGGAGTCTACAGAGGTGGGCAGGCCTCCTTTAGCTGCAGTGGGCTCCACCCAGATCGAGCTTCCTGGCCACTTTGTTTACCTACTCAAGCCTCAGCAATGATGGATGCCCCTCCCCCAGCCTCGCTGCCACCTTGCAGTTCAATCTCAGACTGCTGTGCTAGCAGTGAGCAAGGCTCCATGGGTGTGGGACCCTCCAAGCTAGGTGCGGGATATAATATCCTGCTGTGTCGTTTGCTAAGACTGTTGGAAAAGCACAGTATTAGGGTGGGAGAGTCCCGATTTTCCAGGTACCATCTGTCATGACTTCCCTCGGCTAGGAAAGGGAATTCCCCTACCTCTTGTGCTTCCAGGGTGAGGCGATGCCCCGCTCTGCTTTGGCTCACACTCCGTGGGCTGCACCCACTGTCCAACAAGCCCCAGCAAGATGAACCTGATACGTCAGTTGGAAATGCAGAAATCACCCATCTTCTGCATCACTCACGCTGGGAGCTTTAGACTGGAGCTGTTCCTATTTGGCCATCTTTGAGCCTCCTCCCTTTCATTCAGGATTAATTTTTATGTGCAGATTTGCTCAATCACCTTTAGGCTCTTGAGCAGTCTGGCCAACTTGATGGGTTGGCATTTGTGTGTGTGTTGCTAAGCCTCACAGCTGCCTGATTGGGCAGCTTTACTGGTGGAGTGTCAGATTCCTTGGTTGCCTATTAGAAAATGATGAGTCTTAAGCATAAAGAAATCCATTTAAAAAAAAAACACCATATAATCCTTTGGATATTTGTACAGGCAAGCTGAAATGGGACATGATCTATAAAAAAATTGAAACTCAATATATATATTTTTTCTCAAAAGTATTTTTGTTGCAGTTTCCTCCTCAGTGTTGTGTTACTGGGAAATAATAGCTTCGCTTTCTTTCTAGTTTATTTGGCTAATTTAGGCTCAGTCTAATGATTCTCCATTTCTATGGAAAATAAGAAAAGACATATTTAACGTATTTCTAATTTTGAGTAGGTCTTTGCCGAATACAAGCATTTTGAATTAGCCAGAAAAAAATATTCAGAATATGACGTAAAATTGAGCTCTGATATTTCATTCTTCCAAAAGTTCTTTTACTGTTTGATAGTTTTCTGGACTTAACTGAAAGTGTAGTTTGTGTCAGAGTCTTTAGTGATTGATGACAGGTAAAAGTTGGCAGCATGACCTGGAATTTTAATGGATCATGGAGGATTGACTCCTTGAGAGAAAAATTGTCAGATGATGCTCAGTGATGACAGTATTCAGAAGACTATACGTATTCTCAATTTTAAAAGATAATGTCAAATTGAAAGTCAACTTTCTCTAGGTATTTTATTGGTGATTGTCACCTTGATCTTTCACATTCTACATTACTTTTCTCTCCCTGACTCAACAATATATATATTTTTTGCTAGAGAAATGTGCATCCAAGTTCACGTTAACACTTTCTTCATTCACAGGAGTCTTCCTTTACCTTAAATCTTTCAACATAGGTAGGGGTGTGGCAGCATGGGCAATGGGAGTTGAAGTATTGTTTGCAACTGGGATGGATTCTTGCTCTCTGAATTCTGAAACTCTAAAAGCATTAACTTCCTGCAGGCCAGGAAGTATGAGAGATGAATCAGCCTCTTCTCCCTCCAGCATCAATTTTTTGAATCTATAAACAGTGGCTTTATTGTGGTATACAATTATGGCAAAGGCCTTCACCAATGGAGCACGTTATTGATGGCAGATGTAATAGCTAGCTAATCCTATAATCATGTCAGTAGAATTAGGAGACCATTAGAGCTTCCCAGTTAAGCACTGGGTATTTGGAGATGTTGCTGCTCCAGTATTCAGCAGTGTTTTTGATCACTGCCATTCTGCAATAGACAATCTATGGGTCACAAGCTTCCATTTATCTATTGTATCTATAGAAACTCTCCTGTCTCTAGACTCTATGAAGTATGGGCATTTTCTCCCAAACAAATGAAGCTGAGAATATGAGAGGACCCTGAGTCCAAAGATATCCCAAAAGCCTATATTCTTAAGTAGAGGCTGAAGGTACCAAGAGCTAGGAAGTCAGTGAGTTGTCTTTTCTTAGGATAAACAGTGAGATTTGCAGCAGTCAATCCACTTCTTTCTCTGGATAATAGTTGATATGGTTTGGATGTTTGTCCTCTCCAAATCTCATGTGGAAATGTGACTTCCAATGTTGGATGTGGGGTCTAGTGAAAGGTATTGGTTCATGAGGAGAGATCCCTCATGAATGTCTTAGCACCATCCCCTTGGTGATGAGTGAGTTCTTGCTCTAGGTTCATGTGAGATCTGGCTGTTTAAGAGTATGGCACCTCTCTCCTCTCTGTCTCTTGCTCCTGCACTCACCATATGACAGGCTGGCTCCCCTTTGCCTTCCACCATGATTGTAAGCTTCCTGAGGCCTCACCAGAAGCAGATGCTGGCACCACACTTCTTTTACAGCCTACAGAAACTTAAGCCAAAATAAACCAATTTTCTTTATTAATTATCCAGTCTCAGGTATTCCTTTATAGCAATGTAAGACTAGACTAACACAATAACCTTTTCATCCTTTGAGCAGAAGTTACAGATGGGTGGTAAGAGGGGATAGAAATGGAACAAGACAGCAAAAATGTATGTTGGGGGAAGGGGTCTTTGAGATATACATAAATCCAGGTTAATGTGCACATTTTATGCAGACTTAAGGCACATTTCCTACTCTTGCCTTTTAAGAAGACAGAAGGGCTTGAATCATAAAAAGGGAGGTCTTGGCAATCAAAATAATATACAAGTGATTGATGCTGCCATCTTCTTAAGCAGGCACAAACTACTCTCAAACCCTTTGCAAACTTACTGCCTTTTTTCCCCTTCTTTTGCCAATTTTCTATGCAACTGCCAAGAATTTCATCAGCCTGGACTTCATGTTGGCATACTCACTAATATTTTTATTTCCTTTCATTTTTGTGGCTCTGCATGCTTTTGAAGTCTTACTCAGCTTCCCTGAAACACCCTTGGTATATTTTAAAGGCTTCTTTCCAAACTTGAACTTTACCTGTGTGATACCTCCTTCCTGCACCTTGGCTGGATCCAGTCTTAATGTTGTGATTCTGTGTTCAAACATGCTTATGACTATTGGCAGGTCCACAGGCCTCATGGCAACAAGGGCTGCATGCCAGCCTTGCCTTACTCCCCTGGTGACCTTAGTTGCTTTCAACCACAATCTCATGAGTGTAGGAACAATCGCTGGCCTTATTGCATTGGAGTATACCAGCTTTCATGTTTTAGGGCTTATCTGCCCTGATATATACTTGCATGACCTGCAAGAAGACATTTTTAAATCATTCTCTACTTCTGGATCCAAACAGAAGAAATGCTTTTCTCTTTTCCATCTTTTTGTTCTCTCATGCTTTCCAGTTCCTCAGCTCTTTCCACATCCTTTTAGGCACATGGAATTTATCCCTTTAGGCACTGTTGGTAGAATACTCTGTTATTTTCGTTTGCTTTCACAACTAAGATTTCTACAAAAATCTTGTCATCAGTGTTTAGGAATGTAGGTGACCCCCACTTTCAAATATCTGATGTTTTAAATCTATTTGTTTTTTGAGTTGGACATTTCATTTTTCACTCATTTAATGATGCAAAACAATAACCACAGGCTTTGATCACAGAAGTTCTGCTTTTACCTAGCTTTCCTAATTAAAAAAGATATTCCTAAGATTTTATTTCATAAAAGGATTATGATTTTTTTGTTGTGTGAAAAATTTGGCTGGACGTTGGTTTCAGTTTCTGAGAGGAAGCCTTTAAACCCTGGGATTTCTGAAGAGATAGGAGTGTTTTTGTTATTTGTGGTGGGCCCCTTGAAACACACCTGGGTTTACGTTAGTGAGGTAACTACTAGTGGGTCCCTATCCTATTTGATTTCAGAATGGAGACTGGCCATGACAGAAAGACCAACCATGATTTAGAGGCTTGGGGCTTTGAGCCATGTGATATCAGCCTGACATCCCAATCTCTGGAGTTGGGTGGAGAAGTGTTGAAGATTCAATTAAATCATGCTGGCATAATGAAACACTAATAAAAACTCTGGATACTTGGAGTTTGGTCAGCTTTCTGGCTGGTGGTGCACACTGATATGCCGGGAGGGTAATATACCCTGACCCCATGAGGAGAGGACATGGAAATCCTGCATCTGAGACCCTCCTAGATCGTGCCCTATGTGTCTCTTATTTTCACTGGCTAGTTTTGATTTGCATCCTTTTTTGCTGTAATGAAACAGCAGTTGCAAGTACAACACTTTCTTGAGTTCCGTGAATTGTTATAATGACTTATTGAACGTGAGAGGGTAGTCGAAACCCCTGGATTTATAACTAGTTGATCAGAAGTGCAGGTGGCCTGGCAACCCCTGAGCCTATGGGTGGTGTCTGAAGTGAGGGCAGACTAGGAGGGACTGTGCCCTTAACTGATGAAGTTTATTTAACCTAACTCCAGGTGGTTAGCATCAGAAGTCAACTGCAGTACTGAAAGTCATTGGGAAACCACGGAAATAATAGGCTTTGCATGGAATTATTGCACAAAAGTGTTAGTAAACAGGACAAAGTCATATTCTATTCTAAAATGCAATGAAATGGATAATTTCTACAATTTTGCAGCATCTAAATATTATGGCCACATATTCAAAACAATCACAGAGACAACTTATTCAACAAGTTTTTTCTTGAAAAACATCTGTTAAAGAACAGGTACTATGAATGAAGTTAAAAAGACAAACCTGTGAAAATATCTGGGATAAAATATTTAATTCACTATCAAGAAAATTAGGATTGAGAATATCACCACTGAACATAATTTACTCTTAACTTACCGAATATTCCCCAGTACCTCCGAATATATTCTCAGTTGGAACTATTATAGTTCTAAGAAAGAGTTGATGGAAGATGTCAAGAACTTTTAATTTATAAACCATTAAGTGAAGCTTTCAAGAAGACTGTGGGCAATTTTAGAAATACTTACAAATAATAAAACTATATTGAAAATAATCTTCAGTAAAGTATTGGTGACATGATATGAAAGGCAGATGTGGCTAAGAAACCAGATAACTTAGGTGACTATATGCTATTTCACCCAGAATAAATCCCAGTAGACGCTAGGGTGGTCTGTGAGACTCTCCTAAGGCTATTGACTTTCCCTTCCTCTGTGGTCTCTTCTAACCTCTCTCCTGGACCACTTTCCTCCCACCACACCCTGTCTGCATTCTAGTTGCTATTCAGACTCTCTAGCCACACTCTGTTGGCCATAGTAAAAATGGGTGGTTAGACCACAAAACCAGAAAACATGTCTCAAGTACCCAGTGTTCTGAATGAGCCTGTACTACTGTGCTGCTGATTATTGGCAATAAAGTAATTTATTACTTCCTTTTAATTGGTTTGAACCATATGAAATTGCCAAGTAATAGTGACATAGAAAACAGGAAGTAATTAAATTAATCCCCAAATTGTATAGTCCCGATATCTCCAAATTAAATGGACAACGTCAAGTAAAATCAAAGAGAATGCAATAAAGTAAGAAAATATGAATGGACACTGAATAGAAATATTTATATATCAATACAGGAAGCTGCATCTGTTTGTTCATTTGTTGACAGGTGTTGTTAAATCCACAGGTTTATTGTAATTAACCTGGTTACTAAGGGGCTAATCATCTAATCTAGTTTTCTTAAGAGGTTTGCTTACATTGTCTTCTCCTCTCCTTCCGTCTCCATCTCCTTTCATCCCTTCTTTGATGCCTTACTCCGGCCCCCAGTCATGTTTACTTTCAAAATTTACTAGTGACTTCTAAGCTTCCAGACTAAATAGCCTTTTCCAAGTCTTCACTCAGTTGTGTCTGAATGGCTTTTAATAGTCAACCACCCATCAGTTCTAGTTTTACCCACTTTGGGTTTCTGTGACACATGCTTTCTCCCCTGCAGCTCTACTACCCTTCTGATGACCACCTCTTCTGTATTTATTGGTTTCTGTCTACTAACAGAATCTATCTTCGGCCTTCCATCCTTTGCACTCACTCCTCATGTGAGCTCATTCACCCTTATGATTTTTTACCTCTGTAGTACTGACTGCCTAATTTCTAAGCTCACCCCAACCCCTCATTGGCTCCTCTGTGTTGCATTTATAGTCACTCACTGAAGGTACTTGCATTTAAATTATCACCATGTTCTCACAATCACTTCCAGACCACTTCCCTTTACCAATCATCTCATTTCTATCTTGGACATGATTTAAGTCTCCCAGGAAACAAGTCTTCAATACAAAAGATAAATTTTGGGAATAGGAAACTAAAGTCATTATCTTTCTTCCAAAGAAGTTTCTGCTTTCAGCTCCTTGCGGTCTTCAATGGACATGTCCTGTCCTTGCATTATGCTGTGGTCCAATAACACCCTTCCACTTCTTATTCTCCAAATGCACTCTACCTTCCCTGAGCCTTTTCCCACACTATTCCCTTTACTTAGTTTCCATGCCACTCATCTCCACCAAGAAATCCTACCTGGTCTTCAAGGCCCAGTTATTATCCTCAGCCTCCAGCCAGAATGACTTTCACTGGACACTCATCTGTACCCATTTAGCATCTAAGAATCTTCAGTGGATGGAGATAGTTCTATACATCTCTCTCTCTCTAGTGCTAGGAAGTCAGTCCCCAGGCAACTGAATCCTTATCTGATTCTCATATTTTTAAACCCCTCACAGTACCCAGATTATGCTCATTAATTGTTGTTTTAATTGAATGGCATGGACTCTCCTAGGCATGGGGGTACAAAATAATCAGACTGGTTCTTATTTAAGCATTTGGGAGTCTTTTCCTACTTATTACCTGCAATTAAATGTTAATGAAGAATTACTGAAAAAATTAAAATGCATAAAGCACAGCTAATATTGTAAGAGGGATGACAGCCTGGCTAGAGACCTAGGCACGCATGCACATCATATTAACTAGTTATGTAACTACCCTTTTATTTATCCTCTGGATTACTGGTCACATAGAAAGACTGAACACCAAAATTACTGGACACACTGAAGAAAGTTACACAGCAAGAACTTACCATCACAAAAAAGACAGTATCTGACTAAACTGACAGGTTTAGTTAGAACCAATATCTACTGCAAGGTATTTGTTCACTTTTCCAGATCACTTGCAGGAGGGCCTCTGATGACAGATTACAACACATGTCTTAGCTGTCATTATGAAAGGCATGACTGATGAGTGTGCCAAGCCCTAGATTCTGCAAAGGAATTCTCTGACACTGTTATCTGGAGGGTTGGCCTGAAGTTAAACTGTGGAGTCAGTTGCTTTCTTCTCCCATCCTCAGGGCCGTCCAAGTTCCTTGTTATCCATTTCCTCTCCTGCCCTTCTCCTCAAACCTACACAAGATGCCTTTCTCACCAATTGTTAAAAAAAGATTGGGGATGGAGGGTGGAGAAATTGGAAAGTGCTAGTTTTTGAATCTATATAATACACATACATTTTTTAAGTCAAAGAGTATTTCAAGGTCAAAAACAGAAAAGAGCGTTCATCTGCCCCTTTTCTTTCTTCCTCATCTGCTTATGCCATACAGGCACCACCACTTTCAACCATTTTAGCAGTTGTTTCAGGCATTTATCTCCTTATTTATAAATAATCCATTTATTCATCTATTTATTTTGCTTCTTGGTTTTAAATATGATCATTTATTTTTCTGTTTAATTTAATAAGCTTAGAACCTCCTCTCCCCTTGCACACCCAAGTACAAAATGGTTCTATCACAATCATAACTGGGAGGCAAAAAAAGTCAATGTTTTCACTATATATATGTGTGTGTGGGTGTGTATATATAGTGAATATAATAAACATAATATTTCTTGTAGCTTAATCTTATGGTGTGTTATATTTCCTTATAGTGTGTTATGACATTTTCTTTCTTGTTCAACTTTTTGTTTTTTACAAATTCATAAACACCTCATTTTAAATGCTTACTTTTAAACCCCTAACTAAATCAGCCTCACACTTCTCAAAATAATATTTTACAATGTAAGTAACACATCATTTATTAGTAACTTTTTTCTTTGTCGGAAACATCTCTGAAGACTCCTGCATCATTGAATCTGGACTAATTGCTCTTGACACTAACTATTCTGAGTCTGCCCTCACTCTCCTTCTAAGAAATTTCTTTGCTCTCTTCTATGTTGGATTCCCTATATCCTGGATTCTTTGTTTTACTCTTTCTTGGGTTTTGCTCTCATTTTTGGAGAGGAATGCCTTCCAGTAGCTTCCTGAGAAAGAAGATGCATAGGAGGTAAATTTCTTAAAAGCTTGTTTGTCTTAAAGTGTCTTTTTTTTTTTTTTCCTGAGATAGAGTCTTATTCTGTCATCCAGGCTGGAATGCAGTGGCACAATCATGGCTTGCTGAAGCCTCACCTCCTCAGGCTTAGGTGATTGTCCCACCTCAGCCTCCTGCGTAGATGGAACTACAGGCGTGCAGTACCACATCTGGCTAACTTTTTGTAGAGGCAGGATTTTGCCATGTTGCCCAGGTTGGTCTCGAACTCCTGACCTCAAGCGATCTGCCTGCCTCAGCCTCCCAAAGAATTATGTTGCTTTTGAGGAGTTCATTGCTTTTGGTTAGCTGTCTTTGGTATGTGAGCTGCTTTTTTACTCTCCTCCCCAGGGTTGCATCAATTTTCTTCCCCTAAGTCAAGATACTTCAAAGAGCAATTATAGAATTTCAAAAATAAATCTATATCACTTGGCCCCTTGCTTAAACTGTCTCATTATTTTTTTTAATAAGAATGAACACAAGAATTCATTCCTTGTGTTAGTAGAACACAAGGATAAGCTAACAAGGATGCCTTTTAAGGATAAACTTGTCTTTATGCTTGCAAGATTTGCTTTCAATAATTGCAGTTTGATAAAAGCTTCAAAACCAGAAGTTTTTGGCACTTAATACATGGCATATTACCTCCTAAAATTAGTAGAACTAAGGATACTTCATTTTAGCACCGCATGTGCTGTCCTCAAAAGGGTCTGGAGAAGGTCAGGAATAGAGAGAGGGTGATTGCCGGTTATCTTCCAGACTTAACTACAAGTTAAAGTGAGAAGTCTATTTACTGCAAATGCATCTGACATACTACTAAATGAGACCATAACAGAGGCTGGAAACTGAAAGTGAAAGTCAACCAATCCTAACCATGCCTATTTTAAGTCTACTACTACTACTAATAATAACACTTTATTACAAATGAAAATAAAATCAGAAAAAATGCTAAGCTGGATAACATTTCAGTGCAGTTGTTATAAAATTCCAAGGCAAATAAATGTCAAGTCTCATGAAATGTAACGATTCCAGGCAAACTAAGATGCATGACCACCCCAGATACAGGGCATCTTTAATATTAAAAAAAGATTCATTTCAGAATTTGTGGAAGGAAAAGTCCAGGACCTGATAGCTTCACTGCTGAATTCTACCAAACACTTAAAGAACTAATACCAATTCCACTTAATCTATTCTGAAAAATAGAAAAGGAGGAAATACTTCCAAACTCATTGTATGAGGCCGGTATTACCCTGATGCCATGAAAGACACATCAAAAAGGAAAACGACAGGCCAATATCTCTGATAAATATTGACGCAAAAATCTTCAACAAAATACTAGCAAACCAAATTCAACAATACTTTAGAAAGATCATTCATCATGATCAAGTAGCATTTATCCCTGCCATGCCAGGATGGCTCAACGTATGCAAATCAATCAATATGGTACATCATATCAACAGAATGAAGGACAAAACCATATGATTATTTCAATTGATGCTGAAAAAGCATTTGATAAAATTCAACATCACTTCATGATAAAACTCTTAAAAATCTGGGTATATAAGGGCCACACCTAAACATAAAAAAACATATATTACAGACCCACAGCTAGTATCATACTGAATGGGGAAAATCTGAAGCTTTTCCTCTAAGATCTGGAACATGGCAAGGAGGCCCACTTTCACCACTGTTATTCAACATAGTACTGAAAGTTCTAGCTAGAGAAATCAGACAGGAGAAATAAAGGGCATGCAATTTGGAATGGAAGTAGTCAAATTATCCTTGTTTGCAGATGATATGATCTTGTATTTGGAAAAACCTAAAGACTCCACAAAAAACCTATTAGAACTGATAAACAAATTCAGTAAAGTTGTAGGATACAAAACCAATATGCAAAAATCATATGCCAATAGTGAACAATCTAAAAAATAAATTTAAAAAGTAACCTCACTTACAAGAACCATGAATAAAATTAAATACCTAGAAATCAACTTAGCCAAAGAAATGAAAGATCTCTGTGATAAAATTCTAAAACACTAATGAAAAAAGTGGAAGAGGACACCAGAAAATGGAAAAATATTCCACGTTCACAGATTGGAAGAATCAATATTGTTAAAATGTCCACACTACCCAAAGCAATCTACAGTTTCAATGCAATCTCTATTAAAATACCAATGACATTCTTCACAGAAATAGAAAAAACAATCCTACAATTTATATGGAACCACAAAAGACCCAGAATAGCCAAAGCTATCCTAAGCAAAAAGAACAAAACTGGAGGAATCACATTACCTAACTTCAAATCATACTATAGAGCTAGAGTAACCAAAATGGCATGGTACTGGCATAAACACGGACACATAGAGCAATGGGACAGAATAGAGAACTCAGAAACAAATGCATACATCTACAGTGAGCTCATTTTTGACAAAGGCATCAAGAAACTACATTGTGGAAAGGACAGTCTTTTCAATAAATGGTGCTGGGAAAATGGGATATCCATATGCAGAAGAATGAAGCTAGATCCCTATCTCTTGCCATATATAAAATTAAATCAAAACAGATTAAAGACATAAATCTAAAACCTCAAACTATAAAACTACTAGAAGAAAACTTTGAGAGAATTCTCCATGACATTGGTCTGGGCAAAAATTTATTGAGCAATACCTTACAAACACAGGCAACCAAAGCAAAAATGAATGAATGGGATCACACAAAGTTAAAAATCTTCTGCGCAGCAAAGGAAGCAATCAATAAAGTGAAGAAACAACCCACAGAATGGGAGAAAATACTTGCAACTACCTAGCTGACAAGGGTTTAGTAACCAGAATATATAAGCATCTCAAACAACTCAATAAGAAAACATCTAACAATCTGATCAAAAATGAGCAAAAGATTTGAATAGACATTTCCCAAAAGAAGACATACAAGTGACAAATAGGTATATGAAAAGTTGCTCATATCATTGATCACTGGAGAAATGTCAATTAAAATTACAATGAGATATCTTCTCACTACAGTTAAAATGGCTTATATTCAAAAGTCAGGCAATAACAAATACTGGTGAGGATGTGGAGAAAAGGGGAACCTTACACATTGTTGACAGGAGTATAAATTAGTACAATCACTAAGGAGAACAGTTCGGAGGTTCCTCAAAAAACTAAACATTGAGCTGCCTTACTATCCAGCAATCTCCCTGCTGGGTATATACTCAAAAGAAAGGAAATCAATACACCAAAGAGATATCTTCACTCCCGTGTTTGTTGTAGCACTGTTCACAATAGCTAAGATTTGGAAGCAACCTAAGTGTTCATCAACAGATGAATGGATAAAGAAAATGTGGTACATATATTCAATGAGTACTATTCAGCCATTAAAAAGAATGAGATCCTGTCATTTGCAATAACATGAACGGAACTGGAGATTGTTATGTTAAGTGAAATAAGCCAGGCACAGCAAGACAAGCACCTCATGTTCTCGTTTATGCATGGAGTCCAAAAATCAAAACAATTCAACTTCTAGACATTTAGAGTAGAAGGATGGTTACAGGAGGCTAGGAAGGGTAGTAGGGGCCTGGGTGGGAGGTGGGGATGGTTAATGAGTACAAAAAATAGAAAGAATGAATAAGACCTACTATTTGATAGCACAACAGGGTGACTATAGTCAATAATAATTTAATTGCACATTTAAAAATACCTAAAAGAGTGTAATTGAATTGTTCGTAATGCAAGGGATAAATGCTTGAGGGGATGGATACCCCATTCTCCATAATGGGCTTATTTCACATTGCATGTCTGTATCAAAACATCTCATGTACCCTATAAATATATACACCTACTATGTACCCAGAAAAATTAAAAATAAAGAAAAACATAAAAAAGAGTTTGTGGAAGGAGGTTATATTCTAGAGTATGAATTTGATATTGCGTTAAATTGCTTTGGCCTGGACATTCTGATAAAGCACAAAACAAGAATTTGTAAGGGAAGAGGAGAGTCTCTTCGTTAGCAGAGGAGAGAATGCAGACAGTAATATAGATTGAGTTTGCCTAAAAGTAATATGTCATGAATTCATCTTTTTTAATGACTTGAATATAATCCAATCATAATTTTGGGATTACATACCCCTTTGGTGTTACAAACAGATGTCCCAGTTGGATGAAGTCTCAGAAAACAGCAGATTTAATGAAATTTCAACTTTCAAATGCCATTTTTAGTTTGCATGGAGTCAAAGTTGCTTGTTAAGTTGGCAACTTCCAAAATAATACTTGATTTGAAGAGTTAGAAATGTTGTGAACCTTATGCTAGGCCCACTGGGCTCTCTGACATTGACACACAGTGCTTTTCTGAGACAGCCAAGACTGACTTTGTGTTTGTCAAGGACAGCTGTCTATCTGAGGTAAAGGGAAAGCTTAACAAAAAGGTTCCATTCTGGTGACTTCTGTTAAAAAAAAAAAAGAAAGAAAATATGTTCAGTTGAACTGAGCTCAGAAATGGGCATTTGTAAAATTGGGGAATTGTTTTAAGACTATTTATCTACCCACTTAAATACATACTACGTATGTGCCCATTGTGTGCCAGACACCATGCTTGCAGCTGGTCAACAAAGCAGACATGGTTCCTTTCTCCATAGAGCTTTTCAATGAAGGAAAGGAAATATTTATTTAAGTCAAAGTAATTCTAAGGTATTCATTACCTGTCCTTCTGCCCTTCCAACAAGTTGTGCATTTCAAATTATAGATTGTTACCAAGGAGAACAGATTTTTGACAGTGCATTATATTAGAATAAGAAATAAAGGATGTTTGAAGAGTACATTACACATCAGATAGATCTAATGGAAGTAAAAATTTAACTCACTGATGCAAAAGACTAATAGTTATAGTAACAATAATAATAAACGGGTGTTTTCCATGTGCCAGACACTGTGCTAGGAGCTCTCCATAAATTATTTCATTTACTCTTCCCAACAATCCTATATAGTAGGCATCATTTTTATCTCCATTTTTTAAAAAAGGAAAGTGACTTATTAAAAGGTTAGGTGACATACTTGCCCAAGGTTGTTTATAATGTATAGATGAGCCAAGGGTCAAACTTAGTGAGTTTGACTCTGAAATGTCAGACTTAACCCTGAAGATCTCCTGCTTTCACCAGATTCCGTATAAGTGGCACGTATTTATGTGGTCACTATGGACCAGTCTACATAGTCACCCTTTTCATCTGTAGGCTGTGGGGTGAAAGGATTGTTAAAAGCTCTGAGAAGTCCAGTACTGCCATTCAAAACATCACCTTTCATCTCCCACTGTTATCTGATCTTTGGGGTGTTGCTTTTCTGGCTGGAAACTTCTGTGGCTGGTGACATCTTTGCCCAAGTTTTGCCTGAGCCCACTGGTCTCATTCTGCCCACTTGGCCTGGGAGGCTGCACTTGGCTTATGCTACTGGCGTGGTTCCCATGCCTGCCAAATAAGGCTGCATGGAGTGGCGACGGGTGTGTGAGTGAGTGTGGGGTCTGGCCACTGTGCAATCAGGCATGTCAGCTGATGTAGTAGGGTGGGCAGCTCCAGGTGCCAGCATGGGCACCAGCTCTCTGCGAGCCTGCAGCTGGACCAGGTGCCCTGCAAACAGCTTCCACAGCTGGCACTGAGGAATATAATGCTTCCCAGAAGCTTGGAGATGCCAGGAACCACAGGGCCTCAAAGAGGGAGTCACGGGCTTAACTCAAGGAGCTCCCGTGTCTGGGGTCCCTGAAGGGCTGCAGCATTTCTTTCCTTCTCTTCACCTGCGACATGGTGAACAATGGGGCATATCTCATCTCTGTTTGTGTTACAGCTCTTTTAGCCTTATTCAGCAGATCCTGAGTTCTTGTCCTGTGCCCAGGAAGAATGAGGTAGGCAGATAAGTGGAGAGTGAGCATGATGAGGAGGAGCTCTACTGAGTGATAGAACAACTGAGGGGAAACCCACAGGGGGATGCTCCTTGCTGCAGCCAGGGTGTCCTGATGAGTGTTCAGCTCCTAGCAGAGAGGGTAGCTCCTCTCTGCTAGGCAAGTCATCTCAACAAGTGTCCAGCTATCAGCAGAGAGGGTAGCTCCTCTCTGCAGCTGGTTGTCCCATCATCTGAGCAGCTGCCAGCAGAGAGGAGGCCCTAGAGTGGGTGGCTCGTCTCTGCTGGCAGGTCATCCTGTTATCTCTCCATTCTCTCTCTGTTGTCTCTGCAGTTCTCAGCAGAAAGGAGGCCCTAGAGTGAGTTGCTCCTCTCTGCAGCTGATTGTCCCAATGTCTGCTCAGCTCTGGCTGAGTCCAGGGCTTTTATGGACCTCAAAGGGGAGGAAGTATGTGTTTATTGGTCCATGGGCACCCATGGAAGGCCTGGAAAAGGCGTCACAAGATTCTACTCTGGTCTGTGGGACTGGCAGCCCAGCACCCAGCCTTCAGGCCCTCCCTTGCTTGAAAGCAGCACCTTACTGGGGACCCATTCCCTCCTTTCCAGGAACCTCGCTGCTTCCTACTGTCATTCATGGCACCCAGGCTGTAGGTGCCAAGAGCTGCCCTCAGCCACCCCTGCTCAGCTTCCCTACTATGCTCATTAGCCCCTAAAGTCCAGAGGGGGCCAAGGTGGCAGGGGGCTAACATGTCAGCACTGCCCCAAGCATGTGCACACCTCACTGGGCCATGTCAGTGCCTGGGTTCAGCCCTGACTTTGCTCTGAGATCGGAATGGGCACCAAGAGCAGGCAGAAGCCAGCAAGAGCAGCGGGAGCAAGCACTTCCCACTTCTGAGCTTGTGAGGGCAAGGAGGGCCTTCCTTGGTCCCCAAAAGTACAGGGATACCTGAGTCCACAGCTGTGGTTTGGGCAGTTGCAGCTGCACCCAGAAGAGTGGGGTTCCCACCTGCTTCTGGGTCCTGAGAGCACAGGGATGCCCAGGTTTGCAGCCATAGCTTGGTTGGCTGCAGTGGTACCCAGGGAGCCTCTGCCTCAATTTGGAAGGGGCAGGGCTCTCACTTGTCCCTGGCTCCTGCTGGCTCCCTGGAGTGTGCAGCCCCAGCGCTGTCTCCCTGCAGCAGCCAGTGTGATGACAGCAGCTGCTTTAGATGGCCTGCCACTGTCATTACCACTGTCCTTACTCATGGCACAAGGATGTAATTTCTATATCTTGTCAATGCCTCTCAGTGAAAACTCTGTTTAAGAGTCCTGGCATCTGGACTGGGCATATACCTACTAAAGAGTACCTAGTTAGAAGAAGAAAACTTGCAACTCCAATTTGCATTCACATCAAGCAAATATCCAAAGAGATAGAAGTTGTCTTGTAAATGGCAAAACACTAAATATAGCTTAAAAAACACCAGGGCATGCTCAAAGTAAAGAACAGCTGAGATGTAACAGCTTACAACTCCTTTTTTTTGTGTGTGTGTGTAATTGTGTGAGTCAAGCTAGTGTCACAAATATTAAATTATTCAATTAGCAGCACAAGATTAAGCCCATAAAATGTGTTAATGTGACACATCATTTCACAAATGGGATTTTAGAATGGCTTCCTGGGATTCTCCAACATGACAAAAATACCCATTAACTTTTACTGCAGCCTGTCTTAAGATCAAGGCAGAAATCAACTCACAGTACAAGGAAGAATGGGAAGAGGTGGTTGATAGTCAATGTTCTTGAGCAGTGGTTTTGCTTTTGTAAATTGCTTTGTTACTTTCTAAATTCTTTTCAGATATACAAATAAGCTGTGTCAGTTACTTAACCACTTGACAATAATGTCTACTATTTACTGAGTTCTATTCTGGTGGACAAACCGTTATAAAAAAGTTAGTTTTATGCAATGTGTTATTTATTATATATTATTTGTCATATGCCATTCATTATTCATATGTCATTCATTGTTTAGTAAACATTGGAAACAATCCACCTACTGAACAGCTTGGAAATGGGTTAAGTAAACTAGGATGTGTCCACCTAATAAAATAGCATCTGGCTATTACAGTGATATTAACAAAGAGTTTGTAAAAACAAATGAAATAATTATTACACTGAATGAATAAATTAAATTATAAAATCTTATTTTTATAAAATATTAATAGAGAAAAAGACTGGAAGGAAGCATTCCAAAAGGTTTACATTATTTGCCTCTGGGTTGTGAGATATGAGGATTAGTTGTTTTTCTTCTTTTTTCCTTGGTTCCTTCTGTGTTATTCACATTATCTGCCATGAGTGTTATTTTCATAATCTCCAACCAAACTAAAAATCTTATTTAGGAGGCATTTGAATTATTCATAAGTACCAATGGAAACTTCAGTTAGCATAGATAGGTACCATTATGTTTGGGTATTCAAATAAAGTGCAACATCATGCAATTTTAGTATTTTCAGTAAAAGTGATTTGTTCAAAGTATAAAAAAGTATGACTTAATTATGGTCTTTATCCAAGTTCCATTTACAGCACAAGAATTAAGAGTGCCTGAATTGCATATTGACTTACTGTCGTGCTTCCACTGTGTGAGTGTAATGTCTGGGAGCAGAGCCTTAGGAGACACTCTTCTGCTTGCTGCTCAGGTGCTTTTCCTGGAATCCCTATGCTGCCCTCCTGCACCCAGCTCAGTCCCACTCCCACTCCCACTCCCACTCTTTCATGACTCCTCTTAAAGGTCCTTCCTTTAGAGATGTCTTCCCTCACTCCCCTTCTCACTCAACGCTTAGGTGCCAAAGGAAGGTCATCCAACTAAACACCCTGCCAGCACTCTGCATTTTTCCCAGCTGCTCTTTCCACAATGAGTTTGTATCATGATCCATGTAATTTATGTGTCTGTCCTCCTGCTGTACTTTAAGCTCCATGAAAGGAAGGACTGTGTCTGTTTGGTTCCCTGCTGCATTCCCATTACCTAGCACAGAGTCTAACGCATGAGTTCAGTAACTATTTGTTGCATGAATGAGTGAATCCATCACATTTTAGAGATACCATATGTGAATTTCGAATATGTAAACATCCCCATGCAATTAAAATCTTGCTTGAAGGAGAAGCCTGGGAATTGGAACATGATAAGAGTTGGTTGTAGAGTGGAAATGTGAGGTTGCACCTCCCTTCAAACACATTAGCATTTGTGTGTGAGTGTGTGTGTGTGTGCATGTGTGTTAGTCTATTAACCATATTCTATAGTCACAACCGAGGTTTAGTAGAGGCATAGAATTCTGGATGAGTGTGAAGGCAATGGACTAGACTAATTGGGTTTGAAAACCAGTCAGATATTTACTAGATCTCTGAATATGGCATGTCATTTAATACCACTAAGTTTTGGTTTCTTCATTTGCATAACTGCGCTGCGGTACCTATTTAGGTTGTTGTATAGATAAAACAAGATAATGAACATAAAATGCTGAACATAGAGCTCTGAAGAATTGTAGGTGTTCAATAAGTCTCTTCAGCAACAGCAGTTATTGTTATTCCTACTACTTTGTTATTAACAATTTCTAAAGTTAACAATTTTCTGAAACAAAAATTTCTCAGTGACCACTAGATGGCATTAAGGTTAATTTAAAATATAGACAGTATAGCCATTATTCATATCAGTAAAAACTTGTGGTGAAAAGTAATTTCATACATTTTGCTTTAAGTTGTGGACTTAATAAGTTGTGATTTTGCATTATTTTATGTAGAAAAATCCTATAAGAGATTATATTTGTTTCAGCTTTGTTTCCATCAAGGATTCCTCATGCTGCTTCTCTTTATCTTTTTTGAAGTAGGAAAGTTATTGCTGAAAGTTCTGAATGATGCTGCAAAGTAAATGGCCCTGTGGGTGCACTGAGAACAAAATTACTGTTTTGTAGTTGCTGTATGATGTACTGAGGGTCAACAGCATGCCAAACTCAATGGTGACCTGGAGGGAAAGACTCTGTGGGTTTCCCAAGCTGGGAGCTGAAGACAACAGGATAGTGACTATTTCTGAAACAGATGAGTGAATAAAAAAGTGCCTGGGTAAACCCAGGAGAAAACCCAGTCACTCTGCACCCTTCTCAAGAATGCTGCACTGTGAGGAAGGTATCTGTTGTTTCTTAAACTTTGCAGAATGAAATAAATGAGCAACAAAATGCTAATACAAATATTCTCTTCAAAGACACTGGTGGACTGAAAAATTTAGTATTGCTGAGTTTCTTGTTGTGTTGTATCCATTAATTGTGGATATATCATCAAAGTTGTAGAAGAACTATATATTTAGGGTATTGTTAGAAAAAAACTAACTTAGATAACAAGTAGATTTTGATGAGTTGCATGGCTTCCTATAGGCAAAGAGGTACCATGAAACTTTACTGAAATGGAAAGATTAGTTTGTCATGATGGAAATGAACCTGAGTTGGGGAACGGTCAATTTGGCAATTGTGTTCAATCTGTGAGGTAGATTGCCAAATGGTTCAGCTTACCTCCAACTGTGAACTCCATGAGAGTGTCAGAGGCATGTGCATGTCACTTCTGAATCTCCAAAGCTGAACCTGCAGATAGCATATCTCCAAAGATGCCTACACCATCATATTGTGCTCAATAAACCTTGACTGAAAAATAAATGATAAAATATCTAGTCAGTTAGACCAGATAAAGGAATCCCATTGGGTATCAGCAAAGGGGTTCTTAGTCAAGATGGTATAGCATGTTCATAACAGGACACTCCCCTTCTCTTTCAAATACATAAAAGAATATACAACATAAATAAAAACATAAAGAGGGATAAAAAGGCAAAGTCAAGTTAAAAAATAAGGTAAATACCTATATGAACCAGAAATGGAACCCAAGCACAAAGTAGAGAGTGAAGCTGAAGACATCGAATGCTTGGCTGTCCGTTTGAAAACAAAGCAGTAGAGTTGGGAGTTTTGCTCTTCTGGATACACAAAGTAAATGCACTCTTTGTGGGATGTGGAAATGGGCCCAGGCCCACCGCTTGCATGTAACTCCCAGAGATCTTCACCAGAAGAGTGATTCAGAGTGCCCTCTAACAAGAAGAAAAGTGAACCCACCACAATCTAAATGTCTAGGTATTAGTCTTATAGGCTTAGAAAAGTGATTTCTTTTCTAATATAGAAGCAAGTTTTTCTATTTCTAAGAAGTAAGAGCTATAAAATATATGAGTCAGATTTATATACAGCACAGTAGTGTTGTTTAGTATATGCTCATTTATGAACCAGTTAAAATTATTATTCCCAGAATAGTTAATTACTATTTTTGGGAGAAACTGAGAGTAAACCTGAATTTCATAATGAAAACAAACTGAACAATAGATGACAGAAGTGTTCAAAACAAACTGTAAAAATTCTATTGGATTCTAATAATAAGCAGAAATTATAACAATAGCTTGTTATAACTGTGGCAAACAATACCAGCTTCCTAAAGATAAATGGCATCAGCATTTAAATGGTCTTTAGAAAATCCAACATTTTGAAACAGTTAATACTTTGTCTACAACTTCATTTTTAAGTATGCTGTTCCTTTTGTCTTGAATGTCTGACACTGCTATTCATACTTCATGACCTAGTTCATTAGTTTCTTTTATATGTATCACTAGAAAAGTGATTTTTTTTTTAAAAAAAGCAAATTTAGAAAGAAATCATCATTCGGATGATTCAGATAAGGCAAGCTCCCAGACATTACGTTAAAAACCTCCAAAACCCTAGAATGCAAATACAGCTAGAAATAACCAACACACTTTCAAGGGGCTCTCTCCTTTGTTGGTAGATCGAGTGTCCCTTATCTGAAATGCTTGAGACCAGAGATGTTTCAGACTTTTTCAGATTTTGGAATATTTACAGTAATATTACTAGCTGAGCATCACTAATCTGAAAATTTGAAATTCAAAATGCTCCAATGAGCATTTCTTTTAAAAGTCATGTTGATGCCCAAAAAGTTTTGCACTTTAGAGCATTTTGGATTTCAGAATTTGGAGTTTGGAATGTTCAGCTGTACTACCCAGGAAACCAATTATAATCAGAAGTTTGCTTGGCTAGTGTGGAATCAGAGCAAGGGGAATTAGTTATATAATTGAAAAGCTTTATGGCAAGCGTTGGCAAACTTCTTCTGTAAAGGGCTGGGCAGTAAATATTTCAGGCTTTGTGGGCCATATAACCTTTGTCAAGACTACTCAACTCTGATAGTGTAGTGCAAAAGCAGCCATAGATGATGTGTAAACAAATGGATGCACCTGTGGTACCAATAAAACTTTATTTAAAAGAATGGGATTCAGCCAGATTTGGCCCATGGACAGTAGTTTGCCAGCCCCTGTTTTGTGGCATTAGGTACTAAATGTCTGACATTTCCACTATGGTGAAATCAGATGTTGTCTATGTAGGTGAATCTCCTCACGTTCTTGAATCAGGACTCTCTCTCTCTTAGTTGTACAGTGTCAAAATTAGTCTCTGCGATTAGTCTTTTTGAGGTCTCTGTTTTCTTTAGGTGGGATAATTTTCCCATTTAGATTAGAGTCAAATGTTATTGGTTTAGGAGGCTTTCTGTCTTAAGGTAACTTTGCACATCTGTGTTTCAGTTCCCTTAGAGCTTAACTCTCAGAGGAAATCTTATGTCCCAATTCCATACTGGTCCTTGGTTCCCCTTATTTCACCGTTCTCCAGAGGTTTCTTATTATTGCCCAACATTAATCCTGCTGTAATAACTTACGGTATGGATCTAGCGAAAAGAGAATGCTGAGGCATGGGTGTCAGTTGGTGTTCAATCTGATTATTTCTCCCAGGTGTGTAGTTCCAGGAAAACTGCCTCAAACTTTTTAGCCCCTAGAGCCCTCTCAGTCAGTCTGGAACACAGAAATACCTTCAGCTGACCACACATTTTAAATAAATCACATGTAAAGATTTTTTTTTCACAATAACTGCTTAAATGTTTGTTCTGATTGGTAGCCTCTGGTTGCTGTCAATGTGTTACCTTAGTTAATTATGTAAGAGGGGCCATTTCTCATCTCAGATGGTACCATGGTTTATTTTAGCAACTTGCAGTCGAAGTCTGGCTGGGTCTACAGCAGCCTCAGCCTCACCTAGGAGCAGGTCAGAAATGCAGACTCTCAGGGCCCCAGACCTACTGAATCAGATCTGGATCTATCTTAACAAGATTTCCAGATGATTCACAATTATTAACGTTTGGAGGTCCTGCTCTGACTTATAGTGCATCTTAATGTTAATTCTTAATGTTAGTTAAAAAAAAAAAAAGACATCTCTGAGTGGCAGAATCAGGAAATGGCTATAAGGTTTAAGGATAATAGGTTTAATTTCTCCCATATTCTTGTGCTCTTGCATAGGGCATGAGAATATATAATGCCCCTGATTGGCATCGTCATCCCCATGCCAATTTGGACCCCAAATTGATGAGATAGGGGTTTGAGAGAACTAAAAGTGAAATTCCAGTTCATCAACAACCTTGTTTTTCAAAGATTTCTTAAAAAACTTTTTTCATTGGTAGCTTGTGAAATTCTTTCTCCATCATCTCTTTTACATAAAATATTGACAAACTGATAATAAGTCTTATTCCTTTCAGTTCCTTGAAAATCTGGGCTTTTACCTTCTAATTCTGAGTGTGGTAAAACTCACATGCACAGACTTTTAAATACTCACACAGCAATCCCACCAGAGTGTACCTTGACTAGCCTTCACATGTGACACAACATGGATCACATAAGATATAGATGAATGTCCTTTGTGAAGCAATGTCTGACTGTAGGATGTAGAATGGTTTGGCTGAGTTTGGAGACAGGAACTAGAGATCTGATTCTTGGTTTTGCCATATTAAGGCTGTGTGTCTTATGACAAACCAGTTTTCCCCTCAAATTAGTAATTTATAACAAATTAATCTACTGTGCTTTTGAGGTGGGCAAGAATTTTTTAATTTAATTAAATTATTTTTTTTAAAAAAAGCTTCCTAAGTGACTGTACTGCTCAGCCAGTCTTGAAAACAATAAACAAAGTCTTTGAGCTTCAATTTCTTCATTTATGCATTAGGAACATTAATGATTTCTTCAGCACATGAAATTATACGTGAAATTCTCAAGTGCAGAGCAGTCTGGAGATGTAGTATAGTGGCAGTTTTAATTGTGTGACCCATGTGTCACACAGATAAGATTTCGGTAGTGGGCATAGAAATAAAGGAAGTGTAAATGAGAGTAGAGACCTAGGTAACAGAACTGAAAACAAATGGAAGCCACCTCTGTTTTCCACAGCTGAGAATTCTTATAACGTGCCATCTGTGAGAGGTTAGTCCTGTGAATAGCCCTACACATAAAGCCAGATTTCTACTGAAGAATGGAGCTTACATCCTATGAGGTCTATATAATCCTGTATTCCTCCCTTATATTTTATGTTGCCTGTCTTGGCTCAAGTAATTGCAGGCCATTTGAGGTCAGGGTTTGAGTCTTTCCTTTCTCATAGGCACTCCTATTATTGTTCTGATTACAGAGAAAATTCTCAGCAAATGTTGATTGATGATTGGTTACGATTCTTGGACTTCTTCCTATTATGAGTAATTGATGCCCTCGAATGACTCAGCATTAGATTGGGGCTAATTAAGGATATCTTTCTGTGACGATCTCTGCCCTGTCACAAGTTATTATAGTTTTCTTATATCGCCTGAAAAAACTCACCACATTCTCTCTGAACACCAAGATTGTACCCATTCCTACATAAGGCATACGGAGCTACTTTTAGGGGAGGATAGGGTTCAAATCTATGCTGCTTTTTCTTGTTTTCAAATAAACTCATCATTTCACTGAACAAAGCCAAGTCACTTTCAAGCTGTGCCTTCTTATTGTCAAAAGCAGCCATCCCAGTTAACTTAGTGAAAAACAATAAACTGGTTGATCTGGCAAGACAAAGACAAGGCTTCATCTGATGGGTACGTTTTCCAACTTGTTAATTCACTGCTGTTTAGACATCGTCTTTGACAGAGTCTGTGACTGTTCAGAAGAATGACTCCCAAAAGTTAATAATGTGGGGAGCAGGGGAAAGAGATCAGTCTAGTAATCTACTCACCTACTTCATCTATGCTGTGCATGGCTGATAGCGGGAGGGATAAGTAGTTGGCTACATTTTTCTTTCTTTCTTTCCTTTACTCAAAATATTATCCCAGGAGATGTAGACATAAAGAAATGTATAGGCCGGGCACGGTGGCTCACGCCTGTAATCCCAGCACTTTGGGAGGCCGAGACGGGCGGATCACGAGGTCAGGAGATCAAGACCATTCTGGCTAACACGGTGAAACCCCGTCTCTACTAAAAATACAAAAATTAGCCGGGCATGGTGGCGCGCGCCTGTAGTCCCAGCTACACGGGAGGCTGAGGCAGGAGAATGGCGTGAACCCGGGAGGCGGAGCTTGCAGTGAGTCGAGATCGCGCCACTGCACTCCAGCCTGGGCGACAGAGTGAAACTCCGTCTCAAAAAAAAAAAAAAAAAAAAAAGAAATGTATAATCTTCAGGAGTGTGTCTGTACTTGTCTTCTTATCAAAAAAGTCCTTGAATTCTGCCCAGGCTGGGGTTCCTGAGTGTGGAGCTGGCCCTCAGCTGAGGGTAGAAGAAAGGAGAATTGAGTTAAGAAACCAAAGTAATGGCTGGAGAACCAAAGGATGTTCCCAGGCATCAAATCCAAAGGGCCCAGCAATGAAGCTTGATCCGATCCAAACAAAAGAATAAATACTTGGGTCAGACAAGACTGAAGTAGGAGATTTGAGTGATTGAGGGAAGAGAAAGAGGACAGTGTAAGGGGGTGCTAGAGAGGGAGATTTAAGAGCTTGCTGTGGCCTTGCCTATGGCTAATAGGTCGGGGTGATATCGAGGGTATTGGGCTGCTTCTAAGAAAAGAGGCGTCCACAGACAGCCAGACAGAACCCATTCAAAGTTGTACCTTCAAAATCAACTTCAGGCCTCACGGAACCTAGCATGCTGGTTCCTTGTATAACCCCCTCAGTTATGTCTGTAATATCTAGAGGAGCAAACAGGTACAGGTGCTTAAATGAAAGAAGAGAATCATATTTCCAACAAGTTGATAGCATACTTAGAATCTGAAGAATGGTGCAATACGTGCGTGTGTGTTAACTTTTCCTGTAAAGTTGCCATAAACTTTTTTTTTTTTTTTTTTTTTTGTGGTGGAGTCTCACTCTGTCACCAGGCTGGAGTGCAGTGGTGCAATCTCGGCTCACTGCAACCTCTGCCTACTGGGTTCAAGTGATTCTCCTGCCTCAGCCTCCTGAGTAGCTGGGGCTACAGGCACGCACCACCACGCCCAGCTAGTTTTTGTATTTTTAGTAGAGACAAGGTTTCACCATGTTGGCCAGGATGGTCTTGATCTCTTGACCTCATGATCTGCCCACCTTGGCCTCCCAAGCCATAAACTTTTTAAAGAATCTGCCACTGCTGCATATCAGACAGTCCCTTCTGTTGCTGTTTCCCACCTTTTGTCTGCCCCTTTCGTATTTTCCACCTCTTTTTACATTTCTGTGCACTCTCCTTCCAACTCTGATGCCCAGGCTTCATCTTAGAGATGGCCATATGCTTCCATCTGTGGCTGTCTGTCAGAGTAGTCTTTAGTCATTCAGAGTCTTCAGAGAGGAGCAGCTACAAGAGAAATAAAACTTGCTCTTGATATGTTCTCATTGCTTAACCTTGATGAGTTGATCTACTCTATTAGTATCTTTCTCTTCACTATCTCTCATCAAGGATCCCCTCTCCACCAGGAATAAGGGAAGGTAAGACATGGGGAGGAAACATGCAATCATTTTTTGCATCTTTATTTTGCTGACAAATGGCTATTTATGAAGGAAGGAGAATTATTGTCTGATTTAGACCATGAAAGGTCAAAAGAATAGTGTTTCCCTCAAATATGGAGCACGTTACAAATTAAATTGGTGTCCCACTACTTTGGCCACTTAGCTCTTTTACTGGATTGCTTAAAACCTATTGAAATAAAAATTGTATCTTTTAAAAAAGTCTTATGAATTTTCTCTGGGGTTCAAATTTATGGAAACTTGCCCTTTAAGAGGAACTCAGAGATAGGCTGAAATAAACTCCAGACTGATGCTGAAGTGAAATAAAGCTTTGGGTTAGGAGGAATTATTTATAAGCTTCATAATTGACAACCTTGTACGAGATAATGACACATCATTTTAGAAACTTGTTGTGACTTGATCGAATTTAAGTTGGGTTCCAGCTTCAGGCTAAGGATATGCAGAATATATAATGTTGTCTGAAATAAAAGCTGAATAAATCTGGGGTAAAATTTTGAAAGTCAAAAGCTGTGGTCATTGAATAGGTACAGACATAGGGGTTATTCCAGGACAAAATGATCCTCACATATGCTGGTCCCTAAATTTTATAAAAATTCTCCTACAGAAGCAAAAGATGAACTGAATAGGGAAATTCTCATTGAAATATCAGAAGAGTATAGATTAAGGCTATCAAATACTCAGAATGACCATTGCTTCTTTCCTTCCACCTGCACCCCTAGCTGACATTGCTAATTGATCAAGGCTCACCTTTTCACTGGGCCTGCCGTTAGTCTCATGATCATTAGTACAATGTTCCAATTAGCTAGTGACAATTATGCAACCATCACAACTCATTTTCCATTCATCTTTCCTGCCCTAATACTCAGGAAGTTAATTTCTAGAAGAGGGAAGAGGGGAAGGTGTATAAAAGGTGAGGCATTTTGAGCCTCTCAACCTATAAGTCTAACATGCAATGGGAACAAAGAGGAAGTTTTGAATGGGATATAAAATCAAATTTGATTTACAATTTTACAATTTAATATCTGAGGTACAGCCTACTTGCTGCCCTTGGTTTGGTTTAAGTTGCTAAAGAAGCCTCTTTGGCAGAGAAAGACTCCTTTATCCAAGTATCAGAGGAGCACTCTAAAAGGTCACAGGAGGAGGAAGAGAAGATCAGGTACAAAGAAAATCTTACTGTAATTGGATGTGATATTTTACATGGCCATTTAAATATTATTTATGCTTAACTTCTCCTGGAGTCATTAAGTTGTAGCCAGGGCCAAAATGGAAAAGCAAGGATGCTAAGTACCCCCATGTTGTAGAGAGAGCTGTAAATGAATAGCCCAGAACTGGAGTTGGAAACATTCTTATAGGGTTTGTTTATTAAAAGGTGGTCAAATCCCACTGCTGCTAATCACCATTGCCTTCTTTGTCTATAAAAGAAGCCTGGAGAGAGGAAATGTGTCATCCCACTCCTCTGGGATTCTGAGGCAACTTTCCTTCTCCTCCCCACAAGGGAAGAGATGATTCTCACCAAGAGAATCATCTGTGAAAATACTAGGTGTTTTCAAGAAGGGAAAACTGGATTACTTTTGCTCTCCATTTTGACAACTTGCTTTTATGTCTCTGTACCTGTTTGAGGAGGGAGAAGGAGAACAGAGAAAGAAGATGGGTCAGAGATGTGGGACATCTGTGGAGTACCTATATACTGACATTTGTCATGCCGAGGATGGGT
The DNA here is from genome assembly GCF_000001405.40 of Homo sapiens. NCBI lineage: Eukaryota > Metazoa > Chordata > Mammalia > Primates > Hominidae > Homo > Homo sapiens. The sequence goes on from NC_000010.11 coordinate 89,963,930, forward strand.
GAACACAACATGAGGTAGCGTGGGTCAGTTTCCTATTCCCACTCAAGAGGGAAGTTTTCTGAGTATAAGAACCTCAACAGCAAAAGGCTGTGGCATTGCCTGCTTGTGGGAGATCCTGGGGAAATCATGAAAGAGGGTAGTAGGCTCTGCAGGGGGAGGCCTTACAGGACCCCCCAGAGAACCCATGTATGGACTCTCCAAGATACCAAGATACTCCTCCTTACTGCCTACTACACAGAAGACTCCAATGGTTAGAGAATGTTAGCATAAGAAGAGAAGATCAACAAGAAGACAAGTGAAAGATCTTTCTCAGATGACTAAGGAGACATTTGCCTTTTCCAATAATAGTAACCAGCCTCCAGGATAATGCACAGTAATGGTCACCCCCTAGTGATCATGGTCTTGTGCAGTTCCTTTCCACAATGAAACAGGGCTCATCTGTGTGACCAGTAGAATACTGTGGAAGAAACAATGTGAGACCTGCTAGAAAAGTATGTCATAAAATGCACTTGGCTTCCACTTTGGCTTCTTGGATGGGTTGCCTTGGGGAGAGCCAGATATAGGCTGTGAGGGCATTCAAGTAGCCCTATGATGAAGCACATGTAAAGAGAAACTAAGGCCTCCTGCCAACAACCAGCACTAACATGCTAGTCATGTGAGCGGGCCACCTCGAAAGCAGATCCTCCAGCCCCAATCTAGCCTTGCAATGACTCCAGCTCAAGTTAACATCTGACTGCCACCTCTTCGTGATGCTGAGCCAGAAACACCCAGCTGAACTGCTCCTGAATTCTTGTCCCACATGAGCTAAGAAAGATAGTATATAATTATTAGTGTTTAAAATCACTATGTTTTCAGGATAATTTGTTATGCAACCATCACAACTCACTTTCCATTCCTCTTTCCTGCCCTAATACTCAGGAAGTTAGTTCCTAGAAGAGGGAAGAGGGGAAGGTGTATAAAAGGTGAGGCATTTTGAGCCTCTCAACCTGTAAGTCTAACATGCAATGGGAACAAAGAGAAAGTTTTGAATGGGATATCAAATTAAATTTGATTAGAGACTTATGGACTTTTCCTAAAATAACATTATTGGATAAAAAATAGGAATTTTACGTAATATAATTGGGAAAATTATTTGGGAAAAAATTGAAGCTTGTCATGTATATACTCCAAGGAAACTTGTCTTGTATATACTCCAAGGAAACTCAGCAAACCACTAATAGATTAATTAATAGAGGTTTTTAAAAGCATAATTTAAAACCATAATTTCTCTGTCCTCCATGATTCAGCCAGCCATGGACCAGGGTTCATAACTCCTATACGCTGAGCTGCAGAACTAGTCCTGCAGAGTAAAGAAATCATGAAGTATTAGTTCTACAAACCCAAACCTATGACATTGCAAATGTCAGAGGAGTTATTTATAAAAAGATAACTTTTTAATGGACCTGTCACATGTGAGAGCTATAGAAATATGGAAAGCTGATACTGATTTGTAGAAACTTTTCTGTGTTGTGAAGATCTCTGGCATTGTTTTGATCATTCCAACCAATGTGAGAGATGGTGATAAATGGCATGAACGTCTGCATGATGTTCTGGGTAGCTAATTCGGTTCTCACACAAGTCAGTTTAGTCCTGCTATCAAAGTCAAGGGGACATTGGCCAATATGATATGGATATGCATAAGCTTAATATTTACCTTTCAGAAAATATGATGGATTCTCTGTAGTTACTACATCACTGAGAGGAACAATGTAGAGTAACTGGCCTTTTAAGATAAACTTCTAGAGATTACTTGAGACAAGTTAGGAGAAGGTGGCAGCCTGCAATAAAGATTTCAATCTGTGTTGAGTTATGACAGTGTTAGGGTTGTTCTATTCATTTGTAAACAACATAAAATCTTACTCCTTTCTTCCAGCCTGTCACTGTGTTTCAGTGCCTCCTGAAACAAATGACCTCAGGGACTTCCCATATGGTGATACCAAGAGATTTCCCCTGATGTGAACCATGCCCAATATCTGTACACCATGGATATACTGGTGCCACAGAGGTATGGGAGATTACAGTTCTGCAGAACAGATGGCATCTTCAAGGCAGAGATGAGCCCTGGACATTAATTACTATTACACTCGGGGCCCAGAATAGAAGTGAGTCGGTGTGGCTGACTCCTGGCCTACCCAACCTGTGTTCACAAGAAGATTTCATATATGCTAGCTGTGATATTGTTATATAATAAGACATATATATTTGGTCTCTGCCCCTAGTTCCTGACACAGAGCTCCTAAAACCCTTGTAAATAGGGTGCTAGGAGAATCTTTTGTTTTAACCTTTGGTCTTTGACCCTAATTTCTGACACAGAGCTCCCAAGGCTTTTGCAATGTCCTGAGTGATAGAAGCATCTGACACAGAGCATCTAAATCCCTGGGAATTTCCTGAGTGAGAGGAGCATCTTTTGTTCTAATGAGGATGCTCTTGGTGGGCTCCAGGAGAGCCTCAGGATGAGGGCTGGTTGCCATGGGAACTAAGCTTGTGATTAGAGAGTTAGCACTTTCAGCGTCACTCCCACTTCTCAGGAGGTTCCATTGATCCCAGTGGCCAATGATTTAATCAGTCATGACTATGAAATGAAGCCTCCATAAAAGCACAAAAAGATGGGGTTCAGAGAGCTTCCTCACTGCTGAACACACGGAGGTATGTGGAGGGTGGTATACCCAGAGAGGGAAAGGAAGCTCTATGCCCCTTCCCACATACCTTGCCTTACTCATCTCTTCCATCTTTCTGTTCATTTGTCCCCTTTATTATATCCTTTATTAATATAATAAATATATAAATGTGTTTTCCTTGATCTGTGAGCCATCCTAGAAATTAACCAAATCTGAGGAGAGGGTCATAGGAATTCTAATTTATAGGTGGTGAGTCAGAAATATAGGTGACGACTTACTGCTTGTGATTGGCGTATGAAGTTGGGGACAATTTTGCAGGACACAGCTTTAAACTTGTAGGATCTGATGCTATCTCCAGGTGACAGTGTCAGAATTCAATTGAATTATAGGACACCCAGTTGGCATCTGCTGAAAAATTGGTTGTTGGTGGGGAGAAATTCCCACACATTTTGGTGACCAGAGGTAAATTATTCTATATTGGGAATTAGAGTAGGAAAAATAATTTGTTTTTTTCTATCTCTTACACTAGTTTATTGATTTTTACAAAAAACAAAAACAACAACTGTGGCACTGGGAAGAAAAGAAGCTGAAGTGCATAGATAATAGCTGACATGCCCAAGGTCTGCTCGTTAGAAGAAGAATCTAGTTTCAAGTCCAGGCCTTTTGATTCACCCAACATCTCAGCATTGCTTCTTTCCTTCCTCGGGTTGTGTTTGTATACAGATCTGAGCATACAAGTGGTGAATGAGAGGATACCTGTAGATGGTGGCACATGATTCAGATGATTTTGAAGGTTACTTTTTCTTTTCTTTTCTTTTTTTTTTAGCAAGGAGGAGCTGTTAGTTTCTCTTGGGAGTCAAGACTAAGTGTCTTTACTTGGGATCCCAAAGAATTTTCTGTGACCACTCTCTCTGGGTGATGAGGAGAACAAATATTTCCTGTTCTCCTTTGGGCTATGTTCTTCTGTAAACTCCCTGGATTTTTCCTCCTCTCTGTCCCCTGCCCCCTCGCTACTCTCTACCTATGTTCCTCTTTCCTTCCTTGGCCTAAGGCATAGTAAGAAATCTCGTTCTAGGATGAAGCCATAGTTTCCAGGAAGATCAACTTGGGAAACAATCATAGCTATGGCAATACTAGGAAAAAATATCTCTTGATGCTTGAATTTCTACCATTAATAATTATTTCCTTGGTGTTAACTCCAGTCTCTTTTCTTCTTCTTTTGTTCTTCTTCTCCTGCTCCTCCTTCCTCTTCCTCCTTCTTTCCTCTTTTTCCTCTTCCTTTTCCTCTTTTTCCTCTTTCCTTTTCCTCTTTTTCTTTTTTTGAGACAGAGTATCACTCTGTCACCCAGGCTGGAGTACAGCAGCATGATCTCTGCTCACTGCAACCTCCGCCTCCCAGGTTCAAGTGATTCGCCTGCCTCAGCCTCCTGAGTAGTTGGGACTACAGGCACACACTACCACACCCAGCTAATTTTTGTATTTTTAGTAGAGACTAAAAATACTTTGTCATGTTGGCCAGGCTGGTATCGAACTCCTGGCTTCAAGTGAACCATCTGCCTCAGCCTCCCAAAGTGCTGGAATTACAGGCATGCGAGCCACCGAGCCCTGCCTTCTCTTCCTCTTCTTCCTCCCAAGGTAGATACTCATTTAAAATACTAAATAATAATATAATAAAATAAAAATTCTAATTATTCTTGTTAAAAGTAACATGATAAATTGTCATCTTACAAGAGGATAAGTTCCTGGAGGTCAGGTCTGTATTTTGTTAATTTATTGTTTCTAGCCTCAGGGCTGAGCCCTGTGCTGGTATGGTGAATTAGAAATGGGCATATAACCTGATCCTGGACCATGAGATCTAAAGGGGACTCTTCTGGGGAAATTGTACAAAAGACGCAGCAGAAATGACCATGCTACTGTACTCCAGCCTGGTTGACATGTGGGTATGGCCATATCTGAAGTCATATTTGGATCTGCTGTGGCCATTTTGTTCTATTAAATGGAGCCAACCTTAAGGATGGCAGACTCAAAAGACAGAAAGTGCCTAGATCCTTGATGGCATCATGAAGCTGTTGGGCCACTCATACCTAGAGGCTGCCCTATGATTGCTTCCTTTGTTATATGAGATGACAAATTTCCAAGTTGTTTAAGTCAGTTTGATTTGGTGTTGTTGGTTATTTATAATAAACAAAAGCACCTTGAATGATAGAGAAAAGTTAGTTTCATTTTTACCCAGTGCAAAGCCTGGTTTCCACCATCACGCATTATACCCAGAAAGCTTCCTTTTTAAAATTTTTATTTTTATTTTTGCTGATATGGAAAGAGATCCAAAATAAAATAAGTAAAAAAGAAACAAAAATGTTCTACTAGAAAAAATATCTGTGTAAATATATATGGACAAGCAGATAAAGAGGGAGATGTTTGGTTTTTGACAAAGTAATCTATTGCTGCTAATAACCAACTACAAAACCCTTATTATTAATAAGGATTTGCTTCATTCACCTGTCTGTGGGCAGCTCCAGAATGTGGATGGGGTCCAGGTGTACTCCCTATGTCTCTTGTCCTTCTTGGACAGGGGAGTCATTTTTATCATAAGATGACAGAGGTGCAAGAAGCTAAGAAGAAAATGAAGGACATTTTTAGGTTAGGCTCTGTATGGCCACACTGTTACCTCCACCCTCATGTGCTTGACCAGCGCAGTTCCTGTGGCTGAGCCCAAAGCCAAAGGGTGGCGATTACACTGGCTTCCAGGGAAAGACTTCAAAGCCATATAACATAAGGGTGCAGTATTGGGCCAATAATTCAGCCTGCCATACTTCTCAACCCATATAGTTTGGTATGATCTGAATCTCCCACGATCTCCATATACTTCACATTAATGATATTTATTAAAAGAGAAAGATTTCTCTGGGGCCAAGGCCTTGTGGAGGATGGTTTGAAGGAGGAGAGACCAGAGACTGAGAATCAAAGAGAAGACTGGTGAAATTATTTAGTTAGAGCAGAGTGAGTTCTGAGCTGAGAAGGGGCTGAAGGAATAAAAAGAAGGTGAAGGCCAGTCTGATAAAGATTTAGGAGATAGTCTGTGTCTGATTTGGGGCTGGGAGATGTGATCAACAAAAAAAGGGAAAGGGTTGCTTTGATGCCCAGATTCTTGGCTTACAGTGATAGTGGGAATCAGAGAAGAGCATCAGATTTGGGGAAAAAGAGTTTAGTGTTGGAGGTGGTGAATGTGAGGGCCTGTGAGATCTTCAGAAGGGACACCCATGAAGCATTTGGACCTTCAGATCTGAAGCTCAGGGGACAGGTTTGTGTAGGAAACAAAGATTTGAGCGCTATCAACTTGGAGTAAATAATGTCCTTTAAGTAGATGAAATTGTCCAGGAGACCTATGTGTAGAAAAAAGAAGCCAACACTCACTGATTTTAAAAAGATAAGCAGAGGAAACGAAACTACAAAAGAGATCATAAGAATGTAAAAGAACAAAAAGTCTTAGTATGGTTGAACTTCAGAAATGCCAGGGTGAAACAAATTGCCATTTAGGGCTCCCTTTCCCCCGAGTTGAGAATTCTCCTCCAGGCGAATGCCTGTGCCCTACCCCACTCTGCCCATTTTGTGATGGCAGTACATGGGTCAAGGCAAGGGGGTAAGCATATCATCTTTCTAGTCCTTGTGGGCAAAGAAGAACTACATAGGTACATCATAATTCATTTTTGCTCTTCTTCAAACAAAAATAAGACTGGCTGGGCCCTAAAGTCCTTCACAATTAATCTTGACTTGTTTTCAGGTTTTAATCCATTGCAGGCAAAAGGCTTTATCATATTGGCTTGAACCACTTACGTAAGTGGATAGTTAATTCAATTATTTGTGATCTTTGTATCCACCCATTAAATTGATAAAAGAATGACCAAGTTGCCTTTATTTTGTCTGTTTTTTTAGTCAGTATTTATAAGTAGGGGATCAATTTGGATGAAAACAATGCCACTGGAGAAAACTTGCACATGTCAATAATTTTGTTTTCTTTTCTTGTTTTAAATTTTAACACAGGGTCTCACTTTGTCACCCACATTGGAGTGCAGTGGTGTGATCACAGTGCACTACAGTTTTGATTTCCTGGCCTCAGGTGATTCTTCCACCTCACCCTCCAAAGTAGCTGGGGCTATAGTCACATGCCATCACACCCAGCTGATTTTTTGAAGAGACAGGGTTTTGCCATGTTGCCCACGCTGGTCTCGTACTCTTGTGCTCAAACGATCTGCCCACCCTGGCCTCCCAAAGTGCCGGGTTTACAGGCATGAGCCACTGCACCCAGCCAATAATTTTCAAAGAAACTTTGTATCATCAGAAGAGTTGCTTTCCTTTGAACTATCTGAATTACACTTGGGATGCCTGGCTCACGTCTGAGTGCTGCTTGAGGTGAACCCAAGTCTGCTATTTTTTCAGAAGCATTTACTAATAAGGGACCTTACTGAAGAGGCAATGAAACTGTTCATCATTCCCAAACACTTTCCACCAGGCATGAAGACCCTTACAGAAACACATGCTGGGCTTGGTGTGATGCTTTGTTTTTAGTGTCCTTGAGGCTGGTCCTACTGAGCCAGAGACATAGGGAGTAGAGGCAAGTCCCCGAAATGAACAAGACCAAAATGTTCTCTTGTAAAAGTATGTTGACATTATTACTTTTACTTTTTCTGGGTGATCCAGGCCTAGTGTCTACATGAAAGGATTTCAGCTTCTTGCTTCCCTGGCTGAATGTCAGCCTATCAATGCTCCTCTTGTAGCATAGGATTAGAATGGAATGTGAACTTCCAGTGACCATGGCTGGTCAAGCCAGGATCATAACACCATTCATTCTGAAGCCTGCAAGTCTGTCAGTGCATTTTTCTGGGTCTCAGCCATACCTGGGTTTGAGTCCCATCTCTACCACTTCCTGTGTGAATTACTTAACTTCTAGGAGACTCTGTTTTCTTTTACGTAAAATGGAAAAAGCAATATCTTAAAATAGCACCCATCTTGTAAGGACATCAGGAGGGTTAAATAAGTTAATGCATGTAACATGCCTGACAGACAGTCCATGTTCACTGAACAAAACCATTCATCAAATGATGAGTTTGGAGTCATCTGTGGGTCTCAAATTGAATGTGCACATAATCTGGGGAGATTGTTAAAATGAAGGATTTGGTTTTTTTTTGTTTTTTTTTTTTTTTTTTCACAAGATTCTGATGTAATCTGAGGTGAGGTCCAGGAATTCACACTTCTAGCCAATTCCCCAAGTGATTCCAATGCAGGTGTTTGCAGGTACACTGTGAGAATTACTGAGGCAAACACGTGATCTTCCAGAGAAATCTTAGAGCTCTGAGGCTTTCCAGTCTAAGGTATAGAAAAGAGGAAATTCGCTTGTGATTAAAGATGATCTCCAGGCAATGTTTCAAAGGCAGAAGGATTGTGGTTTGATGGAGAAGTAGAGATGGGGAGGCAGGAGCATGTCACAGGCAGGGGGATGGCAGGTGCAATGATTCAGAGGTTGGAAGAGGAAGGAAGTGTGACCAGGAAGAAGGGAGTTCTGCATAACGGAATAGGAGAGTGGGAGTCAGAAAGTAGGAGGTGAAATAAGTTAGCTGAGGAGACTGGGAGTATGTGTAAAGAGGGCCCCCCACAAAGGCAGTGGTTGGGAAGATTTTTATCGAGGTATTGTGGATGGCAGCCCAGAGGTTGGCATGCTTAATAGGGGGCACCTGGCAAGCTTCAGGCCTGGTCTTATTAGGACTTGCATTAGGGTGACAGCCGTCAGAACAGAAAACCAGCAACAACGCCTCTAGGGAGTTTTGAGATTCTTTCTCTGCATTTTAAAAAATGTTTAAGTCCAGCTCTGGGAAATTGAATGGGGTCAAAGCTGCTATAAACAGACATTTCACCACCAGATAGTGAATAAAAACTTAATCTCAGAGCAACAAAACATAAAGTGTGCAAGAACTGGTAACAATTGAAAAATTGTGTAAATATTTAAGGACAGCCCTTTTACCTTTCCAGTGCTGGAAGGCACACTTGGACCCCAGCCACAAGATTCTGTATTTGTTCTTCTTCTCCCATGCTCTGTTTTTGACTTCAAAATCTTTGCCTAACACAATCTAAACATTGAAACAATGGGAGCAGAGAGGAGAAGGTCATCAGATATGGTATGAGGTGCCCTGCCTGTGTGTGCCTTTTGCCGCAGCTTACTGGGGAGTGTCTGCAGGGTGGATGATGCTGAAGCCTCAGTGCCTTCAGTCTGTTGTCTGGATGGGCTACTGCTTCCAACCTGGGAGTGAAGACCTGAGCGTCTGTGAGACACAGGGTGCTTAATAATATCTTTTTCTCCGGGATTTGTTCTCAGGTGTGGTATGGAAGCGGATGGAGAAAATCCATATGGGCAAATGGATTTTTAAAAAGGAAGATAGATACTGCCAGTAATGCCAGCATTTTGGGAAGCCGAGATGGGCAGATCACTTGAGGTCAGAGTCTGAGATCAGCCTGGCCAACATGGTGAAACTCCATCTCTACTAAAAATACAAAAGTTAGCTGGGTGTGGCGGCACATGCCTGTAGTCCCACCTACTTGGGAGGCTGAGGCAGGATAATTGCTGGAACCCGGGAGATGGAGGTTGCAGTGAGCCGAGATCGCACCACTGCCCTCCAGCCTGGGCGACAGGGACTCTGTCTCAACAAAAGCGAAAAAAAAAAAAAAAAAGAGGAAGATAGATACTAAGTTTTGACTGCTATGATGGCAGTTTTTTAACTGACCCTTGGAACAAGCTGTCCTTAAATAACAGCGGGAATATATTGATATGAATTTCTTATTCCAACAAGGCTTTACAACTCTATAATTTCTCTTAAGTGGTTTCTCTTGTTCCATCATGGCCAAAACGTTCAGAAAGCATTATTGTAACTTGTGACTCATATTTTCCAATTTTAAATGAATTTGTCTTTAATCTGGCCAGAACTTCTTCAAGCCAGCTTAGTTGCTGCTTTGTAGCAAACTTCTGTGTAATGCCTCCCTTGTACTTTAATCCTCTCTTCCCTCCTTTTCAATTTGTGATGTGTTGCTAAGCATATGTCACTTTCTGGTTGGATTTTTGCCTTCTACTTTTATTATTCTTGTTTTGTAGGAAAGAAATCTTGGAGTAGGGGAAACTTTAGTGGAAGAGTAGAGTCAGGTAATGCAGAAAATCACTTTTAAACTTGGCTTTGTAAAGCAGAGACACATGGGCCTTCCTTTATTGTGATTTTTAAATTTTGTCTTTGAAATGTAAGTGATAATTCCAAATTTTGACACTCACAAATGTAAAGTTATAGTTCTCCATAAAGAGAACTCAATAAATGCTAGTCATGTGCAAAGCCATGTAATAAATAGTTTGTATGCTTTATCTGATTGATTCCTTCAAAAACTTTGTGAGGTAGCTATTATCTCCTTTTAATAAGAAAAGAAACAGGCTCAGAAAAGCTAGGTATCTTGTCTAAAGTAAGTGGCAAAACAGTAGTATCTTATCTCACATTAGATTTGTACACTATTATGAAAGGACTTTAATGAGCTGTGAAATACATATTATTGATTCTGTGTATTTTTCTGTAGAATTAAGGAGCTGAAAGAGACCAAAGGATGTAATGTATTCTTTTATGCGAGTGTAAATTAGGTGGTGGTGACCAGATAATAATGCTGGGTCCCCAGTGTTTCCAGGAAAGCCTTGCTAGATAACTGCAAATGCTGAAACTAAGGCATTGATCTCAGATTTGAAGATACCACATATGTGGAAATGTCCAAGTATAACTTGGAGAACAACCTGGAATTATATTTTTATAAGTGCCATGCTGATCTTGAGTCTTAAAGAAATACATAGCATGGCTGTGCATATACAGTTTGGCTTTAAGATTGAATTGGCCAGAGCTAGGGCAAGATAAGATTTTAGGAAGATCTACAGTTGGGCCAAGCTGTGGTCAGCTGGGAGGGCCACAAAGAAATAATGAGGAGGCTGGTCTGAGCTCTAGGAAGGGCAACATGGACCTAGATAGAGGGTCCTAGCCCAGCAAAATATGGTGGTCTGCTCGCTCAGCAGTACCTGGTGGATGCTTAAAGAATATGTGGAATTAATTACAGAGCTGTCCCACTTTGCCTGCTTGAATCTTATCTTGTCTTTTATTTTTCTGTTTTCAATCCCATTTCATATCGAATCTTTCATCTGACTCTTTCTTTTCCCAGGATATTTTTGGCTTTTGAATTTTGGCTTCGAAAATCTTCTCTTTACTATAGCAAATAATTTTTATTAATTAGCCCTATTTGTTATAGATCTAGACCTTCCACAAGCATTTATGTCTTTCTCATACAAGCCCAAGAAGATGAACTTAATTCTGTAAATGGACTTCGGAAAGATAATAGTTGCTAATAATTGTGCTTTTGAACAATTTTATGATCTCTAGTCCATGCCTATCTTAAGTATATTAGAGCAGCATTTTCCAGAGTATGGTACATGGAACACTAGTCCCTGGGGATGTTCTGTTAAAAGGGTGTGGCCATACATGTTTGGGAAGTGGCACGTGTTATATCCTGTTCTTTGAGACATATATCATGAATGTTATCCTACTAAAAGTGTTGAGAAGTCTTATAGTAAATGAAACTTCAAAACCAAAAGTGTTTCTCAAACTTCTTGATGTAATACCTATAAAAATTCTGCAGGAAAGTGTTTCAAAGAACAAATCTGGGTAAATGCAGTCACAGAGCATAGTTTATGTCAGGCTTTCTGTTTAAGTTGTTAGGCTCAGTGAGAGACTGATAGTCATAAAGTCTAGCTGGAAATAACGTGTGCTTTACAAACAAACATTTTCTCTTGATACTGCACTCCTACAACTCACAAAATCCCTCTTGCATCTGTATCAAAGATTTCTTAAAGTTTTATTTATGATTTCCTCACATTGAGAGAATAAATGAAAGCAGTTACTAATGTATAGTAATTTTCCTCCAGAAAATTATTCAGATATAATTTTGTCTTGGGAAAGGAGAATTAAAACATGTATTGAATATATTTTAATCAGAAATGCACATTAAAATAGAATAACTTTGTCCTGGTTAGCATGACCTGGTCATAAAAATGTTGATTCTTAGAACTGGTAAATTTCTCATGAAGAAAGATACAGCTGTTTAGCCAGTAATCTATCCATTGTTTATTAAAAAGTAATGAAAAGTAAGCACCTGTTTCCTGTCTTATAATCTCAGGGAAGAGAGATTCTTGGAAGCTCCAATGGGCACATTATTATGTGGAGGACAAGGAGAGAACTATAAAATGACTGAGCCATATACACAAATCTGGGACTGCTGGTTGTTATGGAGCAAAGTTTAAGCCTATAAGCCATAAGCTTTTAAGCATATAAACCATAGATATTCAAACAAACTCAGTAGGCAAAATAAAAGAAGGCGGAAGTGAAACACAGGAGAAACATAATTTTATAGTGCTGGTGATTTTGCTGCCTGCTGCAGTCAGCAAGTGTGTGCCCTGGAGAAAGAATGAATGGGAGGTGTGAATCTGCTTTTCCCTGATTCCCTGAGTGCATCTTATAGCGTGAGCATGTCACTGTGTGAAGGTGATTCAAGTGTTCAGGGTTTTGCATACCACATACAGTGTGGCCTCTAAACATCAACCAGCCATTTCAACTGGACCTTGACTGCAGAATCAGTGATTTGTTCCTTTAGACTTATTAAGATATGGTATATCAACAAGGTAGTGCCTTTCCAAGGGATTTTTAAGGATAATTTGGCTATAAGTAATTTTTACCCTGTGCACAGGCTTCAGAGCTAACCTCTACAGGAACTGAATCACTGCTGAACTCAGGCATTTTGTTTTCTTAATGCATCTAGCTGCCATCCTATTCTTCTGATTCCCTTTTTAAGGTAGCAGCCTTGGTGGGAAACTGAGTCAAGTTAAAACTTGACTCAAGGTCATAATAGCTGCATTTATCAGCAGCAGCCACATCCATCCTAAGGAAGAAAATGTCCTGGCTACACAGGTACCCTTTCCTGAATCTGGGATGGGATTATGGTAAGCATGGGAAGTTGGTACCACTTTTTTGTGTCTATTACACACAACATTATTTATTAACTGCTTGATTCAGCCACATGGCTTGGATTGGGAGACCTTGTGGTGAACTGTTTCCACCAACATAATTGTAGTTAACTTAAGTGCCATTATACAAGAGCTGGCAGTGTTTTTTGTGCAGAACTCTATGGAAACTGAAATGAAATTTTAATTCTATTAATAAAAAACAACAAGTGATAACATATTTGACTAACACATCAAATTGATTCATAGCTATAACCTTACTGTAATTCACCCTGGTGGTATCTGCTTATAATAGTAAAACAGATAACAGCAACTCTGAAATCAGTGGTTTTATGTGTGTACAATCACTGGCTGTGGGCACAGATTATTGTATCATTGTGTATCATACGCAGTCATTTGTTTTGATTAAGTACTTTAAAATGTCAAGTTTCTCTGCACAGATGCACATGGAGCTGTTGTTATTTCTGGGATGAGGATCTAAGATTTGGGGAAACGTTACATTTTTTTTTATCACATGCATCTACCCCTAGTTAAAATAATTGACAATAAAAGAGCTACAAGTAAGGCCACCCTTTCCTTGGTGCTAAGCCACTAGGAGGGAATGGGGAAGGTCCAGGAGCTAGAAGGCCAGACAGAAGATTCCTAGAGAAACAGACCCACCCTACCATGGCTGTTGGAGCCTCAGAGAAGCTCACCTGGGCCAGAGGCTCGGGATGCCAAGAAGCTTACAAACGGTAGGTAACATAAGTCCATTCCTGAACCCCACCAAGTAGATGATCTGAGGGATGCCAAGAAGGAAGCTCCTTTCTCCTTGGTTTTGGCTTTGTTTTGGAAACAGAAAGCAGTGAAATGCACGTTTAGGTCTATGACTAACTGTCATTAAGCACTTGAACTTCATTATTCCTCTTATCCTCCCTTTCCTTTCCTTGCACTTTTTGTGTTGGAGTTACTGGGCAGTGCAATGGGCTTTGTGTAGTATGGGAGGGGACAGAAAGTGGAGTAGCAAGAGGCACAGATTCTCTTTGAACTGAGGGAGCTGAACGACTCCTTGGATGGACAGTAGCTCTCTCTGCAAGTCTGCTTTTATTCGGCGCTGCTGGCAGAATAGAGTCTTGTTCAGTTTTCACCTTGATAGATTTTTCTTTCTGCTGTCTCTGCATGTCTCTCTTCACTGAAGGTCTATGATATTAGCTCTATTATTTCTTCAGACATATTTTTTCCCCCAAGACTTCAGGTAGAAATTCAGGCAGCTGCAATCCTGTCTCTGTCATTTCTGATGATTGATTGAACTTGTCTTCACTTTCCACCTTTGGTTTCTACCTATTTTCTTCAGACTTATTCTACTTATTCTCTTCCCTTCAAACAGATATTGAGGGCTTTGTGACCATGCCAAGGAGAAGAGGATGAAAGATGTGCCTACATATGCTGTGGTCTAAATTGTATCCCTCCCAACCCTGCCCCAATTCATGTTGAACCCCTAACCCTCAGTGTGACTATATTTTGGAGACAGGGCTTTTAAGAGACAACTATAGTTAAATGAAGCCAAGGGGGGTTTGGGGAGGCATTGTTTTAATCAGATAGGATTGGTGGCCTTACAAAAAGAGGAAATGAGAGATCTCTCTCCACATGCACTCACTGAGGAAAACCCGTGTAAGCCCTCAGGAAGAAAGTTCTGTCTGCAAGCCAGGAAGAGGGCCTTCACCAGAAACTGACCATGCTGGCACCCTAATCTCAGACTTCTAGCTTCCAGAACTAAGAGAAAATAAATTTTTGTTATTTAAGTCACCCTGTCTGTGGTATTTGTTTCAGAAGCCTGAGCTGACTAAAACAACATAAAACTCACATTCATGAAAATTGTGGACTCCATTCCTAGCTGTTGATTTTTCACCTACATAGATCAGTAGTGGGTCATCATTACCCTGGGCGGCTGCATCTTCAAATCCAAAACATTTGAAAAGAGAGGCAGCATGAGTTTTCATTATGAAAATAGATAGTATTCAGGCAGCAGCAACGCGGAGGAAACGGGAATGAACCGAGAGCGTAGTGACCATCATGAGCCTCCTTAACAAGTCCAAGAGTGAGATGACCCCAGAGGAGCTGCAGAAGCGAGAGGAGGAGGAATTTAACACGGGTCCACTTTCTGTGCTCACACAGTCAGTCAAGAACAACACGCAAGTGCTCATCAACTGTCGCCACAACACGAAACTCCTGGGCCACGTGAAGGCCTTCCACAGGCACTGCAACATGGTGCTGGAGAACGTGAAGGAGACGTGGACTGAGGTACCCAAGAGCGGCAAGGGCAAGAAGTCCAAGCCAGTCAACAAAGACTGCTATATCTCCAGGATGTTCCTGCACGGGGACTTGGTCATCGTGGTCCTGCGGAACCCACTCATCGCCAGCAAGTAGGGGCCACCTATCTGTCGACAGAACTCACTCCGCTGGCCTATGAAGACCGCTGCCATTGGTGTTGAGAATAATAGAGCTCTGTGTTTTTTTTCTAGTGGAAAAAAAAAAAAGGAAAGAAAATAGATAGTATTTTGAGTAGAAATGTGGCTTTCGAGACAGGCTATTTCTTTACAACAATTTTAATTCTAGTTCTGACTCCACTATATACAAACGATGTGACCTTAGTAAGTTACTTAATCTGTTTAATTCTCAGATAATTATTCTGTGAAATGGGAATAATTGAGTATCTAATACATAGAGTAGTGGTGAGCATTAAGTAAATTAATTCACATAAATCACTGAACACAGTACTTGACACATAATAAGTACACATTAATATTTATTTTTATTTATAGGAGTAGCTAAACAGAGATGTTGATACCTACCCTACAGGGTTGATTTTTAGTTTGGTAGATCACTTGCTCGTACAGTCTTCATTAATCTGTGTTGAAGAAAAATTGCACTGGATGCCTGGCAAGAATGGAAAGACAGATTTTATTTGGGTTACTGCGGTAAAAGAGAGATTTTAGTATAGAACTGAGCTCAACTTCACTGAAATAAAAGGTGGGCAGATTTTTAAGCCCAAATATGAACTAGCAGAAAAGCACTGGAGAACATTAGGTGGTAAGTTGGTGAATGTAATTTGGCAATTTGTCTTTGCTAATTGGCACTTACTGAAGTTAGGCTCTGTGATGGTACTCAAACATTATTCTGGTTGTTTCTATGAGGGTGTTTTTGGATGAGATTAACATTTAAATCAGCAGACTGAGTAAAGCAGATTGTCCTCCATGTAGGTGGGCCTCATCCAATCAGTTGAAGGCCTGAATAGAACCAAAGGCTGACTTTCCTCAAAGAAGGAAAGAATTCTCCTGCCTAGTGGTCTTTAAATTGGATCAGTGGCTCTTCTCTGAAGGTCTTCCAACTGGGACGTTGACTCTTCTTGCTTTTACAGCAGAGTCTAGCCTTCAGGTTCAAACATTGGCTCTGCAGATTTTGAACTTAACTGTCCTCCATAAACATATGAGTTAATTCTTTATAATATGCCCCCTCTCTGCCCAACGCTTTTTCCCATTCTGTTTTCCTGGAGAACCCTGATTAATATAGGCTCCTACTTTTTCACAGAGACTGTGAGATAGGAACGCTATCTTTTTTGAAGATTTCATTTCAAAGGGATAGCTCTCAGGTTCTTGAGAAAGACATTCTTGGATAAATCTGGCAAAAGGCTGGGAGATGATTTACATCTCAAAAGGGCAGGAAAATAATTTACAATTGAAAGCTTTCTAAAGTAAATGCTCTAAGGAAAGGAAAGTCAGGGGTCTATAGTCAGGAGGAAATCAGTCTTAATTTCAGTTAAGCTGAGGAGAATGTTAAGGTTGTCTTGTCATGTGCAAGGCACTGTTCTGCACATAGAGTTTCAGAACTATATTTGGGTATCAGAATATGGAGGGTATATAATTTTCATATATTTTAAAAAGATTTTATATTTTAAAAATTTGTTACACATTCCCATGAACAAAAACTTAGTTTTTCCTTAGCGAGAATAATTAGCTAAAATGAAAAGATAAAGCATTTTTTTAACACCCACTTGCAAACCAGGCCTTGCTTATAAAACCGGTTTGAGTGGCCATTTTGTGGCACTTGCCCTGGGTGTCAACATTCCAGTTTATGGCTCTGCAGAGGATATGTTAGTTGAATAAGTCAAATGAGATACATGGTCTTGGCCAGGTGTGGTGGCTCACTCCTGTAATCCCAGCACTTTGGGAGGCCGAGGTGGGTGGGGTGGATCACCTGAGGTCAGGAATTTGAGACCAGCCTGACCAACGTGGAGAAACCCCGTCTCTACCAAAAATACAAAAAATTAGCCGGGCGTGTTTGTGCATGCCTGTAATCCCAGCTACTCAGGAGGCTGAGGCAGGAGAATCACTTGAACCTGCGAGGTGGAGGTTGCGGTGAGCCAAGATTGTGCCATTGCACTCCAGCCTGGGCAACAAGAGCAAAACTCCATCTCAAAAAAAAAAAAAAAAAAAAAGATACATGGTCTCCTAGTAGGATTTATGACATAGTGAATACGAAAGCATCTGGAAGTGTCTAATATGAGATGTCCCAGATAATGTCATTTAAAGTAGAAATTGAACTTGTTCCCATTTCTAGGTCCTAGGCCAACTGCTTGGCAGTACTTTACCTCTTGGGTATTGCTGCTGTAGGCTTATAATCCCTGTGTTCTTCCTCTGAGCATCTTAAGATGAGAAGCTGCTGTTCCTTCTGTGTCATCAGATCTTCAGGTGTTACTATCCAGAAATTCCATATTTTACTGGGAGGAACTCAAGGACATTTGGTGATCCTTGGAAACTGATGAGCAGGCGAGGAGATATGTGAGGGAGTAATGGAACCAAGGATCAGCAGAAGGTATAATGGCAAAAGTTGCAAGGAGTAGGGAAGGGAAGAGAACAGCATTAGACAGTCACTCATCAAACATGCAGCGCTAGCTGCTGCGTCTAATTGTCTAATGGCATGGGGGTCAGGGGAGCGTTGAATCCTCTCATTGCAGCCAGGGGAGGACCAAGTGCCATGGAAATCAAAGAAGGAAATCCTTTGACTATTCCGGTTTACATAATGTTTAAAAGCAGGGGCTCTTGGGAGTCTGGTTAAAACCATTTATTTTTGTTTTGATTCTATTAACTGGCTGTGTGATCTTGGACATATCACTAAACCTCAGTTCCATTCATGAAAAGAGGATAATTAGATATACCTCATTTGGGAGAATTAAATGAGATGATGTGGGTAACTCACTGAGCACAGTGGCAGGTACAGTTATTGAGCCAAAACCAAACTACTAGAAGCAGATAGGGAAAAGGAAACCCTAATACTCCCTCTCCAGGTTTTCAGAGTACTTCCCTGCCATAATTTATGCTACCACGACTTAAGCTTTCTGCACTAAGAATAGAGTTCATTAAAGCAAATTCTCTTGTGAGGAGTGGATAGAGAAGAGTGTTGGGAACCAGCCAGTTGACAGTGTTATGAGAAAGCAGGAAGTGTGGGCTTGCTTCAGCCAAGCAACTGGCTGAGGATTTGTTTTGTACGTCTGATTATTCATTTTCTGTGATACGGAAATTGCCTAAATGTTTTAATTATGTTCCTTTCATTGTATTTTAATGAGCTAATGAATTCTTTCACCCACTCCTTATCCTACAACAGGCCAATAATTATAAAACCCAGAAAAATCTTTTTAAATTGCCAGGAATAAAAAATTCAATGGAGCTCTTTCTTGGGTAATAAAATGAATGTTCTAATTTTGTTAGTTAACAGGCATCTTTGAACACCCACTGTGCAGTGAGCCCCACACAGAATGAGAGAAAAGTGGGATACAAAAAAAAAAAAAAACCAGAAGACTACCTTAGTTTTACTTCAGAATGGAAGCAAACCGTCTTATCTCATCTCATCTCATTTTTTCATGCATTAGTTTACTCAGTAATCATCGGTGGAGCACATAGTGTATGACCAGCACTATGCCAGGCATATTGTGATTGGATGCGGCCGGAGTATGAAATGAGAGGCAGCAATCAGAGAGACATGAGCTTGAGGTAAATGGGGCCAGATCACTGAGACTTTATATAGAATAGGGTGAAGGGCAGCCACAAATGGTTTTAAACAGAGAGTGACACTGTCAGATTTACATGTTCCATAAATAACTTTGTAATGAGAAAATGGATTAGAGGAAGAGTTACTGGTTATGATGAGATTATCATGGTTTCTCAGGAGAAAACAAAGGCAATGGAAGTAAAGATGAACACTGAACACCTGAGGATTCCTCTCTTCCTTATTTCACTTTTCTAAGAGGCTTAGATTTCAGTGAGATCTATGTGTTTCTGTGGAAGCTAATTTCACCTGTAGCTCCAAAGGGGTAGAGTCCCCTTCTATGGACTGTTAGTTACACTGGGTTTAGGAGGATGAAGTGTACTGATTAGCATAGACAAAGTCACATGCCTTACCTATAGAACTGGGGATTGGTTTAGAGGTGAACATGTTAGCTAAAGGAGTCCAATCACAGTGAATGCCAGCTTTTCTGGGGATTCTGTGACCAGATGCTCTCCCTGACTCTGGAAAGGCTAATGCAGATATGAGATGAGACTCACTGCAGATTTGGAAAGCAAGAGAGAAGAGGTCATTGTTTTCCAGAGTCAATTGCAGATAGATGCAGGAGCAGATGTCAGGTTCGAAGATGCTTCCAGGAGAGCCCTCAAAAACTACCAGCTTAGGTCAAGATAATTGAAATGGCTACTGAGAATACTGGTGGCAGTTCCCACAACCTTCACTACTCTGAATTCTTCAAGGTTTGGTGTTCCCTATATTTAAACTCTTCATATCTGGCATATATAAAATGATTTTTTTTTCCCTAACCAAAGCCAGACTGATACAAGGTGGTAGTTGAGTCCATGAGTGAGAATGCTATTGCTTAAGAAAATAAAGTTGGGCGGAAACCTTGAGGAATAACAATATTTGGGCATCCAGTGGAGGAAGACTAGAAAGGGGACCAAAAAATTGTCTGAAACAAAGAAAGAGAACCAGTGGAGTATGGTATCATGGAAACCAAAATGGAAAAAAACTTTCAAGAATGAGGAGGAATTACCAAAATAAAGTAAGGGACTTAGCAAGACAATATGCAAAGATTAGCCAGAAGGTTTGGGGAAGCTAAGGTCAAGCAAGACCTTAGAAAGAATAGTTTCAGTAAAGTGGTGCAAGCTCAAGCCATATTGTAGGGTCAACTGAGAGAAATGGCCCAGTCTGTTCACTCGTGTAAAATGAAAGCATGAGTTTTGGCTGCATAACATTTAAAAAAATATTTGTACATCTGGGAAAATTTTCTCATCTATCTCCATGTCTGAAGGTGGAAATGAGACACTCACTTCTTCCTCAACTTTCCTTGCTGCTATAACACAGAACGTAACTTGGACTTTGTCAACCAATGACACCTGTTTGAGAGTTTGATTCAGAAGACACTGATCTGAAGAAGAAAGCCCAGTGCAACTCCAGCAAAGGTGGTTAAGTCCCCCATTGAAAATGTTTACAGTACTGTATCTTAAGAGCCTTAAGATATCCCTAGCCTTTGGTCCAGTCTCACTGCCAAAAATCAAAAATAATTATCACAAACAAAAAAGTTATACTTGCTTCTGAAGATGATCATGGCAGCATTATATGTAAAAGGAAAAATTGGAAACAAACTAAATGTTCATCCCCTTAGTGGAATGGTCAAGTAACCATGATATAGCTACTTGATAAAATATTATTCAATTTGTAGCTTTAACATTAGAGCCTATAACATCGTAGGTATTTAATAAAAGAATAAATTATAAAAGTGAAAATGATGGAGACCGTGCATGGAAAAAATATGATTTGTTGTGATAATGTTAAGTAAAAGAGAAACTGAATTATATGTATATGATTATAGCTGTGAAAAGTAAGAGTGCACGAGTGCATGGACTCTAAGAAAACTGGAAAATGAAAATAGTTGTGGTAGGGTAGTTGGTATGTGGGTGGTTTTTTTCCTTACCCCTTAACATTGTATCTTAGTCTGTTCGAGCGGCTATAACAAAATACCGTAGACTGGGTGGCTGGTAAACAGCAGAAATTTATTTCTCACAGTTATGGAGACTAGGAAGTCCAAAACCAAGGCGTTGGCAGATTTGGTGTCTTGTGAAGTCCCACTTATTAGTTCATAGGTGGCCATCTTTTTGCCATATTCTCACACTGTTGAGGGGGGATGGAGCTCTTTGGAGTCCCTTTAATAAGGGTACTAATCCCATTATTGAGGACTCCATCGTCATAACCTAATCATTTCTCAAAGGCCCCGCCTCCACATAACATCACATTAAGGATCAGTTTTCAACATACGCATTTTGGGGGAAAACAGACATTCAGTCTACAGGACATTGTTACTATACTTGTTATTTATAAGTTAACTTAAAACAACGACAACAACAACAGCAATAACAAAAAGTCAGATAAGTCCAGTGCAATTCCTGCCTTGCCCTGGGCTCTGACTATCCATAGGCAATTCTGCCATCTTAGTCAATTCTATCAAACAGCTTCAAAAGGAAAGCTTCTATTGATTAGCTCACCAAGCCAGAAAAATTATGACTTAGAAAGTTGGTGCTTCTATGACAATGCAATCCATCAGCACTTCTCTGGAGACTCCCACCTCCATGTACCTTCACAGAGAAATGTGAAAGAACATTGAAAAGGGGGACCCTCTCCTGGGAGCTATTCTCTCCTTTCCTGACAGCCTAAATTGGGTGTCTGAGAAGCAACAAGACCTAGAAAAGAGAAGAGGCTTTGGAGCCTCTATTAGCTGAGTTGTGTTTAGGTATGTGCAATAGTAAATCTTACTTGAGTGGCTTAAATATTTTTAAACACTTTTATTTTCCTCACTTAACAAGAAGTCTGGAGGTAGATAGTCCCAGCTGGCTTGGCGCTCATGGAGAAGATCGGTGATCCAGGCTTTTTCTAGCCTTCATTGTCTGTGCGTGGCTTGTATGCTCCTTGATTTAAGAAGGCTGTAGCACGCCTACATTCCTGGCAGAAAGATGAGCTGCCTGCAGATTTTTACGTACAGCTCCTTGGCCAGAACTGTGTCGCAGAACCACCCTTTGCTCCAAGAAACGCTGGAACATTGTTTTTTATTCTCTATTTTAGATTCTTTATTCTCTTATCTGAAAGGGGAAGTGCAATGAACATCCTCATATGATTGTTGTGAGGCTCCAATATATGAATACAAGTAAGCATCTAGCCCAGCACCTGGAACACTAAGTAGGCTCACAAACTAGACAAAGCTGGACTCCAAGGAGCCAAAAAGTGAAATCACATTCAAATGAGATACACGTATGATTCCAAAAATATTAAAGAATAATATATATATTTTATTTTTAAAATTAAATTTTTGTTTCTTTTTAAATCAGTGCACGTACATATTTTAGAGACAAATAGTTCTATAAGACATAATGAAACCAGTAGTCTCTTATCCTCCACACTTCCCTCAATTCCCAGAATGTGGTTCTTCAGGGGCAATTGCTATGAGATTTTTTGGGAGCATGTCTTCTGAAATTTATCTCCTGATTTCTAAATAACATGTTTCTTTTGATATCTACTGATATCTACCAATATTTCCATTTTAGTATCTATTGGAAAAATACTATAAAAAGTGAGGATTTTTGCTGACTTATAGCCTATTTCTCACTAAACACATATCGTCGTTTTGGTTAAATCATTATTTACTGTTTACCTTATTATTCAGAGCCACATCTTGTAGTGTCTGTGATGATTAAACTTTGTTTTGACTTACATTAATAACTGCCTCTTTTATTTTTCTGAGTTTTTAATGTACCTATCAATAATTCATGCCAAACTTTCTACCGGAAGTGTATATCTTCTCTCTATATGTTAAAATTACTCAACTAGCTCAGGGTTATCTTTTTCCTCCTGGAGGTCTCTGTCCCCGTTTGAATCTAGGCTGCTGCATAGTATTCATCCTTATTCTTCATTGGCCTGGAAATTCCGTTTACTCCCTTGCTTGGTAGAGTTCCTGTTTTCTGGATCCCCTGTCTTTTTTCTTCTTGGATTATACCTTCATTTTGGGGTCTCATATTTTGCATTACTTTCTTGAGAAAGAATTCTTGGGAGGTAAATTATTTAAGAACTTGCACATGCGAAAATATTTCATTTCCTACCTTTACCCTCAATTAATAGTTTGGCTGTATATAGAAATCTATTGTGCCTCTTGTCCCCAAAAACTTTGAAACCATTGCTCCCTTTTATTCTAGTGTCATTCTGCAGCCTAGCTTCTTACATTGTGATTATGAAATTTGGTGAGATTCTGATCACGTATTCTTTTATGTAACTATTTTCCCCTGTCTGAAAGATCTTAGAATCTGCTATTCACCCCAAAGTTATTCAGTCTTTATTAAATCTGCTCGTTCATTTTCATAGCCTCCTTTTCTTGTTCTATGAAGACAAAATCTTCTCTTTTGCATATTAAATATAAGTGTGTTGGGATAAGTTTTCTTCTGCTTTATGTTTTGTCTCTCAGGCAAGTTTTTTCCTATTTATTTTAATGTCTACCTTTCATGTGGAGGAGTTTCTTAAATGTCTTATAATTCTTAGCTCTTTTTTTTTTACATGTTTAAGTTAGATGTTCTACAAAGCTGTAGAAGCAGTGCATGTGTGGAGGGTGCTGGTGAGTAGTTGGCTTTACTGTAGGATTATTGCTCTTTGTTGCGGATTCTCAAATATCAGCATCTATAGGTTTTCATTCTTAGGCTGGCCATTTTGCAGAGGGCTTCTCCGACTTAGGCCTGGAGGTCTGAACCTGGCTGCAAGCATTCTGTGAGCATGTATGGTAGAGGCACTTAGGATTTCACCATTCAGTCACATTCATCCCCTTTTAGATCATCCCCTTCCTCACCTGTATCTTGTGTCACTTGTTCAGCCTTTTCAGTTGAGTAAATTCCCAGTTGTCTGTAGGGTGGAGGAGGTATGATTGGTTGTCTGGTTGATAGGCTGGGAAAGGTGTTCTAGGAGCTTGTCCTTAAAACTTTTAATGAAGTATTTAGGAGATTCAAAAGCATATAGAAAAGAGTTAAACTCCCAGAAACATGGTCATCTGTTAATTAGAAAAATGCCCTATTAAATACATCAATAAAAATAAGCTAGAACCCTCTTCCCCCCAAACTTACTCACACCCACCTTTCAAAATTAATGGCTGAGCTGACTTGAATGTAGTGGAAACACCCAGAGGCCAAATTGGAGCAACAAGGTGAATAGAGAGAGATAAGCAAGTGTTGGAGCAATTCCTAATCGCTGATGACCTAAGCTTTCGATTTAAAGGTCACTTAGCCACACTTGACAAAGCCCCAAGTCTTTGTATGTAGTCAGCTAAGCTGTGTTCTCAGTTAAAATGTGAGCTGGAAACATTCTCTTCTGAAAAAGAGACAGGCAAAAAAATTCAAATCTCCCCATGAAGACCTAAAATCATTCTTTTCTTCTCTGCATGTACCATATTTCAAGGGTCCCTGGAACTTCCAATTTCTGAGACTTTTGGAATTATATATCACAAACTATCTTGCTTCTTTTTTATTATTATTATTATACTTTAAGTTCGGGGACACATGTGCAGAACCTGCAGGTTTCGTACATAGGTATACACGTGCCATGGTGGTTTGCTGCACCCATCAACCCGTCATTTACATTAGGTATTTCTCCTAATGCTATCCCTTCCCTAGCCTGCCACTCCCCAACAGGCCCTGGTTTGTGATGTTCCCCTCCCTGTGTCCATGTGTTCTCATTGTTCAGCTCCCATTTATGAGTGAGAACATGTGGTGTTTGGTTTTCTGTTCCTGTGTTAGTTTGCTGAGAATGATGGTTTCCAGTTTCATCTATGTCCCTGCAAAAGACATGAACTCATCCTTTTTTATGGCTGCATAGTATTCCATGGTGTATATGTGCCACATTTTCTTTATCCAGTCTATCATTGATGGGCATTTGGGTTGGTTCCAAGTTTAACATTTCTCTCTCATGCAGTTAGCATTCTGTTCTTTATAATTTGCTAAGATAGCTACCATATTTCTATGTATTTTGAAATTCTGAAACTGATATGTTTGCTGATGTTTTGTGTTATTTTTATTTTTATCATCAAAAGTATACTTTATCACTTTTTTGGAATGCTGTGGTGTTTTATGAAAAAAGAGAGGTAAATGTGGGTAATCTATAATCACTTTAAACAGAACTTCCAACATGTAAACCATTACTAGAGACTTCATAGTCCATATCATAGTAAAGTTTCTTAAAAAGACTGCAAACATTTATTTCTTTGCCCACAATTTTCCACTCATAGCAGCTGGTAAATTTTCTCTTATTTCCCACCAGCACACATTGTTTTTTCACTGCCTCTTTGCATCACATCATATTCCATCTCATTCTCAGTCTGAACACTGGAATTTTAAAAAGCATTCCAAAGCTGACGAATCTTTAGCTAGACTAAGAAAAAAAGAGAGAAGACTTGAATAAACAAGTCAGAAATTAAATAGGAGACATTACAAATGATACCACAAAACTAGAAAGAACCATAAAAGACTACTATGAATAATTATCACCAACAAATTGGATAACCTAGGATAAATGGATAAATTTCTAGAAACAAAGAACCTACCAAGATTGAATCATGAAGAAATAGAAAATCTGAATAGACCTATGCATCGGAAGGAGATTTAACCAGTAATAAAATATCTACCAATAAAAAAAGCTCAGAACCAAATGGCTTCACTGGTGAACTCTGCTAAACATTTAAAGAAGAATTAATGGCAATTATTCTCAAACTCTTAAAAAAAATGGAAGAGGAGAGAACATTTACAAATTCACTTTAGAAGGCTATTATTACTATAATATCAAAGCCAGACAAGGACATTACAAAAAAAAATTATAGGCCAATATCGCTGATTAATATAGATGCAAAAATCATCAATGAAATACTAGAAAACCAAATTTAACATCCCACTAAAAGGATTACCATTTAACACTTAACCATGATCAAGTGGGATGTATATCTGGAATAAAAAAAATGGTTCACCATATACAAATCAACAAATGTGATACAACACATTACTAGAATAAAGGATAAAAATCATATGATCACCTCAATAAATATGGGAAAGGCAATTGACAAATTTCAATATGCTTTCATGATTAAAAACTCAACAAGTTAGGTATAGGAGGAATGTACCTCAAAATAATAAAAGTCATATATGTCTAGCTCACAGCCAACACCATACTCAATGGAAAAAAGCTGAAAGCTTTTTCTCTAAGATCAGGAACAAAATAAGGATGTCTGCTATTGCTCTTTCTATTCAACATGGCACTGGAAATTCACTAAAGCAATGATGCAGGAAAGGAAAGGGCATCCAAGGTGGAAAGGAAGAAGTTAAATTGTCCCTGTTTGCAGTTGACAAAATTTCCTATATACAAAACCTCAAAGATTCAACTAGAAAACCTGTTAAACTAATAAATTCAGAAAAGTTGCAGGACACAGAATCAACATATGAAAGTTAGCTGCGTCTATATACTAACAGCAAACTATTTGAAGAGAAATTAAAACATCATTTACAATAATATCAAAAAGAATAAAATACTTAGGAATAAATTTAACCATGATGGTAAAAAATTTTGTACACCAAAAATTGTATAACATTGGTAAAAAAAAAAAGTTGAAGAAGACTCAAATAAAGGAAAAATATTTTATGTTCTATAATTAGAAGAATTAATGTTGTCAAAATGTTTACACTACCTCCAAACTGTAGATTCAGTGCAATTTCTTTCTCTCTTTCTTTTTCTTTCTTTCTTTCTTTCTTTCTTTCTTTCTTTCTTTCTTTCTTTCTTTCTTTCTTTCTTTCTTTCTCTTTCTTTCTTTCTCTTTCTTTCTCTCCCTTCCTTCCTTCCTTCCTTCCTTCCTTCCTTCCTTCCTTCCTTCCTTCCTTTCTTTCTTTCTTTCTTTTTCTTTCTTTTTTCTTTCTTTTTCCTTCCTTCCTTCCTTCTTTCTTTTCTTTTTTTTTTTTTTTTTTTTGAGACAGAGTCTCACTCTGTCACCGAGGCTGGAGTGCTGTGGCATGATCTTGGCTCACTGCAACCTCCACCCCTGGGGTTCAAGCAATTCTCCTGCCTCAGCCTCCTGAGTAGCTGGGATTACAGGCATATGCCACCATGCCCAGCTAATTTTTGTATTTTTAGTAGAGATGGAGTTTCACCATGTTGGTCAGGCTGATCTCGAACTCCTGACTTCATGATCTGCCTGCCTTGGCCTCCCAAAGTGTTGGGATTACAGGTGTGAGTGACTGTGCCCGGCCTCAGTGCAATTTCTTATTAAAATTTCAATAGCATTTTTCATAGAAATATCAAAATAATCCTAAAATTTGTATGGAATTACGAAGAATCCCAATGAATCAAAACAATTTTAAAAAAAGAAGAACAAAGTTGAAGGCACCATCCTTAGTAATTTCAAAGTGTATTACAAAGCTATAGTGATCAAAACAATATGGTCCTACTTGAAAACAGATACATAGACTAATGAAAAAGAATGGATAGCCCAGAAATAAACTTATACATAAATGGTTTATTAATCTTTGACAAAGGTGCCAAGAATACATGAGGAAAGAACTATCCTCTTTAATAAATGGTGTTGGAAAAAATGGGTTTCCACTTGCAAAAATTACCCAAACTGGACCCCTGTCTTTGTCTGTTTTGTGTTGCTATAGCAGAGTACCTGAGGCTGGGTAATTTATAAAGAAAAGTAATTTATTTAGCTCTTGGTTCTGCAGGCTTGGAAATTCAGGAAACATAGCATCAGCATCTGCTTGGCTTCTGGTGAACACCTCATGCTCTTTCCACTCATGACAGAAAGTGGAGGGGGAGTGGGTATGTGCAAAGATTTGA